>NC_000011.10:114748182-115051212 GCF_000001405.40 Homo sapiens | reverse complement strand
ACTACTGCTTATAGGCAATGGAGGTTTATGGAGTCCACGATATACGTTGTTTCAGTGGCTTAGAAAGCAAGAGACTTTGGGAGCTGCAAGAAAAACAAGAAAAGAATTCCCAGTGGGGAGGGTTGCTAAGGAAAAAAAGCCTCATTTGAATTTCACAAAGCTTTTGAAAACTGTGGCGGTGGTGCCCTCCTGTTTGTATTGCGGACCTTTATTGTTTCAACTGCGTTCAGCTGGTGAAGAAGGAAGTTTTGAGTGAGGGAAGGCGGCAGCCTCCTGATTCTGCCTGCCTCCACCCCGTGCCCATAGCTGGACTGACCTGTGCCTCTAGCAATGTTTATAGCAAATATCCTAGAGTCCACTGCCTTCGCTGCTGACCTTGATCTTCACTGCCTTGGACAGTCTGGCTCCTGACTTTGGTTTTGCCTTCTTTCCAGCTCCAACCTTGTCCTTGGACTTAGTGCTAGATTTTGGGTTTTTTTGTTCTGGCAGTCACCACCGTTTCCGGAAGGTGGATTATGCCCATACCTCTGGCTCATCATGCTTTGGGCTACTCAGGAGCAGCCTAACCTAACAACTCTAAGTCCAGGGCTGCTTCTTGGCTGTAGCTCCTGTGACCACCCTTTGGCATAGGGCTAATTTGTCCCAGCCCTTTTATGGGGGATGACAGATGCTTGGTCCACATGTGGAGGGGAGGAGACTTCTGAGGGGCCCAGTAAGTCGCGAGAGACTTGCGTCTTAGACTGTAGAAAACAGTTGAGTTGAAAGTGAGCTAAGCTACAGGTATGAATTTTAAGAGAAAATATGGATTCTCAAAGCTGCATAAGGTTTTCTAAGATAGGCACTGCCTTCCATCGGCAGTGGAGCCATCTCATTAAAGTTAAACAAGCACGTGGAAGGCATTTTGATGCTAACTTTGGTCAAGCTGGAGACGTTGGGCTGGGAGAGGTCAGAAACAGGTGCACCTGGGGTCTGCCTGTAGTTTGGGGTTCAAAATGCAGCCCAGTATAATGCAGCTCCGCCAAGCAGACGTGTAGGCAGAAATCTTACCCAGCGCTATAGGAGGGGCTTGTGTGACTCTATTAACGAAGCAAAAGATATTGGAATCCAATTGTTGATGGATCATCACACGCCGGGAAAACTCTCAGCTGCATTGACTGGGTGAGCAGGGGGTATTGTTTTGAACTTCTGGAGTTAATGAACTATGGCCTGAAATTTACAACCTGGCCGTGAGTGTTATGGATTTAACTCCGGAGCACAACTCTGGGGAGCTGGCACACTCCTCTGGCCTCGGTGCGGGCCAGATCCCTCCAGGGTTTGGCTTCTGTATTCCCCCATGTGTCTGTAGCCAATTAAAGGTAGCCCAAGAGGCTTCTCCTTCGCAGGGCCCCTTAGTGCTTGTCGGTAAGAGACATTTGCTTCTTAACCCTGTTGCGACTATAGCAGCACCGGGCAGAAAACGAAAAAGGTAAACTATAACTATAGCCCTACTTGTTTTGGTTGCCTTGAAAGAATGTAGAAAATCATTTCGTTCCTGTGGAGGTTGGGTGGGGAAGCCTCTCTCAAGACTCTAATTTAGGACACGTCACTTAAATTTTTTTCCATCGGGACACATTCATTGAATGGGTTCAGTCCACAAAGAGGTTTTGAGTTCTATGAGGGGGAAAAAGAAATGAAAGCTTACTAACGTTGTGCCCTAATCTTTTTTGGGAACCAGTTATGTATACAGATACCCAAATTGCACCTGTTCTAAAAAAAAAAAAAAATCTCACAATATAAAATGAGAGACCAGGGCGGTGGCAGGGGGATTTCTACACATAAAAACACAATACATAAGTAGCATCAATAAGTATGTTATTATATATAAATAGTATAACAATACTTCATTTGAAGACTCATAGTAAAGACTTTGGCTTCCGTTATGAGTGAAATTAGAAGAGTTATATTTTGATTCCTGTCTTTTCTTTTTCCGTTTGTTTCCATTTGTTTTTACTGCTTAACTTCAAGAGCAGTCAATAGCTGCTGCTTCCACTTCTTAATTTGCCATTGGTCTTGGCTCACTTCCTGCTTTGCTACTAAATTTGCTCTTTTGAAAGTGACCAGTGCTCTTTTGTTTGCCCAATCCAGTGGTCCTACCAGGGCCTCAACCCGCTGCATTTCTTGGTACTGCTCACTCGTATGTCTTAAAGTTTTCTTTTCCCTGGATTTATTTTTTATTTGTTTTTTTTTTTTTTTTTTTTTTTTTTTGAGACAGGGTTTTCGCTACTGCCCAGGCTGGAGTGCAGTGGTATGATCACAGCTTACTGCAGCCTCAACCTCCCAGGTTCAAGCAATCCTCCCACCTCAGCCTCCTGAGTAGCTAGGACTACAGGCACATGCCACCATGCCCAGCTAAATTTTTAAAAATCTTTTTGCAGAGACAGAATCTCACGTGTTGCCCAAGCTGGTCTTAAACTCCTGGGCACCAGTGACCCTCCCACCTCAGCCTCCCAAAGTGCTGGGATTACAGGCATGAGTCACCATGCCTAGCTTTCCCTGGATTTTTATAATAAAACACTATCTTGGATCTTCCCAAGGCTTGCCATCTGGGCATTTCTTGGCCTCATTTGTCGATTCTTCCTCTACTTATCTCATAACTATTGATACTGAGAAAAAATTCTGACATCAATTTCTCTTTGCAGTCTGGCTTCTTCCTCTACATCCTGTTTGGTCACTTTTAAAGCTTCAAACAGCGTGTCTAAGGACATGACTGCTAATTCTGTATTTGACCTTCCTCCCAGGCTCTAGGTTTATTAATTTGACAAACATTTATTGAGCACCTAGAGGAAGTGCCAGGCATCTTTCCTATTGCTGGTAACAGACCCAGTGAACAAAACACACACACTTCCTTCCATAGGGAAATTTGTGTCCTAGTGGGAGATAACATAATAAGCAAAATGACTTGTTGCTAACACTTACAGAGTGCTTACTTTATACCAGGCATTGTTCTAGGTTATATACGTATACCAACTCGTTTAATTGTCACGACAACCCCATTTTAAACATGAGGAAACCGAGGCACAGAAAGGAGAAGTTGCACAGCATCACACAGTTAGTGATCGTGGAGTTGGGACCCAGCCTAGGTAATCTGGCTCTAGAGGTTGTGCTCTTGATTTGTAAGAGTGTCATCTCCATAGAGCATGTTAGATGGTGCTAAGTGCTATTCAGAAAAAAACAAAGTAGGGGAGATGATGGGGTACAGGTGGGTGTGTGAGGCTGCAATTTTGGATAGGCTGGCCAGCAAGGTGACATTTGAGATGTGAAGAAGGCAAGGGAGAGCCTTGAGGACTCTGGCAAGGGGGGATGTGAGAAAGACTGTTAGGTGAGCACATGCCTAACTTTTCCCAAAAAGGGTGGTGGAAGGAGTTGGGGAGGGGCGGGTATTAGAATTCAGAGTCTGGGAGAAACCTGTGGGCCAAGTCAGTTAGGGCCTTGGAGGTCATGGCAAAGATTTTTGGCTTCTAGTAAGTGAAATGAGAAGGTGAGTTATATTTGGACAAGATCGGTCTGGGTGCTGCTTCGAAAATGGACTGGAAGGGTTCTGAGGGTGGAGAGGCAGGTCCCACCAGGAAGCCACTGCAATAATGCAGGTGTCTTTGAACTGGGTGTGAGCAGTACAAGGCAGAGGTGGTTGGATTTTTGGTCTATTTCAAAGGTAGAGCCAAATAATTTTCTGAGAGATTGGATTTGGGGTGTGAGAGAACGAGGAATTACAGATGATTTTAAGTTTCTTGGTGTAAGTCACTGGAAGTTGCCCGAAGTGGGAAAGATTACAGGAGGAAAAGATTTAGGATAGTAAGGACATGTTTGAGGTGTCTATCAGATATAAAAATGGAGGCAATAAGTAGGTATTTGGATATACAAGTCTGGAATTCAGGGAAGAGTCCTGCCCTAGAAATATAAGTTATTTTCAACACACATGCACATAAATGTTCTATGGGAACCTAGAAGAATATTCCAATTCTTCTTTGTCCTCCTTCTCGTCTCCCTCAACATTTGACTGTTTATTGTACATCAGGCTCTGTCTCAAGTTTTTTTTCATGCTTCAGTTTGTTTATTCCTGACACTAACCCTGCTGTGGAGGGACTGTTGTTATTCCATTTTACAGATGAGGACGCTGAGGCATACCTACTCTCGTCTACCATCAGACCTCCAAAAAGAAAGTGAGGTAGCTCACAATAAAATACATGGATAAAAGATTCGTAAAGCTATTCATACAAGGATTTATTTATTTAGGGTCAAATAATAAAGAGGGAGTATAATTGTACCAGAATATTTAAACTAAGTATAACAAGTCTTTTACAGAAAAAAAACATAGCCTTGAGCTTCTTGGTAGCAGAAATAAAAAGGCAAACAGCATGAACATCAGTTCATCAGGAGGGATGAATTTTTCTTAAGTGCTTAGTTATTTAGTTTTTAAAATAACCTCTCCCGGGGGAGTAAAGTATATTCTTGGAGGGATTCTTAGGAGGCAAAATAAGTTATAGAAAAGATTGAAATTGGTTAGATTAATCTCTTTTTTTGTTCACCATGTTAGTCAGTAGTCACTTATTAACCAATTGTATATGCAAGCCTATATATAACTGTGCTAATATTGTTAGAAACCCAAAGATGTATTAAACATGGTATTGGCCTTCAAGTATCACAGGACATAATTTAAAGATAAAGTGTAGGTACCAAAAATGACCAACAATGAAGCAGCCACATGAAAAATGGACTAAGGCAGGTTGTCACAGAAATAATTTGATTCTGGGGCTTATGAGACCTGAGTTTTAGAGCCAGACTTCCAGCTTCAAATTCAGGCACCACCCCTTACTAGTGCTGTTTCTCTAGGTAAGTTAATTCACCTCTCTGTGCCCAGTTTCTTTTTCTAAAAAAATAAGGATAATATTAATAGACCCTACTTCAAAGGGTTGTTGTAGGATTAAATGGGTTAATAATATCTATAAAGTGCGTATTGCCATGCATGGCACATAGTAAGCACCATAGAAGTATTTGATATGGTTATTTCATTTTATTTTATTTTTGAGATAGCGTCTGGCTCCGTCACCTAGGCTGGAGTGCAGTGGCAAAATCTCAGTTCACTGCAGCCTCCTCCTGCCCATCTCAAGCAATTGCCCAACCTCAGCCTCCCAAGAGCTGGGGCCACAGGTATATGTCACCATGCCCTGCTAATTCTTGTATTTTTTGTACAGAGAGCATTTTGTCATGTTGTCCAGGCTGGTCCCAAACTCCTGGGTTCAAGCGGTCTACCTGCTTCGGTCTCCCAAAGTGCTAGGATTACAGGCATGAGCCACCTGGCCTGCTGTGGTTATTTGAAATTGTAGGGACAAATACAGGTTAAGAAAGTACTTCTGTCACTCATCAGAGAAGAGAGAGATCCGTTCACTGTGAGTTGTTCAGAAAAGCTTCATGGCAGTGGAAAGATCTGAATTAACTCCAGAGGTTCTCTAAGTGTAGACACAGACATCCTCCTGGCCCTTATGACTGGTTTGATATCACCGAAGTTTTCCCCTGTATCACCAAAGTGATAGTCACCCAACTTTTCTAACTGGGACTTCTGGTAGCAGCTTCTGGAAGGTGATGGGGTATCGAAGTGATCTTGTTAAATGCAGGTAAGTAAGGGAGGCACCATATTAGATCAGAATCATTTTGCAGGAGGTTAGTGGCATCTGAAGGTAACCCAAACCAGCTCCAATCCCCTCCTTTTCATGCCTAAACCACAGACAATGGAAAAATTCACAGTGAGACTCACTGTGTACAGACAGCAGCTATCCAGAGCTCCTAAGTCCCAGTCCCAATACTTCCAGGCCTTAAATGCAGGAGGGTCCCCATCATTCCATTGCAAAGGGCTTCAGCCTCGGGAAGACCAGAAGCCACAGACATATCTGTCCAAAAGGCACAGCCATGGTCAAAGTCTAACCAGTTATTTCGTTCAAAGTCAGAGAAGACTATATCATAAAGCAGGACCTTAAAGGGACAAAGAAGGGGAGAAGGGAATGCTAAGCTTAGGGTGGGCGTGAAGCAGAGGATGAGGACAAAAGCCAGGGTAAGGAGGTAGGAGTAGAAGGAGGTTGTCAGGGGAAGTGGGCCTAGAAGAGCATTTTCTGGAGTCTCAACCATTGCTGAGAGAGTAATTTGTGTCCTTTGTCATAAAATGAACCTGAAAAATTGTATAAAGAGGGCCTGGAAATACGGTGCCTTTGATGAGGGCCATCTGGTAAGATGCCAGCTCACTTTCTCCCATGCCCTGACCCTCACAGGACACAGGCCCTGTTGTGGTGGTGTACACTGCACTTAGAGATGCCCTGCTCGGCTCTGATTCTCTGGAGCAGGAATCCTGCATGTGGCTCATTGAAGACAGCTGCTCTGGCAGGTCCAGAAAACAGAAAACATACTGACAGCAGTGACAGACGGAGATGCTTTCTGGAACAGAGGACCTTCTGGAGCCTTTAGCTGCAGCTGCAAGCACAATTAGGGGCTAACATGACCTTGCAAATAAGTGCTGAGGACATATCCGACCTCCAAAGAGCCAGGTCACCCTAACCCTGGAGGAATGACAAAAAGGAGCCAAGAAAAGGCAAATGGGATTTTTTCAACTCTTTTTCCTGGGATAACTTCACCTTCTAGGAAACGTTTCCCCTTTCTTCCTCGTACCTCTTAGGTGGATGTTGTACACTTGTGACTGGGGCAGGGAAATGAGGACTATGATCAGATCTAGCCTAGTAGGTTTTGCAAGAGGCAGTTTTGCAAGGTGGCCCTACCCCTACTCCCCACTCAATTTAAGATGGTCCAAGCAGGATGGATCAGAGCTGAGGTTTGCACATCAATGGGAAGACCAGGTCAGGGTATTCTGTGGTCTAGAGTAGATTCGAACTCCCAGTTTCAGAGTTCAGAGGGGGGAAACTTATAAATCAAACACCCCGAAGAAGAGAGAAGCATCAGAATTAGTGAGACAGAAAGCCCAAAGGTCAAGGTAAGAATTATAGCATGGCATGGAGCCAAGATCAGGAGCCAGATTAAGGCAGAACCAGGATGGTGTACATCTGGGATGCTTGTTAGGAATAATGAAGGGGGTGCCTCTGTCTGACTTCATCCCTGGAAATTGGAAAGTGGGTGTGGACAGGCTTAAAGGCATAGTGGTGGGGCGGTTGTTGATACCAGCTTAAAATGTACACACAATGCTTTGGATGGGTCATGTCTGGCCACTAAGAATCAAGGCTGTGGAAGTCTGGTCAGCTCCCCTCCCACCCTCCACTGTGCTGAGAGTCAATACCGGTTTTAATTTTATTCATGGTGCTTGTACTCGTTCTGTGCTGCAGCTCCTCAATGAATACTAATGGAACTCCAGATTGTTTTAAGTGAAGATCTGAGCAAGACACCTCCTTTCATCTTGTCAAGAGCTGTCATTTCCAACAGAGGTTTTTGGAGTTTCCTTTCTAACAGATTCAATGCAAACTCCTCTCTACACAGAGCTGCATATGTATTGCTGGAACTGGGCAATTGCAAAGCAATCCTCATGGAAAAGAAATCATCCTTGGCCTCCTGCCCCCACCATGGTCACTGTCAGCAGATAATTCTCACGTAGGAGGACAGAAGGAATGGAGAAGGAGGCCAGCAGGCAGGCAGTTCAGAGGGCACCTCTTAGAAGGCGGTGGAAGCTGAGTCTCTCTTTCATTTGCAAGGTTGTTTTGATCATTTGAAATATCATTTCCATGATTTTTATAGCCATGAGGCCTTTAGGGTTTAGAAGAATGCCTTCCTGGCCATTTGAACTGCTTTCTTAATTCTCATCTTTCCTTGTTCCAGTCCACTTTGCCTACAGTTGCTATATAATTATTTTTTTAATCATGATCTCCCCTACTCAAAACTCCTCAGTGGTTATGGCAGTTGAGTTAGCCTTCTCTGACTGACCCTCTAGTCCCCGTTCTACCCCACTGTCCTCATCATTCCAATCTCTCCCACACATTGCTTCTGCCTGCCCCTACCTCACCCAGCGGCAGGGGCTGAAGGCCAGCTTCTTGTATGCTCTTGCTGGTGTGGGCTTTAAACCAATGAGAGGCACACTTGCAGCTAATGGATTTGCTTTTCCACCAATGAGCACAGTCTGGATTAGTCCTTTTACATAAGTTCAGAGGGCCTGGATCATCACCATACTACTGCATTTCTACCCCCTACTTCAGCCTTCATTGTGCTTAACTTCATTGTCCTAACCCCCAAATCATTTGGAAAGACTGCAGCCTAAAGTAAATTTAAGCTTTTTCTGATTGGCATAGATCATCCAGCTCAAAATCTACTTCTAATGTTGTGGGAGGTAGTGGAGGGTGATACTTAAGAGCTGGCGACAAATGGTGCCATCCTAGTGCTCAGATTTCATTGTCATCTTGGGCTACTTATTTAATCCAAGTTCCATCTTCTCATTGACAAGATTAAAATGATCATGTTTGTGTTGATTAACTGAGCTAACAGATATGAAGTCTTAGCATGGAGTGGGGCACAAGCGTGGCAATTATATATAATTCAGTATTCAATGAATGTTGGCTATTATTACGCTATGTCTCAGTTGGTGTTGATTAAGCCAATAAATAGGCAAGGCTTAATGTATGCATAGATAGATAACAATGTATTGTGATTTCACAGCCCCTTTCTTTCTTCATACAACCCAACCTAAGCAAAAAAGAAGCCAAACCCACAAAAGCATAGTTTTTTATTTTCTGACCTACCACTGTGCAAGAAGAGGGTTTTTTGTTTTTATTTTTGTTTTTTGCTTGGTAAAGGCATTGCCTCTCTGGTATCCCGCTGGCCTGCTGCTTGGCCACCATCTATCCCATAGGAGACACACTCCTTTGCCTCTTCCCTCCCCTTGCTCTTGGTGACTGTGGGGAGGGAGGTGTAACATCTGTCAGTGATCTCCTGGGGCCAGCCAGCTGCCCCTGCAGCAGAGCAATGTTCTGCTGTAATGGCCTACAACATGATGACTCCCAGGGGCCTCTGGCAGGGGGCGCCTGCCAGGACTGAGTAGGCTGAGAACGCTCAAGGGCAGTGCTGGGTGGCTGCTGGCCAGAGTGGCCCATCTGTGAGGCTGGCCAGAGGGCAGGAGACAGGCTTCATGCAGCCCATTCCTAGAAAGATACTTTCTTTGCTTTAAAAAATCCCATTCCATAGATGGATGCAAATCTAAATTCTGAGTGTAAGGTGTGTGGGGTTTTGCTGTTGCATTCAGTTGTAAGGGAATGATTCTAGGTTTTATCAAAGACATAGTCTGAGGACCAATCTTTCTTTAGAAATAATATGCCTCTATAAAGCCCAGAAGTTTCATGTTTTTGTTCATGGTTGAAATTCCTCTTTCGGGCTTTCGTCTCTGGAGGACTCCAACTCTCATTTTCCTATCTACAATGAGCCTTCCTGCTTCTTTTCCCTTCTCTGCCTCCCATTCCAATCCACGGTTAGATAAGGAGCTGCCCCAGATAATGGTAACTTCTTCAAAATGTCATTTCCCCTTCTCTGTATTGTGTCTTTTTGCCTCAAACAATCCATGAGTACATTTTCATTAAGATAAAAACAATATAAAAGTAAGTACAGCAAACATGAGAGTCGCCGAGTTCCTCCTCACCTGTCATCTCACTCCGGTCTCCAGAGGCCCTGCAGTTAACAGAGGTAACCACTGTCCACAGTGCAGCATGCAAACCTCCCTCTCTCCATTTACATCCATATGTCTATACAAGGAAATGCAATTTTTGTGTGAGGTTTGTGTTTTTAGAGTCCTTTTTTTTAATCAATGTTTTATATGCATGTACTTTAGAGTATCAGCAACTCCAGGCTTATTATGAAAAGCTGAAGTCCTCCCTGCTGTCCTCCACTCTACTTCTCTCTCTCCTGAAACAGCCACACTCAAGTCTCTAGGCTGATTTTTCCAGGATTTACCTCCCACTTCTCATATTGCTACTTGAATTTTTTTGTTTCAGGCATAATCTCTTGATTCCCCACCTGTAAAATGATGATTTGGTTATCTTTGGCCCCGGTTCCCCACCAAACACCTATATTGATGTTTTGTGTTTACTTTATTGTGACTGTTAGCAACCATGAGGTACACTATATCCACTCTTTCTCTGCTGTAGAACATGTTGTGTCCTGGAATTAATAATTGCCATGCTTGCCTATTTTTCCCTCTCATCGATAACTCAACCTCACATACTTCCTCAGTTGCACAGATTTCCTCTCTGTATGTTTAAACATACGATTATTTAGTCAGTATCTGCTATGGATTGAATGTGTGTCTCCTCAACTCCACCCAAATTCATGTTGAAATCCTAACCTCCAAGGCGATGGTATTAGGAGGTGGGGCCTGTGGAAGGTGAGTGGAATGAGGATGGAGCCCTCATACATGGAATTAGTGCTGTTATTAAAAAGGGGAAACAGCGAGCTTTCTCATCCTCTTTTCCCCACATGAGAACACAGTGAGATGTCAAGTCTGCCATCCAGAAGAGGGCCCTGAAGAACCCAGGCATGCTAGTGCCCTGGTTTCAGACTTTCAGCCTTCAGAACGGTGAGAAATAAATTTCTCTTCATTTTATGCCATCCGGTCTATGGGACTTGGTTATAGCAGCCCAGAGACTAAGACAGTACCATCATCTTGATGAAATATCTCTGGGGCCTTTCAACCTTCTCCTTTCTGCACCGGTGACTTCCAGGCATGGGGCACAGCTGTCATCGTGGGTTTTTCTTTCTCCATCATCCTACGCATGCCCATTGCTTCTCTCTCATATGTGATCCTGTGGGACTTCATGTTTCTTGAAACCCATGTATTTCTATTATTTGATTTGTCTCTTGTTTTGGGAGTGTATATACTTCAGATGCCTCCTTAAAGAACATACATAGAATTAAGCCACTCATTCATTAAATTTCATTGAACACTTATTAAGAATTCTAGAAAAAAAAACTGTATATATTCCAGGGTCTTGAGTTATAGCAGTGAACACAATCCTAGATTCCTGCCTTTGAGAACCTTATATTCCAGCAGAGAAAGTCCAATAATAAAAATAAACATAATGGAGAAGTAAATTACATAGTATATTTGGAAGTGGCAAGTGCCAAGGAGAAAGAAGTGGAGAAAGGTGAGGGGATCAGACAGATTTGCCTCTAGCATCTGTGGAACCTTGGAGAAAGAGTTCAGGTGAGGACCCATTTAACTGGCATCACTCTTGACCCATGTTATGCCTGACCTACAGCTATACAAATTTAAGAGCAACATGGATCATTTCACTTTACAAAATATTCCTCAGCTAACATCTGTGACTGCTGTGAATATCTACTGAACTTGTGGGTACCTTGGAAATGCAAATTGAAATTCAAAGAGAAGCAAGGAAATGGACGTACCACAACACTAAAAATTGTTACTTTCTTCTGTGAGAATCTATTACATTCAGGCTATCGGAGAGAAAGCATTTGAAGAGTTAATTTGTCTCTTACTTAAGTGTTCTTGCTGCTCAAATCCTACCTGTACTCCAAAGTAGTATCCCTCTTTGAAGTTGGTAGTGCCCCAATCTGCACACCTTTGTGGCATCCACAGTTTCCTTTTATTTCCAGGACATCTGGAAAAAGATGGAGAAAAGCATTTGCCTGGTGCCTGAATGGTGTTAATCATGAGAATGGAGGTTTATAGTTATAGATAGTGCTGGGCCAGCCTGGAGGGCCAGATTCCAACTGACAGAAGTGTCCAGGTAGTCTTTAACAATGTGTGTATTCATTATAAGTCAAGTCCTACAAAACCTAGGGCCCAGGTTAGAGGCCCTCTTGCCTGGATATTAGTGGGGTACTGGGATCAGGAGCTTCAATGTAGAATTGGAGGAAGTCAGGGTAGGCCTTGGTGAAAAAGTGGCATTGTTAGAAAAGACTTAAAGAAGGGGCAATAGTTAGTTATAATGTTATTTTTGGGAGGAGCATTTCTAGAGAATAACTCTCTATGAAATGTTCTAGTATGAAAACTTCAAGTGTTTGTAAGTGTCTTTAGCAAAAAATTGACATTTAATTAATACTTTGTCTACAGGATTCTAGGAAGGACCTTTTTTTTTCAGAATTTTGAATAAATTGTTCCATCGCATCTACCTTCTATTATGGCTGTTGAAAAATTAATGATATTCTGATTTTTGGTTCTTTGTAAGTGACCTATTTTTTTTCTCTGCAGAAATGTGTAAGGTCTTTTCTTTGCCTTCCTCCTGATTATATTCTTGGTGTGGACCTACTTTCATCCACTGTGCTACGCACTCAGCATTCATTTATTCAGTCATTCATTCCACAAATATTTATTGAGTGTCGTTATGTGCCACACACTATTTTATATGCTGGTGATGCAACAAAGAACAAAACAGAAAAATATCAGCCCTCAAGGAGCTTACACTCCTATCAAAGGGAAAGACTGCAAACAAAATAAGTAAACAGTTAGTGTGCTAAATGGTGATAAATGCTACGGAGAAAAATAAAATGGGGAAGATGGATAGGAAATTCCAATGGGGGAGAGTTGGGGTGGTTGCAGTTTTAAATAAGGTGCTCAAGGAATACCACACCAAGAAGGTGACATTTGAATTAAGACCTGTAGGAGCTAAGGAAGCAAGTGATGCTGATTCCTGGACAAAGGATGTTCCAAGCACATATGCAAAGACCTGCAGGACAGATGTCCAGTGTATTCAGGGATGACAGGAGACCAATGTCACTGGAGCAGAGTGAGCAAAGGGGTCACTAGAAGGGATGAGGTATGAGAGGTAAGAGGCATCCGATTATGTGCGACCTTGTACGCTATTGAACAGATTCTGCTTTTTTAACTTAAAGTGATCAAATAAACATTAAGCCAAATTCTGGTTCTCTTTGAAGTTGGGACCAGCAGATTTTTTTGGTGTTATAGATGTAGGAATGTATAAGAAAGAGTCAGAATTGATTATAATTAATTTATGTATTTTTGCCTGGGCAACTGGAAAGAGGAAGGTGTTATTGAATGAGTTGGATAAGATTTCAGGAGTTGCGTGTCTGGAGGCAGGTGGTAGAGGACAGCAAATTGGCCGTTGGAGTTAGCAACCTGAAAGTCATAGGTGTCCTTAGAGAAGAGCAGTTTCAGTGGAGTTGTGGGAGCAACAGCCTTGATGGGTGCATCCAAGAGAAAATGAGTGGGAGAAATTAAAGCCAGTTGAATTAACCCTTTCAATGTGTTTAACTATAAATAACTACAGAGAAATGAGATGGTGATGACAAGGGAGGTGGAGCTAAGCTTATTTATTTATTTTTAATTTGAAGGAATAATAGGATGTTTGCAGACTGGTAGCAAACTCATCCCTTCAGTTCTGGAAAATTTTCTTAAGTTGTTATTTTTATCTTAATGATTACCTTCCCTTCATGGTCTTTGCTTTTTCCTTTTGAAACTCTATTATTTGAATGTCAGATTGGTTCTCTAGTTTGTTCATATTTTTCTCCTCTGTTTTCTACCTATTTGCCTTTTTGCTCTAATTTCTGTTATTGTTTTCTCCTATTAAGTTTTAACATTTTCTCTATGCTCCTTTCTTATAGCATTCTCTTCTTGTTTTATGAATATAATGTCACATTTCTCTGAGGATATTAATGATCATTTAAAATTAATATTTGTTCTCCTGAGTTGTGTCTGTTTCCTCAGTTACTTTTCTTTCTCTGTTCTTTTAATCCATGTCTTTCACATTAAATGCTGCCTCAAATGGCTCATGATCTTTGTTCATCTCCTCACATTTAAGTCTGGGACACTTAGCTTATGTGGTGAAACTTCTCAACTGTGGCTTTTCTGTTAGTGTGATCTGTCTAGGCTGTCATCCTGGTTGAGGGAACCCCCTGTTTCACTTTCTTTCAGTTTATTCTGTTAAAAGAAAAAATTGTCTGAAATAAATTCAAAAGAGTTTAATTGAGCAATGAACGATTCATGAATCGGGCAGCCTCCTGAGCCAGAGTAGGCTCAGAGACTCCAGCGCAGCCATGTGGTGGAAGAAGATTTATAGACGGAAAAAGGAAAGTGACATGCAGAAAACAGAAATGAGGTACAGAAACAGCTGAATTGATCATAGTTACACATTCGCCTTATTTGAGCACAGTTTGAACAGTTGGCCACATTTGATTGGCCAAAACTCAATGATTGGCACAAGAGGAGGCTACAGTCTGTATACAACTCGATTTAAGATATAGTTTACAATATACAGAGAAACCTTTATTTTTAGGCCAAACTTAAAATATATAAGGAGGCAGCTTTAAGCTAAACTTGATTTAACACTTCTTTGGGCTGGTCACATTGTGCGATTTCTTCCAATTCCCTGTCTGGTGGGTAAATATGTTACTGCCGGCTTACTGGAAGTTCAGTGAAGAAAGAAAGTTGGAGGTTAGCTCTCAATACTCTGATGTAAATTTTTATTTAATCTCTCTGTTTCAGTATGGCACTGTTACCTTTAACGTGCTTGTTTTAAGCTTTCCAGAGAAGAAACCTCCAGTTTATGGAGAAGAGTCAGATTTATGGCTATGAAGAGTGGAAAAGAGATTCTGCTTTTTTAACAAACTTCCCTGCCAGTTCCCCTCTTTCAGTGCCCACTTATGTTGCCAATTCCTGAGCCTTTGAAGAATCTGCAGTGTAAATTGAATTGCTTTTTGGCTTTTATCACCACAGTTTAAGATTCGGCACTCTCCCAACTGTTGGGTCAGATACTACCAACCTCTTCATCTGATTTTAATATCAAAATATTATTGTAGTTTTTTCTTCAGTACTCTTTATCCTCACAGATTTATTCCAAAAACTAGAATAAAATAAGTCTGTAACCTGGGAGAGAGCAGAACTAAATGTGTATGTTAAATCCTCTGTCTTGACCTGGAAACTCTAAATGATAGCCTTTAAATTTTTCAATATTTATTTAGTGGAGATGTGAAGAAATTGAGTTTTCTTTATTAAAATCATACACTTTTTCTTAGTGCTCAAAACAACATTTTAAAACCTTTTTCGTGATTTTGCAGTTTTGGCATTGTTCCTAAGTGTAGCATCAGCTACTCAGTCATTTATAATAGAAGTAATTTACATGGCTATAGTTACAAATCATGTTAAAATATATTTATGTTTTTCATCTTTACTCATTTACAAGCCTATAAACTATTCCTAATTTTTGTATTTTTTTCAAGTTTTTATTCTGAGAAAATTCAAACCTATAGAAAAATTGCAATAATAAAATAAATATCAGTATGCCTTACACGTGAGTTATGAATTGTTAATATTCTGCTGTATTTGCACTCTCTTTCTCTCTTTTTCTTTCTCTTGCTTTTGCTGTCTGTGTCTGTCACTATATGTGCATATATTTTTTTATTTCTCAATCATTTGAAAGTAAGCTGCAGACATCATGACACTTCATCCCTAAATTGTCATCATAATTCTTATAAGAATAAGATTTTCCTGCGTAACCTCACCATTATTACACCCAAGAGACTTAACATTAATTCAATAATGCTATTTAATTTATAGCCCATTTTCAAGTTTTCCCAAATGATCCAAACATTTCTTTAAAAGCTGTTTGTCCCCTCCCCACCCACCCCACCATCCCAAATCCAGTCATGGATCAAGCACTGCATTTGGTAATTATTCGTCTTTAGTCTCTTTTCATCAAGAACACTGCCCCATCTGTCTGTGAATTCTGTGTATATTATGACATTACTGTTTGAGAAATCTAGGCTAGCTTCTTGGTAGACTATCTCATAATTTGCATTTGTATAATTATTTCTTCATGATTAGATTTACAGTCAATATATATCTACATATATATTTAGCAAGGATTGTACATAGTTGATGCTGTGTACTTCTCATGTGTCACATCAGGAGGCATATAATATCAGATTGTTCCGTGATTGTGGTGATGATAAATTGGATCACTTGGATAAGGTGTTGTCTTCCAGATCTATTTTAAAGGTACCTCATTATCTTTATACTTAGGAAGTAAACTGCTGGTGAGGGATAGGTGTTACTTTGAAGACAGGTAAATGTATAACAATCATTAACCCAATGGTTTTAGCTTCCATTGATGATTCTTGCCTGAAGTCAATGATTATATTCTAATTCTATCATCCTTTCTGCCCTTATTAGATGGCTTTCTCCTGTAATAAAGAACTTCCTCCTCCCACCACCACAATCTTTTTTTTCTCTTTCAGTATCACTATGAATTTATGGATTTTAAAATTCAATATTATAGTCCATTACCTTCATTGGTTATTTTGATGCTCAAATTGTGTGACATTTTTCTAATCAGAGCTCTTTCAAGCTGGCTCCTGTGTCATCTGGATATATCCCCTTCAGTCTTTGTGCCTCCCTTGTTGTCTAGCACAGAAAATGTTCTAAGCTTAGTTTGTAATTTCTCTGCCTTTGATTTGGAATCAGTCCTTCCTTTAAGGAATCCTAGTTTGTTTCACTGAAGACTAGTGTTTAGAAATCAAGTACTGGACATTAAGTTTCAGTACATGCCAGTTTTTGTGTAAGAAAGGAGAAATATAAATGTTTCATGTATATATGTGTATGTTTGCTTATTTTGTAGAATGAAACTTGATAACAATAAATCAGTAAACAATGGGAATGGTTACCTATGGGAAGTAAGTGGGAGTGAGTTGGAGGAATAACAATTGAAATGAAGCTTCTCTGAGGATATAATTTAATATGCTGTGCTTACAGTGGACAGAGTTAGGAAACATAAAATTCTGAGTTTATATGGATATCTCTAATCAAAACCCAGTACCACTCATTTTCACCATTTCATATTAGATTCTCCTTACTCCACAGTGAGAACCTGTACCCCTAAACATCACTATATTTATTTGTTTACATATTTACTATATTCAACAAATAGTTTCAGAATTATGCCAATACTGCCTCTAATAACAAACATATGAAAAAGTTTAAGATTTCTTTGCTATTTTAAAAAAAAATCTTAGTGATATGGTTTGGCTGTGTCCCCACCCAAATCTCATATTGAATTGTAGTTCCCACAAGTCATGGGAGGGAACTGGTGGGAGGTAATTGAATCGTAGGGGTGGTTACTCCCATGCTGCTGTTCTCATGATAGTAAGTTCTCGAGAGATCTCATAGTTTATATGGGGCTTTTCCCTCTTTGCCTGGCATTTCTCCTTCCTGCAATCATATGAAGAAGGACATGTTTGCTTCCTCTTCTAGCATAATTGTAAGTTTCCTGAGGCCTCCCTAGCAATGCAGAACTGTGAGTCAATTAAACCTCTTTCCTTAATAAATTACCCAGCCTCGGGCAGTTGTTTATAGCAGTGTGATTTTATTTTTGATTATGTAAAAGGGTTACATGGTTCAACAATGAGAACCATATAAAAAAGTTATTATATACTTAGAGAAGTCTCATTTCTATCCCCATCTCTTCCACTCTATTCATATGTATCCACTATAAATAATTTTATTTGTTTCTAGTTTGTCTTGCTTGGATTTGTTTTTCTGAAATTGAGCCTCTTATTTCATAAAAACAGTATTTTAATATGTATAATGTAATATATAAAACAATACATACTATATAAAAGTTTTGCACTTAAAAATTAAATTAAACATTTAAATTTAACAATATATCCTAGAAATCATTCCATATCAGTTATTAGAGATCTTTATTCTTTGCTTCTGTTGTTACCAGAAAGGGATCCTGATCCAGACCTAAGAGAGGGTTCTTGGATCTTGCAGAAGAAATAATTTAAGGCGAATCCATAAAGTGAAAGTAAGTTTATTAGGAAAGTAAGGGGGTAAAGAATGGCTACTCGACAGGCAGGGCAACAGCATAAGCTGCTGGTTGGCCATTTTTCTGGCTATTTCTTGATTATTTGCTGAACCAGGGGTAAATTATTCATGAGTTATCCGTGAAAGGGGTGGGCAATTTTTGGAACTGAGGGTTCCTCCACTCTTGAGACCCTATAAAGTAACTTCCTGATGTAGCCATGGCATTTGTAAGCTGTCATGGCACCGGTGGGAGTGTCTTTTAGCATGCTTATGCATTATAATTAGTGCGTAATGAGCAGTGAGGACGACCAGAGGTCACTTCTGTCACCATCTTGGTTTTGGTGGGTTTTGGCCAGCTTCTTTACTGCATGCTGTTTTATCAGCAAGGTCTTTATGACCTGTACCTTGTGTCAACCTCCTATCTCATCCTGTGACTAAGAATGCCTTAAACTCCTAGGAATGCAGCCCAGTAGGTCTCAGCCTTATTTTACCCAGCTGCTATCTAAGTTGGAGTCTCTCTGATTAGAAAGTCACTGACACTGCCATATAGCGTTAAAATGTAAGTGGACAAATTATAGCTTATTTTGAGATGGAGCATGGAAATAAAGGAAAAACTTGAGGTCCTTCAAGGGACGTTCCAGACACCTACCCAGTCCCAAGAAGCAACTGGATAAGCAAGAAGATAATAGTAGTCTAAAACAATAGCCAAGGAAACTAGAACAATGGCATATTTGGTTCCCTATAGAAACTAAAGATAACATCTTAACATATGTCTCTGAGTTGTTTTTCAGAAACCCAGATTCCCACTGAACAGATTCACCAGCACATAAAACTCACATGAGGGGGAACTAGGCACTGTATTCTGACCACTTTTCTTTGTTCTAAATTGCATTCTGAGTGGCCTAGAGAAAGTCACACCCACAAGCAAGAGCTAACGTTCTTTTCTGCTGACCCCAAATTTTTAAACAAAGCTTATTTTCCTTAACCAGTTGCAAATCAGAAAATCTTTGAATCTACCTATGATCTGTAAGCCCCACACACCTCAAAATAATTCCTTTTAGGCCAAAACCAATATGTAACCTCCATGTATTGATTTATGATTTTGCCTTTAACTTCTACTTTCCTGAAATTTACCCCCGCCTCTCAAAATCCTCATCTGCAAGACACTGGAGAGGTCAGAATTTAAGCATTAGCTGCCTGATCCTCCTTGCTTGATGCCCTGCAAATAAATGCCTCACTTTCTCTTGCTGCCAACCCATTGTCAGTGCTTGGCTTTGTTGTGCTGGGTGAGTGGACTCCAGTTTGGTTCTATAACAATGTATCTATGTCTTTTATGGATATACATTTAAATTGCTTCCAAAATTTTGCCATTAAAAATAGTGCTTCAGTTCATGCATATGTTGTTTTGTATTTGCAGAGGTATATCCTCCGTTCCTTTCTCTCTTCCTTCTCCTTGTGGTATTCCCACTATGCATATGTTACGTATTTTTGTAATTGTTCCACAGCTCTTAGATATTTTGTTCCACTTTAAAAATAAACCACAACATTTTTTCCCTTTTGTCTTCCAGTTTGGGAAGTTTCTGTTGACACATCTTCAAGGTCATTGATTCTCTCCTCAGCCATGTCCAGTCTACTGATCAAAGGCTTTCCTTATTTCTGTTATTGTGTTTTTTATTTCTAGCATCCTTTTGATGCTAGCAAAAAGCATCCTAAAATCTTTTTGATTCATTCTTAGACTTCATCTCTCTGCTTGCATTGTTATTTGTTCTTGCATGTTTTCCACTTTTTCCTTTAGAGCCCTTAGTATATTAATCATAGCTATTTTAAATTTCCAGTCTGATAATTCTAAAATCTCCGACACACCTGGGTCTGGTTCTGATGTGTGTTCTGTCTCTTCAGATGGTGGGGTTTTTTTTTGTTGTTGTTGTTGTTGTTTTTGCCTTTTAGCATGTGCTATAATTTTTTGTTGAAAACTGAACATATCAGGTAAAAGAACTGAGGTACATAGGCCTTCAGCTTTTTTGTTTATCTGAATGGGAATTGGGCTGTGTTTATTGTTTGTTGCAGGTGTCAGAAGCTAAAATGTCCTCTGGTGTTCTTGTTTTTCTCTGCCCTGTTATCTTTGGGTTTCCCTAGAGACTTCTACAGTGAGGTCTCAGGACTTGCAGTTCTTTCAATTGTGTTCTCCAATTATTATATAGGGGCTCCATTGATGTGGTGGTGAGGAGTCGGGGAGAAGAGTGTTCTGTACTACTAAGATTAGGTCTCAGTCTTTTAGTGAGCCTATGCTCCTGGGCTGTGGCCTTCATAAATTCTTCTCAGCTTGTTTTCCTATTTTTTAGGTGAGACAGGAAGTCTATAGGGGGCTGAAATAGAGTACTTCTCTTCTCCCATGTAAGTTAAGCAGTGGTAAAATATTTGTCCTTGAGGGCAGACCTTTGTTTAAAACAAGAGAAAACTCTAGGTATATTTCAAAATGATTACTTTCCTCCTCCCTCTTCAGGAATCAAAAAGGATTTTTTTTTTTTTCAGAACTTCACCCTGGGAAACAGGGATTCCGAAGATGAAAACTCATAAAAGTGTGGGACCCCTTATGGATGGCTCCCAAGATATTTTTTTCTCAAGCTAGAACACACTGTCTCCAACAATTAGTCAATTACCTTTGTCTTCTTATCAATTTCCTACCAGTTGCTGGCTCCAGTGGCAGTTTCTGTTATCAGGAGGCTATGATTCTTGTATTTTCTTCTCCAATGTTCAGGGCAGTGGCTTGCTCTAACCTTAATTCTCTGGTGGACCTAAGAAAAGTGTTGGTTTTCAGTTTGTTCAGCTTTTTATTTTTTTCTTTTTTTCTAAGCTTTTTATGTATTGGACTGGAAACCAGAAGTTTATATAAATTCTGGAGGTGCACCTTAAAGATAAAATCCTAGAAGTGGTATTACAGAGTCAAGAAGTAAGATACATGCTATTTTGTTCCATATTGCTGAATCCTCCTCCATTAGGCTGTGCTATTTTGCATTTCTACTAGCAATGTGTGAGAATGTTGTTCTAACAGAATGTTGTCAAGCTTTTGAATTCTTGGCAATCTGATGGTGAGAATTGGTGTCTCAATATAGTTTCATTTTGCATTTCTCTTACTATGAGTGAAGTTGTGGATTTTTTAATGTTTAAAGGGCATTTACATGTATTTTCCTGTGGACTCTGTTTATACCATTTGCTCCATCCTCCACCTTTTAAAAAATAGGGTTTTGGTATTTTCCATCAGAATTCAAGAATATGTTATATATTAGGCAGATCAGTCCTGTAAGTGTGACATACTTTGTAATCATTTCTTTACTAGTTTATAATTTGTTTCTTGATTTTTCTTTTTCATTTTGACCTTGCAAAATTTTTTGTACATATGTAGTTTATTTTTATCTGGATTCTGAGTCATAGTTGGCAATATATTATTTTCTCATTATAATTTATTAAACATTTTCTTATCCCAGTCATTTGAGATGCAATCTTTTTCATATGCTAAACTTTCAAATGTACTTGGGTTTAGTTCTTGATTTTCTATTCACTTCCATTGGTCTCTGTACTTGTGCCCTATTTCCATAATATTTTAATTACAGTGGCTTTGTGATATGTTTTAATTTCTGGTATAGCTAGACTGCCCTCACTTCTCTTTTTTCCAGGGTTTTTTATTTCTCCTAGCTATTTTTACATAAATATATTTTAGAGGCAACTTGTCTAAATCTAGAAAATAAAACCTAAAAATATTGTTATTGGGATCACATTAAATGTATTTTAACTTTGGAGAACTGGCATTTTTAATGCTGTTGAGTCATTAAATATGTGTTAGTTTCCTGTTACCGTAACAAATTATCACTAATGTGACTTAAAACCACATAAGTTTATTATCTTACAATTCTGGAGGTCAAAAGTCCAAAAACAGTCTCATAAAATCAAGATGTCAGAGGGCTGTATTGCTTCTGGAGACTTAGGGGATAATCCATTTATTTGTTTTCTCCATCTTCCTTGCCTTATGGATCCTTCCTCTATCCTTAAAGACAGGAGCACAGCATTTTCAAACCTCTCTCACCTCTGCTCTCATGGTGCCTTCTCTGACTTTGACCTTCCTGACTTCCTCTTACAAGGATCCTTGTGATTATAGTGGACCCACTCAGATAATTCAGGACAATCTCCGCATCTCTATATCGTTAATGCAATCACTTCTGCAAAGTCCATTTTGCCACACAAGGTTGCATATTCACAAGCTCTGGCAGTTTGGACCTGGGCATCTTTGCAGAGGGGGGTAGCTATTATTCTGTCTATCACACTATCCAAAGAAATGTGATCTTTCGATGTTCAAGTTTATTTTTGTGGTTTTAAGACTGTTTTCAAGTTTTTTCCTACATGTTTTGCACATTTCTTGTTAAGCCTAATTCCTGATTTTTTCAATGCTTTTGTAAATGAAGTATTCTTCCTTGTTATATTAAACTGGTTATTCGTGTATAAAAGCTATTGATTTGTATTAATTCAATATTCTGGTATCTTACTGAAGTATTTTAATATTGGTGTTGATTGTCCCTTGACATATACCTTTAGGTATATTATCACATTAATAAAGATAGATTTGTGGCCGGGTGCGGTGGCTCACGACTGTAATCCCAGCACTTTGGGAGGCCGAGGTGGGCGGATCACGAGGTCAGGAGATCGAGACCATCCGGGCTAACATGGTGAAACCCCGTCTCTACTAAAAATACAAAAAAATTAGCTGGGCATGGTGGCGGGCACCTGTAGTCCCAGCTACTCCGGAGGCTGAGGCAGGAGAATGGTGTGAACCCGGGAGGCGGAGGTTACAGTGAACCGAGATTGCGTCACTGCACTCCAGCCTGGGCGACAGAGTGAGACTCCATCTCAAAACAAATAAATAAATGAATAAATAAATAAAATAAAACATAAAGATAGATTTGTTAATATTTCTTCTCTAATTCTCACATCTAAAAGGTTTGTTTTGTCTGATTGCATTAGTTAATACCTTGAATACATAGTGGGAAAGCTTGCTTTGTTTAGGGGCTTTAAGGGAATGCCTCTAGTGTTTCCCAATGGAGTAAGATTCTAGCTTCAGGACTGAGATATGCATTCTGAAAATCTTATTCAGCAATATCCATCAGTCCTTACCTGGATTGTGTTTGGAAATTTATTGAAGCTTGGAATTTTATTTTATTTTTAGGGTCTTTGGAGAAAATTATATTCATTTCCTATTTGCCTCTATTAATATAGTAAATTATATTAATAGATTTTTAAATATTGATCTATTCTTTCATGCCTGGAATAAATCCTAGTTAGTCATGATAATTCTCTTTTTAATATGATCTTTCAATCTGTTTGCTAATATTTAATTCAGTAGTTTTTACGTCAATATTCGAAAAGGCCATTTGTTTATAAATTTGGGAAGGTGCTATTTTTACCAAATTTTGGTAGAAATGTTATACTTCCTTCATTAAATTTTTTAGAATTTTTTTCTTTTTCTATGCTTCGAAACAATTAAGTGGTATTAAGATTTTCTGATCTTTGGACGTTTGGTGGAATTCACCTGTGAAATCATTCAAGCCTGATGTTTCTTTTGTGGAATAGTTCTATTATGACTTTCTATTTTTTTCTATGGAAATTGGTTTCTTTAAGCTTTTGATTTCTACTAAGGTCAAATTTGATAAATTGTATTATCCTATGAATTTATCCATTTCATTTAGATTTTTAGTTTATTTTAATATTATGCTAAGTAGTCTGTTATTTTTAATCTCCACTGTTTCAATAATTATTTACACAGATTTATTATTGATTTCTACATCTTTGCTTTATTTTTTGGTAACATTTATCCTTTACTTTTTTTTTTACCATCTTAACCATTTTAAATGTATAATTTAGCATATTAAATGCATTCATAATGTTGTGCAACCATCACCACCATCCATCTCCATACCTCTTCATCTTGTAAAATTGAAACTCTACACACATTAAACAATAATGCCCCATTTCCCCCTCCCCTCAGCACCGGGCAAGCACCATTCTATTTTCTGTCTCTATGATTTTGATTACTCTACCTCATATAAGTGGAATCATACAGTATTTGTCTTTTTGTGACTGGCTTATTTCACTTAGCATTTTGTCCTCAAGATACATTCATGTTGTAGCATATGTCAGACTTTCTTTCCTTTTTAGGGCTGAATAATATTCCATTGTGTATGTATGCTACATTTTGCTGATCCTTTCATCTGTCAATGGGCACTTGCTTCCATATTTTAGCTATTGTGAATTATGCTGCTATGAATATGGGTGTACAAATATCTCTTTGAGATCTTGCTTTCAATTCTTTTGGGTATATATATTCAGAAGTAAAACTACTGGGTCATATGATAATTCTATTTTTAATTTTTTTGAGAAACTGCCATGCTGTTTTCTACAACAACTGTACCATTTTACATTCCTACTAACAGTGCACAAGGGTCCCAATTTCTCCACATCATCACCAGTACTTGTTATTTTATGGTTTTTTTTTTTGTTTGTTTTTAAGTAGCCATTCTAATGGGTGTGAGGTGTTATGGCTTGTAGTTTTGATTTGTATTTCCCTAATGATTAATGATGATGTGCATCTCTTCATGTGTTTATTAGATGAATGTCTATTCCAGTCCTTTGCCTATTTTTGAATCAGATTGGGTTTCTGTTGTTGAGTTTTAAGAGTTCTGTATATATTCTGAATATTAATCCCTTATCAGATAGCATGATGATATGGTTTGGCTGTGTCCCCACCCAAATCTCATCTGGAATTCCCACATGTGGTGGGAGGGACCCACTGGGAGGTAATTGAATCATGGGGGCAGGTCTTTCCCATGCTGTTCTCGTGATAGTGAGTAAGTCTCCTGAGATCTGATGGTTATTATAAGAGGGAGTTTTCCTGCATAAGCCCTCTTCTTTTGTCTGCTGCCATGTGAGACATGCCTTTGCTATTTTTCAAGGTATCTGTGGCTATTCAGGGTCCCTTGAGATTCCACATGAATTATATAGAACAGGTTTTACTGTTTCTGCAACAATTGTTTTTGGGATTTTGATAGAGATTGCATCAGATCTGTAGATTACTTTGGGTGGTATTGACATCTTAACAATAAGCCTTCCAATTCATGAACACAAGATATTTCCATTTATTTATGTCTTTAATTTTTTTTCAGCAATATCTTGTAGTTTTCATTGTATGTCTTTCATGTCCTTGGTTAATTTCAAAGCATTTTATTATTTTTGATGCTATTATAAACGTAATTGTTTTTGTAATTTTTTTTCAGATTGTTAAACTGAGTTTTTAGTGGTAACTTTGTATTTTGCTACTTTTCTGTGACAGCATTTATTAGTTCTAACAGATATATATTTTTGAATCCTTAGGGTTTTCTACATAATAATCCTCTGCAAAAACAGCAAGAAGTAAGTTCATTTTTTTTTTTCCAATTTGGATGCTTTTTCTTTCTTTTCTTTTCTCTTTTTTTGCATAATTGTTCTGGCTAGAACTTCTAGTACTATGTTGAATAGAAGTGGTAAAAGCAAGCATCCTTGCCTTATTGCTAATCTTAGAGGAAAAGTTTTCAGTCTTTCACTATTCAGTGTCATGTTTGCCAATGTTTTTTGATGATTTTTGCATCAATGTTAATAAGGAATATTGATCTGTAATTTTCTTTACTTGCAGTGTTATTGTCTGACTTGGTCATCAAGGTAATGCTGTCCTCATAGAATGAGTCAGGAAGTGTTCCCTCCTATTCAATTTTTCAGAAAAGTTTGAGAAAGATAGGTATTAGTTTTTCTTTAAATGTTTGGTAGAATTCACCAGTGAAGCCACAGGTCCGGGACTTTTTTTTGTTGGGAGCTTTTTGATTACTGATTAAATCTCCTTACTAGTTAATATGTTTACTCAGATTTTCTATTTCTTCATGATTTTGTCTTGGTAGGTTTCGTGTTTCCGGGAATTTGTTCGTTTTGTCTAGGTTATCTAATTTGTTGTCCTACAATTTCTCATACTACTCTCTTATAATCCTTTTTGTTTCTATAGAATCAGTAGAAAAATTGTCACTTTCTTTCCTGATTTTAATAATTTAAGTCATCTCTTTTTTTATTAGTCCATCCAGCTAAATTTTGTCAATTTTGTTGAGTTTTTAAAAAAATAAATTTTTGGTTTTATTGATTTTCTCTACTGCTTTTTGATATGGTTTAGCTGTGTCCCTACCCAAATCTCATCTTGAAATTTAGCTCCCATAATCCCCATATGTTGTGGGAGGGACCCGGTGTGAGGTAATTGAATCATGGAGGCTGGTTTTCCACATGCTGTTCTCATAATGATAAATAAGTTTCATGACATCTGATGATTTCATAATGGGCAGTTCCCCTGCACACACTCTCTTGCCTGCTGCCATCTAAGACATGCCTTGCTTCTCCTTCACCTTCTGCCATGATTATGAGGTCTCCTCAGCCATGTGGAACTGTGAGTCCATTAAACCTGTTTTTCCTTATGAATCACTCAGTCTTGGGTATGTCTTTATTAGCAGCATGAGAACAGACTAATACACTTTTCTATTATTTATATCATTTATCTCTGCTTTAATATTCATTATTTACTTCTGCTAGCTTTGGGTTTAGTTTGTACTCCTTTTTCTAGTTTCTTAAGTTATAAAGTTAAGTTGTTAATTTTGGATCTTTCTTGCTTTGTTGTTCTTTAGCGGTGATTTATGAGATTTTAGTGCATTTGTCACCCAAGCAGTGCACACTGTATTCAACATGTGTCTTTTATCTCTCACCCTCCTCCCAACCTTCCCTCTGAGTCCTCAAATTTCATTATATAGTTCTTATGCCCTTGCATCCTCATAGTTCACCTCCCACTTATAAGTGAGAACATACAATATTTGGTTTCCCTTCCTGAGTTACTTCACTTAGAATAATGACCTCCAGCTCCATCCAAGTTGCTGCAAAAGACATTTATTTCATTCCTTTTTATGGCTTACTAGTATTCCATGGTATATATATACCACATTTTCTTTATCCACTCATTGTTCAATGGGCACTTAGGTTGGTTCCATATCTTTGCAATTGTGAATTATGCTGCTATAAACATGTGTGTGCATGTGTCTTTTTCATATAAAGACTTCTTTTCCTTTGAGTTCTTTTTTGCTTTTTAATGTAAGCATTCATAGCTGTAAATTATTCTCTTAGCGCTGCTTTCACTGTCTTATGTGAGTTTTAACACTTTGTGCTTTTGTTTTG
This sequence comes from Homo sapiens, assembly GCF_000001405.40. NCBI lineage: Eukaryota > Metazoa > Chordata > Mammalia > Primates > Hominidae > Homo > Homo sapiens. The sequence continues at coordinate 115,024,145 of NC_000011.10, read as the reverse complement.
ATTAATCTCTGTGTGTTTCATAATTTACCTTGTGATTTCTTTTTTGATCTATTGCTTGGTTAAGAGTGCACTCTTTAATGGACAAATTTGTGAGGTTTTCAATTTTATATCTGTTATTGATTTCTAACTTCATCTTGTGATCAGAAAAAATATTTTGTATGATATCTATCTTTTAAAATTTATAGAGACTTAATTTGTGGCATAACATGTGGTCTATTCTGGAAGATGTCCCTTGTGCCCTTGAGAAGAATGTGTGTTGTTGTTGGGTAGCATGTTTTATATGTCTGTTAGATTTAGTTGATTTATTGTGTTTAAATCCTCCATTTTCATACTTCTGTCTGGCTTTTCTGTTATTGAGAATGGGGTATTAAAGTCTCCAACTATTATTACATAACTGTCTGTTTCTCTCTTTAATTCTGTTGCTTTTCACTTCCTATATTTTTATGGTGTTTTATTGAGTATGTAAATATTTATAATAGTTATATCTTCTTGCTGTATTTAGGCTTTTATTAATACACAATGTCTTTCTTTGTCTCTTGTAACCTTTTGATTTAAAGTCCATTTTTTCTAATATTAGTATAGCCATTGCTGCTCTCTTTCGGTTACTATGTACATAGAATTCCTTTTTCCATCCTTTCACTTTCAATCTGTGTCTTTGAATCTAAGGTAAGTCTCTTGTAAACAGCATATATTTTGATCATGGTGGTTTTTTTTTTTTTTTTTTTTAATCCATTCTGTCAATCTTTGTCTTTTGAATGGAGAGTTTAATTCATTTATATTTAAAGTAATTACTGATAAAGAGGGACTTACTTCTGTCATTTTACTATTTGTTTTCTTAGTACCTTACAGCAGTTTTTGTCCTGAATTTTTTAGATTACTGTCTTTTTTTGTGTTTAATTTTTTGAAGCGAAATATTTAAATTGCTTTCTAATTTCCTTTTATGTATATTCCATGGCTATATTCTTTGTGGTTACGATGGTGATTACACTTAATATTCTAAACTTATAATACTCGAATTTGAATTTGTAACAGGTTAACTTCAATAATATACAAAAAACTTTGCAGTTCCCGCCCTACCCCTTTTGGTTGTTGATGTCACAAAATTACATCTTTACGCATTGTATGCCGCAAAACATTAACTAACAATTCTTTTAAATACATTAGTGTCTTAAATTATGCAGAAAACAAAATGTGGAGTTGTAAACCAAAGTTACAATAATACTAGCTTTTAGAGTAATACTTTTGTAATAAACTAGTTTCTTAAATCATGTAGAAAACAAAAAGAGTTACAAAGTATTTATATAACTATAATACTTTTATAAATGTCCATGTATTTATCTTTATTGAGATTCTGATTTTTTATGTGATGTCAAGTTACTATCTAGTGTCCTTACATTCTATCCTGAAGGACTTCCTTGAGTATTTCTCGCAGAACAGATCTCCTGGTAACTAACTCCCCTGGGTTTTGTTTGTCTGGGAATGTATCAGTTTTTCTCTCACTTTTGAAGCAGTTTTGCTGGATACAACATTATTACTTGATAGCTTTTTCTCTTTTAACACTTTGAATATAGCAGCCCATCACCTTCTGTCTTGCAGTTTGTAATGAAAAATATGCTTATAATCTTATTGAGGATTTCTTATATGTGGGTGAGTCACTTCTCTTTTGCCTGCTTTCAAGATTCTCTCTTTGTTTTTTGAAAGCTTGATTATGATGTGTCTCAGTGTGGGGTCTTTTTCTTCCATTGAGGGTCGTTTTGAGTTAATCTTACTTGGGGTTCCTTGAGCTTTTTGAATGTTTATATTCATGTTTTATCAAACTTGGGAAGTTTTTAGCAACAATTTCTTCAATTATTCATTTTGCCCCTTTCTGTCTTCTTGTTCTGGGACTTTCACAATGTACATGTTGATCTAACTGATGGTGTCCCACAAGTCCTCCCAGGCTCTGTTTAATTCTCTTTAATCTTTTTTCTTCTCTTTCTCAGAAACAATGATTTCCATTGTTCTATCTTCAAGTTCACCAATTCTTTCTTCTGCCTGCTCAAATCTGTCTTTGAATACTTCTAGAGAATTTTTTATTAGTCTATTTTATTTTTCAGCTCCAGAATTTGTTTGGTTTCTTTTTAGATTTTCTGTGGTTTAAAAAATATTTCCATTTTCCCTGTACACTGTTTTCTTGATTTTCTCCACATCATTCATTAGTTCTTTGAGCATCTTTAAGATAGTTGTCTTAAAGTCTTTGTCTAGTAGATTTGCCATCAGTTCTTTTTCAGGGGCAGTTTCTGTTGACTTATTTTTTCCTTTGAATGGGCCATAGTTTTTTATTTCTTTGTTTGCCTTGTGATTTTTTGTTGATAACTGGGTATTTTAAAATAATAATGTGGTAACTCTGGAAATCAGATTCTTGCCTTTAGAGTTTGCTGGTTTTAGAAATTGTTTGTTTCTTTTATATTTTTGATATTTGTTATCTGTTGTTATACCAAGAATCAGCTTGTAGTATAAACTTGAGGTATTCTTAGGTATGTTCTGAGCCTGCACCTTTCCCTGGCATGTAGTCACTTTCTAATTTTTCCTATATATATAGTTGTTTTCAAATGTTACAACCTTTTATGTTATAATTTTTTATACCTGACTCTCAAAAAAAAAACAAAAAGTCTGGGTGCAGTGGCTCATACTTGTAATACCACCACTCTGGGAGGCTGAGACAGGCAGATTGCTTGAGTTTGAGACCAGCCTGGACAACATAGTGAAACAGTCTCTATTAAAAATACAAAAAAAACAAAACAAAACAAAACAAAATTAGTGGTGCATACCTGTACTTCCAGCTACTTGGGAGGCTGAGGTGGAAGAATCACCTGAGCCTGGGAGGCCAAGGCTGTGGTGAGCCGAGATTGCACCACTGCACTTCAACCTAGGGAACTAGAGTGAGATGAAAGAAAGGGAAGAGAAGGGAAGTGGGGGGGGGCAAGAGGAAGGGGAAGGGAGGGGAAGAAAGGGGAAGGGAGGGGAAGGCAAAGAAAGAGAAAGAAAGAAGAGGGAGGGGAACCAGTCCTTTAAATCTCCTGGAAGTCACTTCAGCCAGAGGCGGAGAGGCCTGAAGCAGTGGGGGGAGGTTCAACAATGGCCTCCTCCTTCTTTGCACCTCTGTGATTACAAGCAGCAGTCATTGATCAGAACACAGATCCTTGCTATTTGGATAACAGGGCCATTGTTGCCCACTCTGGCTCCCACAAACTGTGTGAAGAGTGCTCCAGGAACATGTGCTTAGCTGTTTGCCATGGGGCTAGGAAGAGGGAATGGGTAGCTGCTATTGTGCTAAGAGCTAAAATTGACTGAAATTAACCACAAGTCTTCCTTGGAAGTTACAAGCCTTAAATAGACCTCATAGTTACAAAATAGTTACAACAAACAGATTCTGCCAGTGCAATTGTTGTCTTGGCAGGAGAGAGTTTCCTGATGCTTCCTACACTACCATCTTCCTGTGCTTTATTCCTTTGTATTGATTAGATTAGGTAGTGGCTTGTCTATTACACTGATTTTTTTCAAGCAAATAGAATTTTCATTTATTTATTACTTCTACTGTTTTCTGTTTTCTATCTTAATAACTTCTGGTTTATGATTTTTATTCTTTCTACCTTCTCTTTGTTTAATTTGTTCTTTTTCTGGACTTTTGGGAATTTCATTCATTTATTTTCAGGCTTAGTTTAAAAAAAGTCTTGTAATTGAAGTATGACATATATAAAGTAGACAAAAATTATGTAAGTGAATTTTGAAAATGGACAAACCCTGGTAACCACCATCTGATCATGGTCTAGATTAGTACTAGCACTCAGAAGCATCCTACATGTCAACTTTTGGTTAATATCCCCTTCCAATTCTGTTTCTATTACTATAAATTAGGTTTGTCTACTTTTAAATTTTATATAAATGGACTGCTATAGTATGTACTCTTTTGTGTCTGGCCTTTTTGCTCAAAATTATGCCTAGGAAATGACTTCACTTAGCTATGTGTTGTGTCGGTATTGTATTCCTCTTTATGAATATACTGTACTTTATTTAGGTATTTGTAACATAATAAGAAATATATATCTGTTATTTGCCTTCAGTTCCTTACACAGACCCTTTAAAGCCCTTGTAATTTCCTGAATGATGGGGGTAATTGGGATGTCTTATATACAGCTCTTAAATAGGAATTTCTTGAGTTAGATGAGCATCTTTCATTTTAATGAGGTGACTCTTGGGCTCCTGGATAACTTCAGGATGGGAGCTGGTTGCCAGAAAGACCAAGCCATGATCAAAACGTTGGAACTCTCAGCTCCACTCACCAAAGCTCTGGGGAGGGGTGAGGGGCTGGATAGTGAACTAATAATCATGCCTACATGAGGAAGCTTCCCTAAACCATGGAGTTCAGAGAGCTTGTAGGTTGCTGAATGCATCTATCTCCTGGGAGAGTGGTTCACCCCAACTCCTTAAGACGAAAGCTTCTGTGCTTGGGACCCTTCTTGATCTTGTTCTATATATCTCTTCATTTGTATCCTTTATAATAAACTGGTAAACATAGGTAAAAAGTGTTTTCCTGAGTTCTATGAGCTGTTATAGCAAATTATCAAACCTGAGAAAGGTTTGTGGGGAACCCCAATTTGTAGAAGTTGAACAGAAGTGTGGGTAATCTGGGAACCTACTACTTGTGATTGGCATCTGAAATGAGGAGCAGTCTTGTGGAACTGAACCCTTAACGAGTGGAGTCTACTCTTACTTTGGGTAATGTCAATTTAAATTAAATTGTAGGGCAGCCAGTTGATGTCCACAAAGAATTGGAGAATTGCTTTGTGTGGAAACCCCACCCATTTGATGTCAGAAGTGTTGTAACAGAAACAATTTTTCCTTTAGTATTCCATAGATGTTTGTGTTCATTTCAGTTTTAGTCTATTATAAATAAAACTGCTGTGAATGTGCTTATTCATTTTTACATGTGAACATGTGAATACGTTTCTGCTGGATAATACATACATAGCTAGGGGCCAGTTTCTAGATCATAGAGTATGCAAATATTCAGGTTTAGTAAATACTGCTTACATGGTTTTTCAAAGCGGTTGTACCAATTTACATACCTATCCTCATGGTACATGACTTTAGTTTACTCCTCATGTACTCCAACAGTTTGTATTGTTAGTTTTTAATTTTTAGTCACTCCAAAGTGCACACAGTTATCCTTGGGAACCCATGGGGAATTGGTTTCAGGATCTCCCTCTAATGCCAAAATCCATACATATTCAAGTTCCCAATATAAAATGGTGTAGTATTTGCATATAACATAAACATATATATATCCTCCCATACACTAAATCAACTCTAGATTACTTATAATACCTAATACAATATAAATGCTATGTAAATAGTTGTCATATTCTTGTTTAGAGAATAATGACCAAAAAAAGTCTGCACATGTTTAGTATAGATATAATGTTTTAAAATATTTTCAATCCATAATTGATTGAATCAATCAATGTAGAACTCATGGATATAGAGGGCTGACTGTATACAGGTAGCTCCTTACTGTTAGGCATTTCTTCATATGTTTATTGATTATTTGGTAATCCTGTTTTATGATTTACCTGTTGAGTCTTTAGTTGCCCATTAGAAGAAAAAACCATGTTGTTCTCTTCTTGTTAATTTAATGTTTTTCTTTATGTGATTTTTTGGACCTTTTTTTGGTAATTATTTTGGTATGTAGGAAGTTTTGCTTTGTTTGTTCCAGTATTCATCTTTATACTAATAATTATTAGTGTCTGTAGTCCCCTCTATTCTTACATAGGCTATTACTATTGAGTTTGTAAGACTTAACGGATATCCTTTACCGCCTACTTACTTTATATATGTCAGTCAATGAGATTTTTGTTTTCCCCATTTTCTTTTCCTTATTGATTTTAGTTGTTTTATTTTTGCTTTGTAATATTTACAAACTATTCGTCCACTCTTGTGTTCACTATTATTTTAGTTTTAGTTCTACATTTAAATACATTCAATGTTTACCATCAGCCTTTTGCCCAAGATTCTCCAGTTATCTATTTTCTGGACGGAGCTTGTCCTCTACTAGACTCCTCACAAGGCTTAGAAATACAGCATTCCTTGATTTCTTGTAGGCTTAAAGTAAATTTTCTAATACTATTAATAGCATTTGTCTATTGATTGTTCTAGGTCAATTTCCCAGGTATACACTCTCAGACACTATTTCTTCAAATATTTTGGCTTCATTTTTTGTTTTCTCTGTTTCTGGTAGTCCATTTACACATATTAATTAGACTGTTGACATTGCTTCACCCATCTTGAATGTCCTCTTCTTGTTTTTTATCCCACTTTGTTTTGTCTTTTTATTTCAGTTTGTATACTTTCTTTTGTACTTGTCTTCCAGTTCACTAATTCTTTCCTTGTTTGTGTCCATTCTGCTGTTAAGCTCATCTAATATTTTCTTCATTTTTGATATTATATTTTTATTTCTAGCATTTTTACTTAGTTCTGGTTTATAGTTTTTGTTTCTGCTGACATGTTCACTCACTTCATTGATTTTATGTATATTTTACATCAGTTTTGTTAGCATTTTTCCATAGTTATTTTAAAGTTCTTTTCTGTCCTCTAGGTCATCTCTGTATCTGTTTCTATTGACTACTTTCTCTCTTGACTATGTGTAGCTTTTCCTTCTTTTTTATTTTGTGTGTGTGAGTTTTGATTTTTCCTGGACATTTTTTTATACAAGAAAAGGAGGAACTTAAGTAAATAACATTTGTTTTCAGAGAAGGCCATATGCTTTCTTATGTCAGGCCACCAATCTGTAGTTGAATTGGGTCTGGTCTTTGTCATGGTTTTAGTTTGATTCAATTAATCCGTGACTTTAAATATTTTAAGGATAGAATAAGGACATTTCTTTCTAGGTGTTTGAGCTTGGAGAACAGATATAAACTTTCTGAGATGTGGGATATCTCTCCTTGATTTATAGTCCAACTGCTTATCCTTTGGGTCTCTCAGGAATTCTCTTTTCTTATGAGTCCAGTTCTCATCTTTCTGATCCTGGGTATATTATTTTCAGTTCTGGTGCTCCACCTTTGGGTACTCTTAGGCCAGCATTCCCAGCCTCTGTGACTGACTGGTAGGAATAGAGAGGTTTCTTTCAGATCTTTCGCCTCATGCCCAGTCTTTGGTAGTTGAAAGCCTAGAGTGGAGTTCCTTAAGAACTTTATTCAGCTTTTACTCTCCACTCCAATCTCCCATTGGTTATAGTCTGGAATGCCTGAGGTGCTAGTTGTTTCAACTCTTCTCTTTGCCTTCAGCCTGAGAGCCTAGAGTGTTTCTGTTGTGTTTCTCTCAGCTCTTTAATTATATCCCTCCCCCTGATTTCAACTGGTATATTCTCTTGCATTTGGTAGTGGTCTCATTTGTTGCATAGTGGATTTCTCTCAGCTCTCACCCCTTCTTTTTGGCATACATGCTATTCCTCAAAACTGTGTCAAGACTTATGGGATTGGTGAGTGGGTGGACACTTACTCTGTGGCTGCAGCTCCTTTGGATTCTAATCTCCCATGTCAGTCTACATATAGCCTTCACAGGTTCGTCAGAATTTTCTTAGAAGTTCTTCCTGCTACATTTTCATGTATTTTACCTCTTTCTGCCATTTCACTAGGAATAAGAGTAGCAATAAATCTCCTCTCCCATAAAGGGATCCTGATTTTCTGGAATTTATTTCTTTTTTTTTTTGGTATTCTCCTTCTGTAACGAGTTTTAAAAATCTATGATTTTTAGCTTATCTGACCTGTTCTGATGGTTAGGCTGAGAGTGGTGTGCTTGCAAAATTTTACATCCAGACTGAAAGGAGAAATGATTTTTTTTGTATTTTTGATTACTAGTTTTTTATAAAAATTATTTAAAATTATTCAATCTGGAAAACTTTTTAAGAGACATGTTAATGTGTTTTAAATGTAGATAAAACATGGATTCCAGAATGTAGAGTGAACACTCTATTTTTATTTAAATTTAAAATAATATACAACCAAATTTTAAATGATTTTAAATAAATAAAATGAGGCATTACTCCTACCCCAACACGCACACACACAAACACACACACACACACACACACGACATGAGAATAAAACAGAGAATTTGGAAGAGCTCCATTAGCCAGACAAAGATCTCAACAAATTTCTGGAAGATGCAAAGCCAAAGAAGTCATGACTGAGAAGCCTTGGAGGGGAGAGGCTGGAGCTGAGAAAACCCAATCAAGTGACTACAGTTAGGAAGGGAATGTGGCTCCCATTCAGTGCCCCAGAAAGTCTTCAGAGGGAGATGAGTCAGATGGCAAGAATTACAGTGGAAACAGAGTTAAGGTGTGTATATGGAGTATTTGACACATTCTACCCCATCCTTTCTTTGCTTTCAGCCACCCCCAAGAGAAGAAGCTTGCAGCATGTTTTTAAACTCAGGCCAAGAAAAAAAAATCGTGTTTTTTTTTTTTCCCTAAAAAACTATCAAAGAGACCTAGGGCGACTGGTATAGGTGTGTGTGCTCTGAAGGAAAACCTTCTACGTTGTAATATTTAAGGTCGCAATGATAATGACTGGCTTGCTGTTCAGTCTCCTTTGCATGAAGGTTGCCATCTCAATATGCCTGGCCAAGATGCTTCCAATGACCACATTTTATATATTTTTTTTAATTTTTGTAGTTTATATTTTAAAATTTAAATTTAAAATTTTTCTTGAGACTGGGTTATGAGACCGGCTAATTTTTGTATTTTTGATAGAGACGGGGTTTTGTCATGTTTCCCAGGCTGGTCTGAAAGTTCTGGGCTCAAGCGATCCACCTGCTTTGGTCTCCCAAAGTGCTGGGATTACAGACATGAGGCACTGCACACAGCCCAATTGCCACATTTTAAATATGAATGGAAAACCATGTGTTCTGGTGATTTATTTATTTATTTTTAGGCTAGTTTTTAAACTGATACCTAATAGATGTACATATTTTCTTGGTACATATGATATTTGGATACTTTCATATAATGTATAAACATTGAATCACAGTAATTGGGATATCCAGGTGACCTATTTATTATTGTTGAATAAATGACTTCCAAACTCCGTGGCTTAAAATAATAATTTATCATTATCTCTCATGGCTCTGTAGGTTGTCTGGGACTACCTGGTTCTCACTTGGGGTCTCTCATATAGTTACAGTCAGATGGCAGGGGGGTGGAGTCATATGAAGCTCATTTGGGATGGATGCCCAATGTGGCTTCTTACTCACCAGCCTGGCGTTCTGCTTCTCCTTAGCCTTTCTCTCTTTCTGTGTGGCTTGGTCTTCTCACAGCATGGTCATCTCAGGCTAATCACACAAATCTTAAAAACTTTCATTAGTATCTCTCAGAGAAATTCAAGATAATATTATATCCATAGAAAAAAGGAATTGGGTGCTACAAGAAAGGAATGATTCAGAAAATAGGAAGGAACTTTTGAAATTTAAAAAGCGAGCACTGAGATGAAAGAAATGGTAATGAAGGGCTGGCTTAGCCTATATTTAATTGTGTGCACTAAAAGAAACAGCATAGATGGGTGGAAATAAGTCATTTACTTTATTTTTTCTCGATAATTTTGTCTACTCTGGTGAGAAAGGAACAAATTTACATTTTGCTGCTTATGTTAGAAGTTTAGTGTGAAAAATCTGAGTTAAATGACCCTGCAGTTCCAATCTATTCATCTTATGTTTTCAGGCACCTTGTAGATTGGAGATCTGGGCAGCTGGTGGCTTGGCTGGCCCAACCCTTATTGGATACTCCTCCCATTTTTTTCATTCCTGGAGCCTGTTGAATTAAGAAAGCCCAGTCAATAATCTCTTCACTGCCATACCCTCCCAAGATGTGTATCCATATAAAATTAGGTTAAAGTAATAGCAATAGCAAACAGGCTTAAGCAGACTAAAGTCATAGGATCACAGCAGGCAATCTTTGAAGTCTCAGGAAAAGGGTAGGGGCAGGCTAACATTATGACCCAGCTGGTAACAGGGGGGATAAATATAGGCTATTGTGAGATCTGCACTTTTTGGTGCACATATTGGGGGTGCCACCACATTTTCCCTGTTGACACTCCCCCAAATATTAGCTGCCTATAGGGAGTGCATTTGTTTCCTATAACTATGGTAGCAAATTATTATAAACTTGGCAGTTAAAACCAGAGAAATGTATTGTCTTATAGTTCCAGAGGCCAGAAGATGGCAATCAAGTGTTGACAGGGCTGCACTCCCTCTGGAGGTATTAAGAGAGAATCCTTCCTTGTCTCTTCCAGTTTCTGGTGGCTGCTGGCATTCCTTGGCTTGTGGCCACATGGTTTCAATCTCTACCTTCATCTTCACTCACCTTCTCCTCTTTTCTCTGTGTCGTCTCTCCATCTTTCTCTTATAAGGACATCTGTCTTTGGAATTAGGGCTCATTTAGATAATCCAGGATGATCTTTTCATCACAAGATCCTTAACTTAATTACATCTGCAAAGACACTTATTTTCCAAGTACAATAACACTCAATCTTTTGACATGTAAAGTAATAAGGTAGGTTCCCAGGACACAAGCATATGTTTTGGGGGGTGCTATGTAACTGATTACAGAGAAGCCTCTTGAAGCATGAAGACTGAGGTATTTGTACCAATTCCTTAAAAATTTCTGCTGGTGTGCCCTGCTGGGTTAGTTTGACTGTAACTACTAGGCTTCCTGTGTGCAATCTTTTGCCTACGTGTTTGATCTTTTCTTGTATTCCAGAGCACCAGGGAAGGCAACCTAATGAGGGCTTTAAATACCTCCGATTAGGCCAGAAGGGCAAAATTTTGACATCACAAAATAAGCTGTCCTCTCCAAAGGATGGTGTCTTCTCTTCATTCTGCCAGTACAAGATTGCTAAAGTTTGGTTCCCAAGGCACTCCTTAGCAGGCTAAATCTGAGATGGGAATTACTCTGCTGAGAAAAGAAGATTAATGTTTCATAACAAAAGGTAATTTATTCAATTGTATGCAAAAGAGGTAGTGGTAATGGCATGTATAAAGCATGCTTATTTTTGTCTATTGTATCATATGTTTAATTCCTATAAAAACACCAGTAGCTCTATTGAGTACCTTTTGGAGAACCTGACCACTTCCAGGATGAATTGGATTGTGTTAATTAAATACACTTGACTTTGATGAAACTGAAACCTGATAGGCTTTCAAGGAAATGAAGCTTAGCAAGCTTTAGTGAATTTTAATAGATAGTGGAAAGGATTAAATACAAGATCAGGCAGCTCTGGTTTTCATCAACTGGAATGGTAAGAAGACACCAGTCACCCCTGCCCACCTGACAGAGAGACTTACCTTTTAAGGGCTCATATGGCCAAGCAGCGAGTATGTCCACAGGTCTCCAAAAGTTCTGTTTATGGTCCTGGCCTAACCTGACAATCGGGTTAAGCCCGATTGTCTCATGTTTAGGACTGCCAACCAATATTACATACAGATGAAAGAATCATTTTTAATTATCATAACGGGATGGGGCATGGGGTTAAGAAAGTGAGATGAAAGTGAACATGAAAAAATGTGAAGTCTTTCATTCAGATAGTTAAACTATAGGGTTAGGGATATCTGGCTTTGCAGTAATTCATGCAGAATCAGGAGATTTAGAATAATTTCCATCTCAAATTACCCAAGAATAATGCAGCTGCCTAAAACATTGACCTTATTTTGGTTTGTAGAAATAGAAGAATTTGTGCCCAGAGTATTTCCAGGCACTAATAAATAAGACCAAGTTGGGAGCAACTTGCATATTGGGTCTACATATTTCAGGAAAGTCACAGACAACTAGAGAACACCCTGGTAAAGTGACCAGGGGCCTGGAAGCCACGGCCCATGAGGAATAGTTGAAAGAACTGGGCTTTTTTCCTGGAAAAGAGTAGATGAAGCTTAGGAAAGACATAATATCTATTTTAAAATACAGGTTGAATATTTCTTATCCAAAATGCTTGGGACAAGAAGTGTTTCAGGTTTTGATTTTTTTTTTTTTTTTTTGAATTTTGAAATATTTGCATTATACTTACTGGTTCAGCATTCCTAATCTAAAAGTCTGAAATCTGAAATGTCCAATGAGTATTTCCTTTGAGCATCATATCAATATTCAAAAAGTTTTGAATTTTGGAGCATTAGAATTTTGGATTTTCAAATACAGGGTACTCGAGCTGTATCTAAAGGAGTGTCATGGGAATAAGAAATAAATGTATTCTCTCTTACTCCAGAGAACAGATACAGGAAAGTACAGTGTCTTCCTCAGCTCTTCTTTTAAGGTAGATGAGAGAAAACCAGCTTGAATTAGTTTTGGCATCCATCATAAAAAAAACTTTTTCCTTGAGGACATTGCTACCAGCAATTTCCAGGCTTCCATCGTCCTAGATTTACCACCATAGAGGAAAGAAGTCTTACTGCCAGCTCTTGTGTAAAAGCAAAATTCAGAGGAAGAGTTCTGATTGGCCTGGCTCAGACCATGTGTCTACCTCCTGATGAGTTGCAGTGGACAAGGGGCTAGCCCAGCAACTTAGATAGGCCTAGTATCCACTCTCTGTGGGCTCATGGAAGAACATGCCCACTCCCATTAAAGCCCTGGGTTGTAGGAGGAGGGGGATGCCATGCAGTTGACTAGAAGAAAGAAAGGTATCCTTTCTAGAACAGAGAGGGTGCTGGGAGGCAAAGCAATAAGTCTTCTACACAAGTTGGTTTCTTAAGACTGGTTTGTGTTAATGGATGACCATTTTAAGACTTAGAACTTTCTGAGTATTTATCTCAGGGTGGCCCTTTCAAAAGCCATTTATGTACCTATGAAAGAGCACAGCAACAGAGTGCCTGGAACCTTAGGGAAGATGTCCTGCTATACACCATCCACTGCCCTGCCCCTTAAGCCTCACATCTTTCATCTCTCCTAGTTCCAACCCATGGTCTCCAGACGATGACTCTGCCTCCCTGTTCTGGTAGCATTCACAGATTGCCTTGTTTAGTAGCCTTTCACATGAGATCCACTTGACAGCCCCTGTCCTCACCCCTCCTCAAACTCCTCACCACACTGAAACTCTTCCAGCTCCATGAGTAGGTTCTTGGGTGGTTTCTTCACCTGCAGGTTCAGGTCAATGCTCAGCCGGGGACTCGACAGGGATGCTTTGCAGGTCTCTGGAGTGCTCTTTGTGCAGTCCCTCCTCTGTGGTACTCTGCCCTTGAACTCTCACTGCCTTGGCCTCCCCAAAGTCTAAACTTTGTCTCCTCAACTCAGAAAGTCCTCTGGGCTCTGTCTGGGCTCCCCTTCCCTGTATGTGGAATTAAATCTCTCTGCAGGCAGGAAGTTGGGGCAATCCTAGGGCTCACTTTGTTTTCTTCCCATCTCTCAGGGATCACTGTCCTGATGTCTATTGTCCTGGAAACCGTTGTTTCATTTTTTTTCTTGTTTTGTTTTAAACATTATTTTTTCAGGTGGGAGGGTAAATCAGTCTTTGTTACTCCATCTTGGCTGGAAATTCCATAACCAAAGGTTAACTGTTTTAAAAGAATCCTTAGAATGTTGGTGTGTTTTCTCTCAAGTCTTCTCCACTCCTAGGTCTCTTGAACTCTCTATTAAAAGTCAGAACAGGACTGGGCACGCTGGTTCATGCCTGTAATCCCAGCACTTTGGGAGGCTGATGTAGGAGGATTACCTGAGGCCAGGAGTTTGAGACCAACCTGGGCAACACAGCAGACCCCATTTCTTACAAAATATCTGAAAAACAATTAGCTGGGTGTGGTGGCGTGCCTGTAGTCCTAGCTACTCAGGAGGCTGAGACAGGAGGATTACTTGAGCCCAGGATCTCGAGGTTACAGTGAGCTATGATCGCACCACAGCACTCCAGCCTAGGTGACAGAGCGAGACCCTGTCCTTAAAAAAGAAATTTTAAAAGCCAGAAGCAATTAGAGAAAAAAAAATGCCTTTCACTGCCAGTTAGTTCAAGCCCTGAGATTGCATTTTCTCCAAATGGAAGTAAGTTTCATTCCAACTGACCACTTCTCCATCTTTTCCTTGCTCCTACTTCCCTCATTCCAAATCAGTACTTTTAAATGAGCAGCGTTTGCATGTGTTCATTGCCTACTTTAATCATAACAACTCTCGCTCCAAAGATGAACTCTAGATTGTTTTTTTTAAAAAAGGCTAGAGTTACTAAAAATGTCAGCTTTCATCAGAATAAAAATAAAATGTGTTATAGAGGCCCAAGCAATAGGAAAATGGTCATTATTTACTATGAAAATTGTACGTGTGAGGATCAGTGTTACTTAGAAAAAGTGACACCTGAAATGGCGGGGGAGTGTGGAAGGAAAGGCTGTGTCCCTTCTTGAATTCTTTCCTTCCTCCCTTTCTCCTTTCATATGTGCTTCAACAGAGCAGGGCTAAAACTTCTCCTTAAACCAATGTTTGAATATGCTAGAAAATTATATTAAAAATTGGCAAACATGTTAATTACTTACTTGTAATAAAATCCATTTCTTAAAAGCATCAACTAAACTAAAATTTTAAACATTTTTCAAATTTTCAATAATTTGAACTATACTTTGAATTAAGGGCTTGCTTTCCTGTGTAGATAAGAATCATTTGTAATTAGCACATCAATTATTAGTATGTAAGTGACTATTTCTAAATAACAGTGAATGATTCATTAACTTAAATAGTCTCCTCATAAATTTGTTTTAACCTCCCTGTTATTTTTTTTATAGTACTGATAAAAGTAAATTTCAGCTTAGGCCACTGATGAATTATCATAAACTCTAAGTGAGTAAGGTTCAAATTAATGAGGCTTTACTATAAATTCATCTAGGGGCATAGTAGGCTGACTGTCCCAAGAGAGAGCAGATGTGCAGTTGGCAGGAGGGCCCCTGAGAAATCGTATTTATTGAGGGTTTACATGTGCCAGGCACTTAGCTAAGAGCTTTACATGCGTGATCTCATTTAATGCTCCCAACAACACAGTGATTTAGGTGATGCTACCCTTTTTAAATGATAACACAGAGGCTCAAATTGGTTTGATAATCCGACCAAGGCACAGTTGTAAGGAGAAGCCATGCAGAGATTTCAACCCGGGTCTGCCTAGTGACAAAGCTCCCACTCTTCAGCAGGGGGCACATGGCAGCAGGGGCCTCATGTGCTGCCCTCCTTTCCTCTCCCTGTGCATGAGCATCGAGCATCGGCAGTGCTTTCTCCTCTCTCTGCCTTCTCCCTCTTCTTAGCAAGCAGCCCTCTCAGACTCTCCGTCCACCCCCAGCCTTTTGGGCCTTAGTTTCTTGGGGCTTATTCAAGCCCATTGCCAAAATGGAGAGTCTAAATCAGCCAGGGTTATCGGCTGTCGAAGGCCATGGAAAGTGTTATGTCTTTTGTGAAAATGGCAGTTAAGTTTCTAAATAACAGCAATGGAGGATATTGGAGATGGTTTGAAAAGGAAATTTGTTGGCTGATTTACAACCAAGTTTTGAAATGAAATTTAATAAATCTAGGAAGATGTATGAGCCTTCCAGTGCTTGTTATATGAATTGTTTGCAACTGATTTTTTTGAAGAGTCTCATATCAATGTTTTCCATATATTTTGTGTATTCTTGGAAAATGAGCTCTAGGAGTGAGAGCCGCTGTCTAGCCTCCTTTGTCTGTTTTGTTTCTGGACAAATACAGATCATGTCATGTGAGACAGAATTTTCTGTTGTAAGGAAGGAGAGAGGGGTAATGGGGTTTGGAAGACTGAGACTCTAGTTTTTCCTGCCTTGATGTATGACTGTGAACACGTCATGTACTTCTTTGAAATGCAATCTTCATCTGTATCCGCCACCCCCTCCCCGATCCCGATCCCATACACCTCCACCTCTTATCAACACACTTCAGAAGTAGCGAGGATGAACCTCTGGCTCAGCACAGCCAACAATCTCTCATGGAATCTGTTCTGTCACTTATTCATTCACTCTTCAGATGTTTATTGAGCAACTGCTAAGTGCCAGGCACTGTCAGAGCTTCTGGAAATATAGTGGTGAACAAAGCAAACAAAGATGCTGACCTCATGAAATTTTCACTGCAATGGCGTAAACAAAGAGATAACACACACATAAATAAATTAGTAAGATAATTTCAATTCATGACAGATTCCATGAAGAAAACAAGAGAAGAGAATGGAGTGATTGGGTAAGCAGGTGGGCATGATTTTACAGGGAGTGGTCAGGAGAAATTTCTCTACCTTTTTGTTGGAAGAACCCATGAGACATAGGAAATAGCTAGTGGAAAGGTCTTGAAGTAGAGCTGGAGTTGGTATCAAAAAAAAAAGTCATTGAATTTAGAATATAGTAAAAAGTAGTCCATTGTATATAGACTTTTGTAGGTCATTGTTATTTTGAATTTTATTCTAAATGCAGTGTTTATTTTAGATATTGTTTTAAAAGAATACTCTGACTGCCTGGTGATGAATGAATGAAGTGTGAAAGTGGCTCTTGTTGTGCCTTAGGTGAGAGGGCAGTGGCTGGGATTAAGGTAAACAGGGACCATGGTGGCAATTGGTCAGATCAGAATCAGGGATTTTTTTTTTTCTGAGACAGGGTCTCACTCTGTCACCAAGGCTGGAGTGCAGTGGCACAACCTGGCTCACTACAACCTCTGCCTCCCAGGCTCAAGTGATCCCCCTACCTCAGCCTCCCAAGTAGCTGGGATTACAGGCAAGCACCACTGTGCTCAGCTAGTGTTTTATTTTTTTGTAGAGATGAAGACTCACTGTACTTCCCAGACTGGTCTCCAACTACTGGGCTCAAGTGGTCCCCCTGCCTTAGTCTCCTAAAGTGTTGGAATTACAGACATGAGCCACTGCCCAGCCAGGAAATGTTTTCAAAGTATTGTTGATAGGTCTTACTGATGCATGAAGTGTGGGGGAGTTGAGGAAAAGAGAAGAATCACCTGAGATTCCCCACTAAAATATACATGTATATGCCAGACCAACCAACCAACAAAGTCCCCAAAATGCTAACCACACTGATTTTTGTTTAGGCTATCCATCCTTTCCCCAAGCTAACTTCATCTTCACCTCTAGGGGTATGTGATTCTGTGCCCATATCATAGTGACGGTTTTAAGAGACATAAGTCAAACAGTACATGGAATGTCCTTGGTCAAAGGTGGGCCAGAAAGAAGCTCAGGGTTTTTGCTCAATGATTATAGGAGGTGATGTCCTTTCTGTGTGGATGCATAGGATGAAGTATGCAGCTCTGGCTGATAGCTGTCCTGGGAGCCTGCCCAATGAAGAAACCGACATGTGAGGAGGGCAGAAAAAGAGAATCACTGAGATCTGGAGCTGTGCTTTGTTCATAAGTTCTGAACTGCTTTGTGACAGTCTAAATTGGTTTAATATTGTTTCCAAACCAAAACATCCCAAGTATTACAAGCTGCTCACTGTTTTCTTTGGGATGCAAGAACATGGTGTCATTGAAATAGGACCAGAAAGCCACTGGGAAAGAACAAATTTAGGTGAGATGATTACATAAGGATATGTGCCAAAAAGAAAAACAGGCTGAGTTAAGGAAGGATTCCAAGGATACTAGAATTTCAATAGAAGAATTAAAATCACACTGGAAGCAATGAAGAACAGAATTGACTCTGGAAAATTAAAACAGCAATGCCTAGGGGTAAAAAAAACCTTTAAAATATCTTCGATTGCAGAGCAAGTTTAAAGAGAGTAACATGGAGGTTGAAGACAGAGAGCAGAGCTCTGCCAGTGTCTTCAAGATACAATCAACATCAAGTGCAACAGAAGCAATGCACAACATGGTATTGATGAAAACTTGCCAGCAGTGAATAACAAACTGAATATGCAGATCCCAAGGTCTTACTCTGTTCTAGGAAATGATAAGGGAAAGGGCATCATGCTATGGCCTTAGCAACTTCCCAGGAAAACAAAGCAAAATAAACCACTACCAACAACACCAATACGAACCATCACCACTACCAACACCACCAATACCAACCATCACCACCACCACCACCACCACCACCAACAACAACAACAACAGCGAAACAGGCTGCTGCCAAAGGAACAAAAATCCTGTTGACCTTTGATTTCTTCTCAGTAACTCTAAATACTTAAATTTTCTACATAGATTTCCTGTGGAAAATGTTGCTGACACAATAATATTTACCCCAGCTTGTTGCTGTGGATATGTAAGAAAAAAGAAAATTCTCAGACATTCAAGGGTTTGTAAATTGCGTAATATGGGGGCATTGATAATAGGCACCTTATATAGAACTTCAATAACATGTAGTTATTTTGAATTTTAAATGATATAATAACATAAAGCATTTAGGAAGGTGTCAGGTATCTATAGGCTCTAAAAAGGTTAGCTAATATTAATAATAATAGTAATAATTTCTCCTTGGAAAAAATTACTTAAAGATGTACCTCATTTGATTAAAAAGAAACAAAGTGTAATTCAGGAATATGGACTTTATTATACAAAAGAACTCTATAAGTGTCAAAACTATTTGAACACGTAAGTAAAGGCTATATCCTAAGTAACTGGAACTCATGAGCAAATTTAAATAATTAATAATAAAGCAATTTATTATAATAAGTAATTATAATTACTGATTTCCATAATTATTTCACAATAATATAGTTATTTCATTTTCCCCCCAGATTTAGAGATATAAATGATAAATAAATTGTATATATTTAAAGTATTAAATATTGTGATGATTTCATGTACATATAGGTTGTAAAACCATTACCACAATCAAGTTAGTTAGCACATCTACTACCACTCCAGTTACTACTTCTTCTTCTTCTTTTTTTTTTTTTTTTTTTGTAGTGAGAACACTTAAGATCTATTCTCTTGGCAAATCTCAAGTATTGTCACCATGCTATACATTAGATTCCCAGAACTTCCTCATCTAATAACTGAAGGTTTGGGCTTTTTAACAAACATCTCTTCATTTCTCCCACTCCCAGCCCCTGGCAACCACCATCCTATTCTCTTTCTCTATGAGTTAAACTTTTTTAATATTTCCCATATAAATAAGATCGTACAGTATTTGTCTTTCTCTGTCTGGTTTATTTCATTAGCATAATGCCTTCCAGACTCATCCATGTTGTTACAAATGGCAGGATTTCATTCTTTTTAAAGGCTGAATAGTAGTTCACTGTGTGTGTGTGTATATATATGTATATATGTATGTATATATGTGTGTGTGTGTGTATAAATATATATATATATATGGCATCTTGACCCATTCATCCCTTCACAGACTCATAGATTGTCTCCATGTCTTGGTTGTTGTGAATAATGCTGCAATGAATATGAGTGCAGATGTCTCTTTGACATAGTGATTTCATTTCTTTTGCATATATACCTAGAAGTGGGAATGCTGGATCACATTGTAGTCCTATTTTAATTTTTTGAGGAACCCTTATACTGTTTTTCACAATGAATTGCTGTCCTAATTTACATTCCCACCAATAGTGTACAAGGGATCATTTTTTCCCACATCATCAACACTCTTAATCTTTTGCCGTTTTTGATGATAGACATTGTAATTGGTGTAGGTAACATCTCATTGTGGTTTTGATTTGCATTTCCCTGCTGATTAGTGATATTGAGTACCTTTTCATATATCCGTCGGTCATTTGTATGTCTTCTTTGGAAAAGTATCCATTCTGGTTCTCTGTCCATTTTAAAAATGAAATCATTTTTGCTATTGAGTTAAATGAGTTTCTTACATATTTTGGCTATTAACTCCTGATCAGATATATGGTTTCCAAATATGTTCTCACATTCTGTAGGTTGCCTTTTCATTTTGTTAATTGTTTCCTTTGCTGTGCAGAAGTTTTTAGTTTGATATGATCAATTTGTTTATTTTTGCTTATGTTGCTTGTAGTTTTGTTGCTTGTTGCCTGTAGTTTTTGTGTCATATCCAAAAAAATTATTGCCAAAGCCAATATCATGGAGCTTTTTCCTCTATGTTTGTTTCTAGAAGTTTAACAGCTTCAAGTCTTACGTTTAAGTCTTTAATCCATTTTGAGTTAATTTTTGTGAATGATACAAGATAGGGGTCCAATTTTATTCTTTTGCATATGGCTATCCAGTTTTCTTATCATTTAAGGGAGACTATCCTTTTCCCATTGTGTATTTTTAGTGCTCTTGTCAAATATTAATTGGCCATATTGGGAAATGGGTTTATTTCTGGGCTCTCTTGTCTATTCCATTGGCCTATATATCTATTGCTATGCCAGTACTATGCTGCTTTGATTACTATAGCTTTGTAACGTTGTTTGAAGTGAGGAACTATGATACCTCCAGCTTTATTCTGCTTTTTCAAGATTGCTTTGGCTATTTAGAATCTTTTGTTGTTTCATATGAATTTTAGAATTGTTTTTAATATTTCTTTTAAAAATGCCATTGGAGTTTTGATTGGGATTGCATTGAATCTATAGATCATTTTGGATACTGTAGATATTCTTACAATATTAACTTTTTTCAACCCATAAACACAGAATATATTTCCATTCATTTGTCTCTTCTATTTATTTTACTAATGTTTCATAATTTTCAATGTACAGATTTTTCATATCCTTGATTAAATTTACTCGTATTTTATTCCTTTTGATGCTATTATAAATGAGATTATTTTCTTAATTTCTTCTTTGGTCAGTTCATTGTTAGTGTATAAAAACACAAATCATTTTTGTATGTTGATTTTGTATCCTGCAACTTGTCTGAATTTGTTTATTAGTTCTAACAGGTTTTTTATTTTTTCTTTGTAGAGTATTTAGGGTTTTCTATGTATAGGATTAAGTAATCTGCAAACAGAGATACTTTTGCTTCTTTTTTTCTAATATGGATACATTTTGTTTCCTTTTCTTGCCTAACTGCTCTGTCTAAAAGTTCCAGTAGTATGTTGAATAGAAGTACTAAGGTGGGTACCCTTGTCTTCTTCCTGATCTTAGAGGAAAAGTTTTCAGCTTTCCATCACTGAGTGTGATGTTAGCTGTGGGCTCCTTATATATAGCCTTGTTTTGTTGAGATACCTTATTGTATATTTAATTTGTTAAAGGCTTTTATCATGAAGGAATGAATTTTGTCAAATGTTTTTCTGCATCTACTGAGACAATTATATAATTTTTGTTCTTTATTTTGTTCATGCAGTGTATCACATTCATTGATTTACATATGTTGAATCATTCTTGCATTCCAGGGGTAAATCTCACCTGATCGTGGTGAATGATCCTTTTAATGTGCTGTTGAATTTGGTTAGCTAGTATTCTGTTGAGAATTTTTGCATCTATTTTCATCAGGAATATTGGCTGGTAATTTTCTTTATTTTTGTATCAGGGTAACGTTGGCTTTGTAAAATGATTTTAGTAATATTCCCTAATCTCAATTTTAGGAAGAGTTTGAGAAAGATTAATTCTTTAAGTGTTTGGTAGAACTAACCAGTGAAGCCATCTGGTCCTGGGCTTTTCTTTGTTGGGAGTTTTTTGATTATTGATTCAATCTTCTTACTCATTATTGGTCTGTTCAGATTTTTTATTTCTTCATGATTCAGACTTGGTAGGTTGTTTGTTTCTAAGAATTTATTTATTTCATCTAAGTTATCCAATTTGTTGGCATATAAATGTTGCCATATAATTGATCATAGTAGTATCTTATGATTTTTTGTGTTTCTGTGGTATCCATCATAATGTCTCCTCTTTCATTTATAATTGTAGTTGTTTGAGTTCTTTCTCTTTTTTCTTGGTTAACCGAGCTAAAGGTTTGTAAATTTTGCTTATCTTTTTTTTTTTATAAACCAGCTCTTAGTTTTATTGATATTTTTAAATGTTTTTCTGTTGTTTATATGATTTATTTCTGTTCTAATCTTTATTCTTTCCATTCATCTTCTAATTTTGGGCTCAGTTTATTCTTCTTTGTTTAGTGCCTTGTGGTGTAAACTTAGCTTGTTTATTTGAGATCTTTCTTTTTTCTTAATTTGGCATTTATAGGTATAAACTTTCCCCTTAAAACTCCTTTAGTTGCATCCTACAAGTTTTGGTACGTTGTGTTTTCATTTTTGTTTTTCTCAAGATATGTTTTGATTTTCCTTTTGATTTCTTCTTTTACCCATTGGTTGTTCAGGACTGTGTTGTATGATTTCCTCATATTTATACCTTTTCTAATTTTCCTCTTGACATTGATTTCTAGTTTCATAAAATTGTGGTTGGAAGAAATACTTGGTATAATTTCAATCTTTTTGAATTTGTATTGTTTGATGGTTTGACATATGATCTATTCTTGAGAATGTTCTGTTTGCACTTGAGAATAATGTGTATTTTGTTGCTGTTGGGCGTAATTAAATTTTTCAAGAAGCTGACCAATTGTTTTCTCAGAAATAAAGGTTCGTAAACTGGGGACTACTTTCAACTTTCAAGAAATGCATAATCTTTGTGCTATATAAACCGTCCCAAAACACCAAAATTGATCAATAGCTCTACCTAATTTGGTTTATGAGGCCATCAAGGGGCAACTATCCCACTGCCTCTGGTAGTGCCTTTAGGGTGTATGGATAGAAATGGAATTGCTGGACCAAATTTTTGTCATCTCAATTTTCTGCCAACCGCTTACTTTTATTACCCCAAAACAAGATAGCCATGACTGATGACGTATTTTATAATGATGTTTCTTTTTTAATTCTTAGATAATTGCTTTAGAATATCTGTAACATCTCAAATTCCTTCAATAGAAACTCAGATACAGGTCTATAAAAACTTTAGATAAGTTGGGGTCTTCATAGCGCACTTTCAATTATGACATATAAAAGAATGAATCAAAACCTGAGATAAAAACATATGCCACATCTTATAGGAGAAAGTGCAAGGCATTGGAAGGAGACTAAAGAAGCTACTGGAATATTCATGCTTACAAAAGGACGGGGGTGTGCACTTTCCCCCTTCTGAGTCCAACCTGGCCTTTGTTGTTGTCCAATTTTGCCAGCATGGTGAATGCCTCATGATCAATAACATTTCTAAAGATTCATACAAATTGTTCTCACCATTGTTCTATTTTAGTGCAGCATTTCAAGGGCTAATCCTATGAGAGGAATGGATCCTGGTTGCCATAACAGCCTAATAGTTGTGGAGTGAGTAGAAGAGGGAGTAACAGATGCTGGTTCTGAAGGATGACCCTATAGCAAGGTGGCTACAAGCTGTCTTGTATCCAAATCTACCTAGTGCCTTATTTCTAGTTCCTTACTTTCTCTTAGCACAATAAACTACAGTCATGGAGGCAGACTGAATATCATGTTTTTGAAATCTGAAAGATCCTAAGAAATGCCAAATATTACTTTTTATAGGTTGAATGCCTGCCTTATAGAAAGGTCTCATCAATAGCAATGGAAATGCTATTGGAAAAAGATGTCCTTGCACTCTCTTCAACCTAGGGTATTAACACTTAAAATATTATGAGTCTATTAAACATTTTTAATAGACTAGGCTTGGTATTTTGTTTTTGTTTACATGTTTAAAAAAAT
Source organism: Homo sapiens (assembly GCF_000001405.40). NCBI lineage: Eukaryota > Metazoa > Chordata > Mammalia > Primates > Hominidae > Homo > Homo sapiens. The sequence continues at coordinate 115,000,572 of NC_000011.10, read as the reverse complement.
TTTTTTTTCTAAACAGAGTCTTGCTCTGCTGCCCAGGCTGGAATGCAGTGGCATGTTCGTAGTTTACTATAGTAAACTTGAACTCCTGAGCTTGCTCCTCCTGTCTCAGCTTCCTGAGTAGCTAGGAATACTGGCACATGCTACCATGCCTGGCTAATTCTTAAAAATAAAAATTTTTTTTAGAGGGGAGTCATGCTATGTTGCCCAGGCTGGTCTTGAACTTCTAGCCTCAAGGGATCCTCCTACCTCAGCTCCCAAAGCACTGGGGTCACAGGTGTGAGTCACTGCACCTGGCCTTCTTTACATGTTTTTAAAAATATATTAAAAACAAATTTAATGTTCAGAAAATAAGACTAACAACATCAGCGTGCCCACCATCCAGAGTTTTAAAATAATATATTTACTTTTTGCCTCAATTTCTTTTTTTTTCTGAGACAAAGTCTCACTTTGTTGCCCAGGTTAGACTGCCATGGCATGATCTCACTGCAACGTCTGCCTCCCTGGTTCAAGTGATTCTCCTGCCTCAGCCTCTTGAGTAGCTGGGATTACAGAGGCATGTACTACCATGCCCGGCTAATTTTTTTTTTTTTTTTTTTTTTTGAGATGGAGTCTCATTCTGTTGCCCATGCTGGAGTGCAGTGGAGTGATCTCAGCTCATCGCAACCTCTGCCTCCTAGGTTCAAGCGATTCTCCAGCCTCAGCCTCCCGAGTAGCTGAGATTACAGGCACATGCCATCATGCCGGGCTAATTTTTGTATTTTTAGCAGAGACAGGGTTTCACCATGTTGGCCAGGCTGGTCTCAAACACCTGACTTCAACTGATCCGCCCGTCTTGGCCCCACAAAGTGTGGGATTCCAAGTGTGAGCCACTGTGCCTGGCAGTTTTCCTCATTTTAAATAAAAGAAATATAACAACACAGACAAAACTAAAGTTTCCTTTTTCCCTCATTTTCTATTCAATTTCTCACACTCATTTTCAGAGAAAACCTCTATTGTGAAACTTCTCCATATTCTTCCATTTCTTGTTTTTATACTTTCTACCTAAAATTATATTAATAAAAGTGAATACAGTATTGTTTTGGGTTTCAAACATCTGTATAAATATTTTACACTGTACATACCTATGTTATACTTTATAGATATTTTCATGTCAATACCTATAACAGATCTAGCTCATTCTTTTAACAATTGTATTATATTCCATTGTGTGTGAATATGAAATATAATTTATTCACTTCTCTACTGATGAACATTTGTTTTTTTTCCCTAATTTCTTACTATACAAAGCACTGCTGCAATGAACCTCCTTGTGTGTGTGTGTGTGTGTGTGTGTCTGGGATAGTCTTCGGAGTTTATGGAAGAAAATCAACTGCTATACTATAAAGTATGTACTTTTCAGCTTTATCATACATGGCCAAATTGTTTTCCAAAGTGGTGGCATCAACAGACACTATCCCCATCAGTAATCTCAAGAGCTGTCCCTGCCTCTGCCTCCTCAGCCTCTGTGGCCTTCCTCCTCCTGGCTCTGCATCTCTGTCCCCAATGGCTTCCATTAACTGGCGGCTTCTGCTTTCTCATGGATTTTTATTATACTGCCCTTTCCCTGATTTCATCTTGAATGCCACTCTTTCAGAAAATTCTGACTGATTAGGTCCATCTGCACTTTTTAATAATTCTTACCACTATTGTAATTCATAAATGATTGTATATTCATTTGATATTTGTCTTTCCTATTAGACTCTAAGCTCTGCAAAAGAAGGACTTTTCTGCCTGATTTATTTCTCTATCCCCAGTGCCTACTATGGTCCTTGATAAAGAGTTTCTAAAGAAATGAATCCATTTAAACCCCCTAAGACTCCAACTGTTGTGCCCAGTCAGTATGTGGTGTCTCTGTTAGGCAGAGTGCAGTGAGAGGCAGTAGAGTGCAGTGATTATGAACAGGAGTTTGAGAGCCAGAGAGACTTGGGTTTGAGTCATGGATCTGCAACTAATTAAATATATACAACATTGGGAGAATTATTAAAACTTTCTAAGTCACAGTTTCAGTCTTCGAAGCAAGCGGGCTAACTGTATTACTTAAATCATAAGGTTGTTATGAGAATTGGAATGATGTAGCACATATAAAGCACTCAAAATGATATCAAACACATATCACATATGAAAACAAGTTAGCTATAAAGATATAAACTGCCAATTTACAGAGAAAGAAACCCTAGAGGTTAATAAGCATATAAAGAGATGTAGAAATTAATTAGTGATCAAGGAAATGCAAATTAAAACAACAATGGCACATTACTTTAAGCCTATTAGACTGGCACAATTAGGATAATGCCAAGTGTTGGTGAGAAGGTAGGATGATTACAGCCCTTGTGCATGGCTTCAGGGCCCCAGAGTGGCACGGTCATTCTGGAAAGCAGTATGGATATTCTTGGACAAATTACATATAAGCCTATACTATGCCCAGCAATGTCACCTCTGGAAGATATCCAAGATATATTCTCACACTGATCCATAAGAAGACAAGTGAAGATATCTATTGCAATGCTATTTGTGGTGGAGAGAGTTGTAGGAAATCTGGGTGTTCATTGCTGGGAGTGTAGGCAGATACGATGGGGCAGATTCACACTACAGAATACCAGGCAGCATTTAAAACAGCGAGCTGGATAGATTCATGAAGAGATCTTAAAAAAAGTGCTAAGTGAAAAGAAGAAAGAAAGGGAAGTTAAGATGTAATGAAATACACATTTAAAATTACACAAAGAACAAAAATGTACTCAATAAACACAGGAGTCTGGCTGCTTGTGAGGTTGGAACCAGAATGGAAGTGAGGAATTGAAAGGAGACAATTAAACACACACACACACACACACACACACACAATAGAGGGGCCTTCACAGATGATAGTGTGATGATATGCCATACACTGAAGACTCAATCCTATATACCCTAAGTATTAAAAAAAAAAGATAGCAAGGGGGATAGCCTAGCAAGGTCATGGGATAAAAGCAAGATGACCTATGTGGAATACAAGTTTCATTTCCAGCATGACAGTGTAAGAGATCATGGACTTACCCAACCCATTCCCCTTAAAAAACTGGTGAAAATTATTTTATAAAGCAACCATGTAAAAATCTCTGGAAATGGCCCTAATGGTACACAGCAAATGAAGAAATAGTGATTCAAGAAAATATGCTAAAACTTGATAAGAAAAGTGAGAGTCTTGGTATTTGAACCAAAATCTACCTGCTCCTCCTGCCCAGCCCAGTGAAACAGAGACTTCAGTCCAAATGGGTGCAGTTGAGAACAGACAGCTCCCTCTCTCCAAAGCTCCCAGTGGAGGGCTCTTTCTTGTGAGGGGCTGAACATCAGCAGCTCTCACCTTGGTCCCAACTACCTGTTGCTAAACCTAAGTTCAGCCTACATGGTTCTTAGTTTAAAGAATAAAAGGAATAAGGAATATTCTTGGGGAATCCATTCTCAGGTACTATTCTAAGTCCCAGATATAAGCGTGAGGGGAGGAGGACAAAGTCCCTGCTTTTGTGGAACTTATAATTTCAATGGGGGAAGGATACAATAAATAAGAAATGAATATATAAATAGTATAGTATTGTATTAGTCTGTCCTCACACTGCTAATAAAGACATAACTGAGACTGGGTAATATATAAAGGAAAAAGCTTTAATTGACTCACAGTTCCACATGGCTGGGGAGGCCTCAAAATCATGGCAGAGGGTGCTGGAGGATCACAGTCACATCTTACATGGCAGCAGGCAAGAGAGCTTGTTCAGGGGAACTCCCATTTATAAAACCATCAGATCTCATGAGACTTTTTCACTACCATGAGAACAGTATGAGGGAAACTGCCCCCCATGATTTGATGATCTCCACCTGGCCCCACCCTCGACACACGGGGTTTATTACAATTCAAGATGAGATTTGGGTGGGGACAGAGACAAACCATATCAAGTATCAAGCAGTGGTAAATGCTATAAAGAAAAGTAAAACAATGTAAGAGACAGAAAATGATGGAGGAGAAAGGCTGCTAATTTGGATAGGATGGGCAGAGAAAGTCCCTCTCACAAGGTGCCTTTTAGCAGATATCTGATTGAAATGAGGGAGGGAAACATGAATAACTGGGAGAAGAGCATTTCAGACACCAAGAACCACGCTTCCGGAGGATCTAAGGCAGGAGAGTGTTTGGTGTGTTGGAGGGCCAGCAAGGAGGAGTGTGGCTGAGGCAGAGTGGGAGACTGGCCGAGTGTTCACAGGTGTCATAGGTGAGACCAGAGAGGTAGCTGAAAACCAGGTTCATTATAGAACTCTTGCAGTTGTTTCAACAAGAGATAGTGATGGCTTGGACATAGATTGTAGCAATGGAGGTGGGAAAGTAGTTTCTGGCCTCATTCTTAAGGTAGAGTTGATAGGATTTGCTGACAGTTTTGATGGTAGTGGAGCTGGGTGAAGGGTGAGGGGAGGAAGGCAGGGGTCATCAACAAAAGAGTCGAGAGTAAAAATAGGGAGAGAGAAAAAGAAGTCAAGAATGACTCTAGGGTTTTTGAACTGGGTGTCTAGGTGAATGGAGGAAACATTTGCTAGGATGGTCCTACCTGGGTAAGAGTACTCAGTGTCAATGTGTACATGCCCATCTGAGGCCAGACTGATTTTTCCTATTTGCATGAGTCTAGCATTTTCAGGAATTTGATTTTGGCTATGTTGAGTTTGAAATGCTCATTAGTCATCCAACTGGAGATGCTGAATAGACAGTTGGGTATGAATTTGGAGTTCAGGGAAGAGGTCAGACCTATAAATATGAAGTGAGGAGTGATCAGCATACAGACGACAATTAAAGCCACAAGACTGGATAAAATTAGAAGAGATCTACAGCCTGAATGCAAGGGCACACAATCACTTAAAGGTCAGGGAAATTAGGAAGAATCAGTAAGAGAGTGAGAAAGAGCAAACCTGTGAAGCAAAAAGAAAAAAAAAAAAAGAGTATTGTCCCAGAAACCAAGTGAAGACAATGATGAACTGTGCTGAATGCTGCTCAGATATCAGGCAGCATGGGATCTGAGAATTAACTCTTGGATTTGGGAAGGTGAAGGTCATAGTGACTTTGATCAAAGCACTTTCATGATGCTGCAGAGATGAAAGCCTGATGGAATTGTGTTCAAGAAACGATGGGAGGAGAGAAAATGGAGAGTTTGAGAACAGATACCTGTTAAGCAAGGGAGTTTGCTGTGAAGCAATAGAAAAAAAATGTTTTAGGAGCTGGAGAACAATGGAGTTTTGTGTTTCTTTCTTTTAAAATATGAGAGAAAGTGAAGCATTTGTATATCATTTGGAGTGATTCTTTGGAAGGGGAAATAATGATGCAAGAGAGGGAGGGCTAACTGCAGAGACAAAGCCCTTGAGAAGGCAAGAGAGGTAGGCTGCAGGGCACAGGTAAGGAAAAGGAACGGTTCAGTTCATCCGCTGTCAAGGAAGTGATGGCAGAGGATGTACGCACAGATGAGGATAGGTTGATAGACCTGGTGGTGGGTGGATATGGAAATTCTGTTTTGATAGCTTATCTTTCCTACGTTAAATAAGATTATTAGTTGAGAGTAGGGATTAGGAAGGGGGTGTTGGAGATTTAAGGAAAGAATGTCTATTGATTAAGATATTATTCTTCTGTGAGTAACAGACACTCAAAATAATAGCAGCTTAAGTAAGTCAGAAGTTTGGATGTAGGCTACCAAGAGCGGGTGTGGGAACCCTACTCCCTGAAGATCTTGGGAGTCAAAGCTTTTTCCAGCTTTCCAGCAACAAGAGAATCAAGAATGGAAAAAAGGGAGAGAGAAAGAGGAGTCAAGAATGACTCCCAGGGTTTTTGAACTTGACAGCTAGGTGAATGGAGGAACCATGTGTTAGGATAATCCTGACTGGGGAAGAGTACACAATGTCAATGTGGACATGTCCCTCTGAGGCCAGCCTGATTCCACTTCATCATTCCTAGGACATAGCCCTCATCTTCTTGGTGTGAAATGAAGCTCCAGCTGTAACATCCATGTTCCAAGCAGCAGAATGAAGAAAAGAGAAGGCGGGAGCTGCTTGTGTGCCTATAATCTTTTAAAGAACGTTTCTAAAAGTTGCCACATAAAAATTTCATACAAATTTTATTGGCCAAAATTTGGCCACAGGCCCACACACAGCTGCAAAGTAAACTGGGAAATGTAGTCTTAATTCTGGGCAGCCGTATGTCCAACTAAAAATTCTACTACTAAGGAAGGAGTGCAGATGTTGTGGGATGACTATCAGTCCATGCCATGGTGTGAAATAGTTACCTTGGAGAATGGGGTAAGGAATTAAGAAAATGTAGTAAAAATTGTAAGTAACCATGTCTTACTGCTTCAGTACAAGTGAGTAGAGAAAGGTTTTTTTTGTTTTTTTTTTTTTCAGGTGAATTTAACAGAAAAAGAGAGCAAGGGAGCTGGGAGTGTGTGCACAGGAGAGATTATACTGATGAAATTTGTAATCTGAGCTGGATAATAAAAAAAGGACAGGACAATAAAAAAAGGAGAGGACAACAAAAAATGGAGAGAAGTTCTAGAGAGCAAGAAAATAAGAAGTCAAGCACAGAAGTTATTGATGAGGCTCAAATAAGCTTGGAGTGGTGGTGCTGGGGTAAGTGAGTGGAAAGATAGGAGTGGACAGCGAGAGAGTGGAAAGGTGACCCAGTTATTGGGAATGACAAAGTGTAGAGCATGGGTAAATTTGGAAGAAAACCCCTCAGTTTATTGGAAGTGAGGAGTTCAAGGATATGAAAGAGTTGGGTGTTATATGGATCATCTATGTGAACAATGAAGTGATCAAGAACAAATGACAGTAACAGCAAAGTAAAGAGAATAACTCCAGTGAGATGACAGGATGGCTGGTAGGTAACTGCGTCAGGGATAACAGAAAACATGTGCTTCAGAGGAGCGGGAGATTTAGAGGAATGATGGAGGAGAAATGACCTGGAAGCATCAATGAAGAAAAAGGAAGCCTACCATACTCCAGACTGTGGGTCGTGGAAGCACAAACAGCCACCATTTGAAGAAGCTCCTGGGGAAGCAGTGTCTCAGGGCAGAACCTGGATTCTGAGCAAGATAGTGATGGGAACTTTCAGTGAAGAGCTCATGCATCCTCTCTAGGGGATTTTGCATATGGTGGCATGAGGTCCAGAGGCTAAAGGGGAAGGGTCTTGTGGGTATGGAGAGCTGGGAGATTGAGCTGCATTTGTACTGGAACATTTTCATGTGGGGATATGAGTAAGGTAGAAAGAGAGGGAAACGGCTGTGGAGCCTGATGAGTTTAGTCCTGAAAGTCTTTAGGGGAAGACGTGTCAGGAGTTTTACACGCACAAAGTCCCTCCTGTGGGATTAGCTTCCTAGGCAATGCCATCATGACAGTGGTGAGTGTCTTACCAGGGACAGATGGAGCTCTAGGGGCTTCCCTTAACTCTTCACAGCCGTTGGAGAGCTATTCAACAGGGAGTAGACCTAGCTTCGGGGGCCTGGAACTCGGAGGCACTCACTCCTTATAGAGTCCATGGGGTGGTCTCACAGCAAGGGTGTAGTCAAGCCCGGATAGTCCTTTTTGGGATCATCTCAGTAGATATTGAATAAAAACACATTTGACAAATTTCGATACAAATTTCTGATTTAAATTCAGAATAGATGACTGCTTCCTTCACATAAAGTTAAAATCAACGTCATGTTTAAAATTTAAAAAAGCATTCTTGTTAAAGTCATGAATAAGAAAAAGATGCCCACTATCACCACAATTTTTCCACATTGTCTTGGAAACAATGATATACATATTGGAAAAAAGGCATACATATTGGGAAGGAAGTTACAAAATAACTATTTTAAGATATGAGTGCAAACCTGGAAAAACTAAGAGAAGTATTTAAAAACTATTAACAACTAGAAAGGAATTTAGCAAAATGATTGGCTAAAATATTTTAGTATATAAAAATTAAGTTATCTTTTATACTAAAAATAACTGATTAGAAAATGTAATAGAAAATCTTTTATTTGCAAAAACAACAGATAAAACAACCATAAGTAAATATGGCAAGAGATGTGCGTAGGGCTTATTTGAACAAAACCTTGACATTGTAATGAAATTCATTAAGTGAAAATTGGATAAGTAGCAAGATATGCTGATCTTGAATAAGATGATTAAACTGTGTAATTACATTAATTTCCCAAATTTAATCTATACATTCGCTATGATCCCAATCAAAACACAAACAAGATTTGTTTAAGAGGAATTTGACAAAATAATGCTGAAGTTCCTCTAATGAACGAACCCTGTGAAGCAGCTAGGAAAAGTGTGAAAAGAAAAGAAGCATTATAAATAGAGAGTTGGATATTGAGATACTGTTAGAAATTAAATTATACTATGAAGCCAAGGTAATTTAAAAATTCGGGGACTAGAGTAGGAATAGGAAAATCGAGTCCAGACGTAAACCCAAATAAATATGGGAGTTTGGAAAATGCTGAAGATGGCATTTTGATTAAGTAGTGGTGAATTATTTTAAAAATAGGCTTCAGGCCACTGGCTAGTCATTTTGGCCTTAGGAGGAACTAGAATCTACCTGCTAACTATGCATATTGGCTACAAATGCTGTTTAGCCTGATAATCTGACAGTAAAAACATTTGGATTCATTTTTGACCTTTCAACACTGGGAGATTTTGTATCAATATCTGTCTTTTATATAGGGTGGTCAGGAAGGCCTCTGTGGGAAGGGAATTTTTGAGCTGCCATGCTGTGGAGTGGAGGTAGGAAGTACAGGGAACTTGAGATGGACAGACTTGATGGCTGGAAGAGGAGAGGGCGGGTGGTGCAGTTGAAGCCCAGGGAGTGAGCAGGAGAGGGCGTCGAGGGTTTCTAGATCTTAGAGAAGGCGACTGCCAGATCACATGGAGCCTGCAGGCCACAGCAAAGAGTTTAGATTTTATTCTTAAGGGCAACAAGAAGACATTAGTGGTCGTGAAGCTGTTGGTGGTGAGATGATCTGATCTGATCTGTATTTTTAGAAAGATCACTGTGAAATTGTTAAGATGGTAAATTTTATATTATGTGTATTTTGCCATAATCTTTAAAAATGCTAATAATAAAAAAGATCACTCTGCCTGTTATATAAACAAGTGCTTGAGCTGAGTAGTAGTGACTCCTTTGAGGGACCCATTTCTATTGTCCAGTTCACCCCTCTGAACTCAACCCCACTTAGATATTTTTATTCATATATGCAACATGTCTGGCTTGTGTCTGCAATCCACTTGTACATTTGTGTTTGCAGTCCTTGTCTTACAACAAAATTAATTTTACAGGATAAAAGATTCAAACATAAAATTTATAATCAGAAGGAAATATGGGGAATTGTTTTAATCTCAAGGTCAGAAAGGTCTTTCTAAGTTTGACAATGATCTGGCAACAGAAAACATTGTTTGCTATTACTGTAGATACTGTAAAAACCCTGTAAGGGGGGGATAAAGGAAAAGCTAGAGAAAATTTAACAGCAGATGGGAATTAGCTAGGATTTGAATAAGACTAAAAATACCTAATGGCCATTATTTATTGAGCATGTACTATGCGTGGGCACTGTGAAAAGCACTTTGTATATATTACTTAGTTTATTCTCACAATGGTATACTTGTAATAAAAGTCTTCTTCCACTTTTTCTTAAACAGATAAAGAATCTGGAGCTCAGGGTAGTCCAGTTAGTTGACCAAAGTCACACAGCTAGTAAACAGAATTGGGATTTGATAAAATGCTTTAAGCCTCTTGTGTGTTCACCCAGATCCTCTCTTCACCCTCCCTTATCCTTTTAGCCCAGAGAGGTGGACTGTTAGGAATTTCATCAATGAACTCCCTTGCCTTGGCTTCCCTTTGGATTTTGCCAATGGGAGGCGCTGGCAGTGACTGGTGTAGAGTGAGGTTAGGATATTTATTTCCCCAACTCCCTTCCCACTGGTTGCTGTGGGCTGGCTTTGTGCCTTTTCTGAAAGCCACAGTGCTTGTCTGATCTTTCTCTTTTTTCACATGTTTTCCTCTAGTTTCCCTTCTCTCATCCCTCCTGGCCTGTGAGTGGCCCTGGGCTCTCCGCTGCCACTGGCCTGCTCTGCCCCATCTCCTGTTAGTTTCCCTAAGGCTGCTCACATTGTTGTAAATAGTCCCTGTATTAAATTCTCCACCAGTTGCTTGGTTTTCAGCGTGCCTTCTCATCCCTGCTGTGCCTCAGCTGATCTAAATCTGATTCTAAGGCCTAGGCACATTCTTAGCAGGGGTTACCACTTGAGCACAGGGGGTGGGCATGAGTCTGAGGGCAGGGAGGGTCTGATGGAGGGGGAGCTTGGGTGGCAAATAGCAGGAGAGGGTCGTAAAGGTATTTGGAGATCAGAGGAGGAGAGTGTCAGTTGTGAGGCTGTGAAGTTGCAAGACTTTCCTGGCATTCAGAGGACCCAAACCAGCTATGTACTCATGGGCAAGAGTGGCGGACCCCCAAGGGCCACACTGGCCTGGGTGAAATGGATTCAGCATGTGTTCATTTTGGGGCAGGGGATAGAGGGCATTGCTTGGGTTGAAGAGGATGAGAGTAGAAAAATGTTTCCAACAACTCCAGTTTGTCATGCACCCTATTTCTTCTTGTGCACTCCCTAGATTCTCAGCAAGGTCTCTCCCACCCCCGCCCCCAGGCCCCTGCAACCTTTCCTCTCTTGCTATAGCATTCCAGAAAATCTCAGCTCAAGATTGATGGCTTCATAACCGGCCCGGAGTCCTTGTGCTCCTGCCGCTGTGTCGTGAATCATCAGTGCTGCCTCACCCCACTCCCAGCAAAGAGGACCCCAAGGACACTCCTGAGAGTGGGCGGGTGCTGGAACTGCTCCTGCCTGCTGGACACGGGGTCTGCGGCCATGAGGAAGTGGGGCCAGCTTGTGAGGAGCTGTAGGCAGGTGAAACTGCTTTCTGGGTTGTGAGGACCCAACGGCTTTGAATCAGAGAGCTACGGCAAAGTCTCATTCAAGTACTCCAGTCTGCCTGTCTCTTTTGCACACTTCTCTGGTATTAATTTAATGTTATTGCAATAACAGTAACAGTTTCAATTGATTGAATCGGGTGCTTACGTTAAAACAGGCTTTGCATACATTTTCTGGCTTAGTCTTCTTAGCAGAAATGCAAGCTCCGTCTTCTATCCCCATTGTACAGTCGGGGAAACTGAAGCACAGTGAATAATGAACCAGAGATTCAAACACGCTTCTGATTCCAAAGCCTGAGCTCTTTCTAATACACTGTGGTAGCCATGAAAGTGGACCTCAAGTTGTAGAGAAGTCTTTTTCCTGCCGGCTGTGCTCTGTGGGCTCCCCCCTGAGATACCCAGGCCTTCTGTGAGGTCTCCAGCCACCGGAACCTGGGAGTGTAGGGAAGCGGGAGGGAAGGAGAGGACATTTTTTGGGGGTGGAGGATAGGGAATGCGGAAAAGAGAAGAAAAGCAGCAAATCCATCTGCCCTTTGCTGCCCTTGAGGATAGTTAGTGCGGTAAGAAGCTTTGAGGCTTCGCTAACTCCCTGGCATCTCCATTTTATGAAATGAGGGTTTGCAGCAGCAGTTCATCGAAGCACACAGATTACTATTAGCGATAGCACCTCACAAGCACTGTACCTGTTGTCCCAGCTCACCGAGTGCCAGACAGCCCTCCCGCGGGGGAATCTCACAGCGAACAGGCCCAGCTCCACCAGCAAACTCAGTATCTCTTCCTGCCTGAGAACACGGGCCACTCAATATCCAGGAAGATAGGGATCAATCCCAGCGCACCAGAGAGGAAACCGATCAGTCGAGGAAGAGAGGGCCTCGCTTAGAGATTAGCCGATCTAGGGGAAAAAAATTAACAGCAGCTAATTCAGTCACACTTAATTTAAAGTCTTCCCAATAAGAGGTTTAATCTAGATTGAATAAAGTAGGATCTGTACACTTGCTGGTAACTGGAAAACTCTTGATGAAATTTTACAGGAGTTGTTGATCATCCAGTTTTCTTACTTCCTGCATATCTCTAGCCCTATTTGATGAATATTGCTGGAGTGTCAGAGTCTGAACAAGGTTTTGCATTTGATAACAACGTCGATAAGAGGGGAAGCATCATACAAATTACAGATTCAAGTATATACACCACTTATTTACTCCTCATTCATTATTCATTTAACAAACATTTCATAAGCAACTATTATGTGCCAGGCTTTGTGGTAGGCCAGTGTGGGGGTCACAGTTATGAATACATTATAATTTCTCCCCCTTCAGGGTGGTTGGTCTGGAAAATAGAATTATAAATGATGAAACCACCACTCAGAATGATAAATGCTCTTGCAGGTATTTGAGTAACGTGTTTTGGAAAATGTAGAAAAGGGACAATTAATTCAGGGATGGCACAAGATGCTGGTTGGGAAAGCAGTCACAGAGGAGGTGATATTTGAGCTAAGTTCTGAAGGATAGATAGAAACTTCCAGTAAGACATCACTTGTTTTTAATCTCCTTTTTACGATGGAGGGGCAGCAATGGTAAGTAAATTTTTCAAAGTTCCTGGTTGTAAATGGCAGAGCCAGACTTGAACCCTGGGTGCCTGACTTTAGAGGCAACATTCCCTCTATGATTTCATTCTTGCCATTTCTAGTTCCTTTAGCCCTGAGATTAAGGACTTTTATGCGGGGAAGCTGGAGCAGAAAGCAGGCTGAGACCTGGTCCCAGAGCAGCTGCCGTGCCGAATGCCCCTTGGCACCAGGAGAGGTTGCCAGCACAGGATGCTGGGTGGGCCGGAGGCTCACCCCTGCAGTCCTTGTGGGCATGTGGCAGTGAAGAACAGCCATCCTCAGGCCCAGGCCCGGCTGCATTGCTTCCTCTAACAACTGAACTGATTAGAAGGAGACTTTGACTTGATTAGTGATTATTGTCTCAGTGCAGCCGTGGCTCTAAGCCTGCTCGTTCTGGGAAGGGGGCGGGATGTTTTGAAGAAGCACCAGCAGGCGTCTCAGTGTGGCTCATCTCAGCCCCTCTCCATATCTGGTCTTTCTCTGCTTTGCTTCCAAACTGGTTCTGGCCTTTCCTTGGAGAGGGCTGGGTAGGCAGGGCAGAGCCTGACTCCTTCCTTGAACCACTCCTCCATGCAAAGAGGCTCTGAAGGCACGTGCATACTGAGTCATGGAAAACCACTCTCTGTGCCCATCTGCAGAATCCAGAGTCACAGAAGCCAGGCAGGCCTCAGCCTGCACTAAACCCCCGTACAAGAAATATCTGCAGAGACGATGCACACTGCGTCTAAGCCATCAGAATGTGGTCAGATGCATCTGGGTTCAAGGCCCAAACCATGGCACCTTGGAAAAGCTGCCTTGCCTTTTCTGTGCCTCAGTTCCTTCATTTGCAAAATGAAAATAATCACAGTATCTACCTCACGAGGCTATCAAGAGACATGAATGAGATATCATAGCATAGTACTTGGCACAGAAACAGTGCTGTGTGTTCATAATTGCTGTTCATTCTAGAAATCCCAGCTTAGCTATTGAGGATCTGTGTGGCCTTGGACAAACCCCTCACATCTCTGGACCTCAGTTCCCTCATGGGATTGTTGTGAAGATTAAACAAGCCAATGAGTGTGAAATGTCTTGCACAGGTGGGATGCAGAACAGTGCAGGGGCTCCATATGCACTAGACAGATCTCTCTTTGAGTTGCGGTGGACAAAGTCACTCAGCCCGCACCCAGGCATAGGCCCCCAGGGCCACAGTCCCATGGTGGTGTTGACTGTGGAGGTCTCAGGAATGGGAGGTACGGTCTCTACCCTGGGGAAGTTCAGACCAAAGGGACAGAAATATACTACTTAAAGACTCAAGGTCCTCTAAACCCCAGTGCGGATGAGAAGGCCAAGGCCAGTGCTCAAGCACCGGAAGGACGCAGAGTGCGGGCTTGAGCAGTGTGGGAAAGGGTCCAATAGGGACTTAGTGGGGAGGAGTAAAAGGTACCTGACTGGGCCAATCTCCGGGTGGTTGAGAGAGGAGAGAGTGAGCATTTGCAGAGTGCCTGTGTGGCAGATGAGTGCTAGGGGCTTCTCATCCAACACCTCATCACACCCACAAGTCTTTGAAGTGACAGCACTAGCCCTGAGTGGCAGTTGCAGACCTTGGGCTAAGAGAGGTTCCAGAACAGCTCCAGGTCACACTGTCCAGAGCATGGAGCTAGGATTCAGCCTGCCTCCCATGCCTGGGTTCATGCCACAATGCTGGGTTGCAGTTTTTCAGTTTGAGTATTATGCATTGCTTATTGATCCATTTTCTTTCAGGCCTTGGGTCTGTGGCTGCTAATCTGAAACCTGGCTTCATCTTCATGTCTCAGCATCACTGTTTACACCAGCATTTTGTTCTTCTAGCACTCAGCCATGCCTGGCACTGAGTAGGTGCTCACTAAAGACATATTTGCTGCATGGGGACAATATAGCCCCCACACACGTGAGTTGCTCTTTGTCGGCCCGCTCTGAGGAGAGGGCATTTGTGGCATTTTTCAGAGCACATAGTGGTGGTGTCTTTTCTCTCTGGCTCCACTGTGCATGTTCCAAGGATGGGCTGACCCTGGCCCAGCACCGCTGAGCACCGCTAAGGTATTCCTCAGGCTGTAGCATACACTCTTTATACCTCCTGCCCTCCTGGGCACCTGTCTTCTTCTTTCTCTTGTCTTCTCTTGTTCTCTTGCCCCTCGTCTCTTGTCCCTTAATGTTTCCCCTTTCTTCTATATCTTTTTTGCTTTTTCCTCTTACTGCCTCTTTGCTGGGCCTGTCCCCAGCAGGTGTGGACATTGCCCTGTGTCTTTGGAGACTCACTGTGGCCCCAGGGCAAAGGCAGAGTGTAGGCTGGCCTGTCACTAGTGCACCAGCCTGGCCTGCAGCCTGGGGAGGTGGAGACAGCCCGCAGATGGGGTGCTTCTCCAGCTCAGCTGCATACCCGCCTCATGATCTCAGGCAGGCATGTCAACCCTGAGTCTCATTTTCATTTTTTGTCCACCTTCCTCACAGCTGTGGTGAGAGTCAAATAAGGCCAAACTAGACCCTGTGATGTGAGTAGCAGAGCTCCATAGTCATGACCCTTGATTCAAGTCCTGGCTCTGCTGCATGACTTTGGCCAAGTAATACTCCCTGAGACTCAGTTTCCCTATCTGCAAAAATAAGTATTAATATCTCACAGGGCTGTGATGAGCATTCACTGTGGTGACAATGGAAAGTGTTGTAGAAATGCTAGAGCTCTGCTCTCAGCTACAATTTTGTGGACAGTGCCCCAAGCTGTCCTCTACCCATGTTCTCCCTCTTGGGAAAGGGCTGGCCGCTTTCCCAAGGCTGCCTACGAAGGTGCCTTTTCTCCCTTGCCCTTCCCAAGGGACTCTGTTCTGTCTTCTCCTGCCAGCCACCCTGTCTGCCAGCCGGGCTGTCTTACCCCAGGGGTGCCCCTGCTGAGCCATCCCTATGGTCGTGAGTTGAGAAGCTGGCCATGTTGTGTTTGTCCGCAAACTCCTGGCAGCCAGGCCGCTGATTTATCTCCCGATGCACTCTTTGCCATCTGTTTTTATATTGCTTTCAGCACAAGATAAGTGGCTCCCATACAGCGCTGAGCTTCAGAGATTGCAAAGTTCATGAGTTTGCAGAATTTATGATAAGGCAGAGAATTGTCTTAGTGCATCATTCATGTGCGTGGGGTCCAGAACGAAATGCCACTGCTTTCAGATGTTTTCTTCCTTTCTCCTGTCCCCTCAGAGGTGGGGATGGCCAGCCAGCATCCTCTACTCTTGAGCCTGGACCTCGGGAGGGCTTCAGTTCCTTACTAGTTTCTGCAATGACACAGTAGGGAGCATCTCTGCACAGGAAGATGGAGGAGGAGGGGAAGCAGGAGGTGGCTGACCATAGTACTTTGTGTCTTCCAAGGGTGGTTGGCTGACCACTGCTTGGACAGTTGTTCTATGATCTGGGTGATACCAAAACCATTGGCCAGTGTTTTATTTCTCAAACTTTTGTTTTTTAAAAAATATTTCACCATCTACCATGATGATGTGTGCCATAAATTATAAATATGCAATTAAAAGACCAAAAATGATTGATTAAAGAGTATGCTTCTCTATTCCACTACTCTCTACTCTCTATAACTTGATTAATTATATCATTTCCACTTTTTCATTCACTGCTCCTTGAATGGTGGGACCAAGTGTCCAGACTTTGGAGTGAGATTACTCCAAGTTGGAATATCAGCCCCTTCACTTACCCATTCGTTTGTTTTATTGCAACAAGTTATTTAGTGCATATAGGCCTCAAGTTCTCCTCTTGAAAAACAGAGCTAATAATAGTTTCTCTCACATAGGTTTTTGAAGATTAAATGAGATAATGTTTGTAAAGGGCATAGCATTTTTCCTGGAAAGAGTGTAAACACTTACTACATATTTGCTCTTACTATTATTGATTTTCTATGTAAGGCCCCTGGGTACAGAAACAAGAATGACATAGCCCTGCCCTCAAGGAGTTTGGGTTGGTGGTTATGGCACAGAGAACAGAAATATGGTTGAGGGCTCTGTGAGGTGACTTAGGCTCTACAGAAGGGGAGCTTGCATTTCAGGTGGAGAGTTAGGGATGGCTTTGGAGGACGTAGATTTGGGGCTGATTTGTGGATGGCTCAGGCTGCCCACCTGAGCTGTATCTCTGCCCTCTTCTAGTTCCTCTCCCTTTCCTCCTCCTTCTTCAACGGTCCATTGTGATTATTCAAGGTGCAAGGTTCTCTAAGCAATGAAGACATTTATACAGGTATTATTTTTAGCTAAATTTCCAAAGCAAACTCTAGGACTTCAAGAATCCTACTGATAAAGACAAACCACTGCATCATCATTGCACTGTGGGAGTGGGAGCTAGCCAGGTAAATAGGGTGGCAATGAGCATCCTAAGGAGAGACAGCAGCAAAGCATGTGGCAGACTCCAGAGTTCTGTGGTTGAGTATGGCAAGGGTGAAGACAGCTTGTGGAAAGTGTACAAAATGAGGCAGAGAAGATGCAGAGTCTGTTTGCACAGGGCTCATGTGCCAGGCTAAGGATTTTGCATTCACTGCATGGTGAGCCACTGGAGAAATCACTTCTTTATTTGAGGTAAGCTACTATAGATTGAGTGCTTCCTATGTGCTAGGTATTGAAAGATACTTTACATATATTATTCCCTCATTTATATGTCACAGCAGCTCCATAAAATAGATCTTATTATGCCCATTTTAGAGATGAGAATATTGATATTGGACCACTTGATTAAAATCCTACAAGTGGTAGAGCTGAAATTTCTACATAGATCTTTCTGACATAAAAGCCCTTCACCACTATTTTATGCCAAACCCTAGGTGTGTCAAGCTGCCCTCTGAGACAGTAAGCATCCTAATGTTATGTCTTAAGATTAGGTGGGCATGGCTTATAAACTAGAAAGAGACCGGTGAGGTCATGACCAGGATGGAATAGACACTGTGTCCAGAATGGCAGGCAGGGCATGCTAGTGTAGCAGGGCACAGCTGAGTAAGTAGTTGACAACGATAGAGACAAGCTCAAGCCCAAGTTGAAATGTCTGATGTTTCAACATGCAGGTGGAGATATTTGCAAGGTATCTGAGGTTTGCAAGCCATGGAAACAAGCAAGGAGGCATTAGGAGCTCCTGTGCCCAAGAACCTATGTGGGTGTTGAGTGAAAGGGTTGTTTTGGAACACACACCTCATGCGCAGACTTAGCTTCCTGGACAGACCAACCCATTCATGTATCATTCCCTTATTTCTCATGGCATACCCAGACTTCAGCTCATACTGTTTCTTATGCCATTAGGTCCTCAACTGGTCTTCTTGGCTCAAAGCAGTCAGCCCTTATTTTTGGGCTTTTCCTCTTGACTGTTGGTTTTTCCCTCTGTGGCAGAAATGTATCCCTGGCCCCTTGGATGGCACCCTGGCATGTGTAACTGAGCCTCTCAGGCTCTTCTACTTGTGTTCACCTTTTTGGGTGGCCCCTCACACAACTTGCCTTTGTCTTACAGGCCAGACTAGACAAAGTCAAGTAACAGGCTATGACAGAGTAACTGCAACAAGTCCTGAGCCCAAGAAGAAAAGGAGAAAAGAGGCAAATAATAGAAGAGGCATTTATGGACAGGGCCAGAGGCAAAGTCCACTTCCTACAGCTGGGGCCTTACGTCTGCATCTGATGGTAGCAGTCAAGGACCCAGCTGCTGCTTCCTTTACCCAGGAATAAAAAGCTCCAGGCAGGGGTAGAGGAGGAGAACACAGGCTGAGACCAGACTCCAAGGGAGAGTCCAAGTCACAGTGGATGTGAAAATCCTTGGATCAGCATGAGGGATGAAAACAATGCACATGAAGTGTTTTGTGCAAAACTTCATGATGCACATTTTTGAGATCCCCCTCAGTGCCTCCATGTTCTAGGAACATAGACACTCAACAAATCCCTGGGATAATTGATCAAGCAGCGCTCCCCAAATGGTGATTCATCCAGCAAATGCCTTCATAGTGTGTCCGTATAATAGGGAGGGGATAGGGAGAGAGATAACTATGTTGACACAGAGGTCAAGGGGAGCAGGAAGTGAACTGACACCTGTGCTGGCCCCTGCTTTCCTCATCTCTCTCCGTCCTAATACAGTACTCCTTTCCCAGATGAGGAAACTGGCATAGCCATGGGAAAGGACTCAGCCAAGGTCCCATGAATCGTTAAGAGGCAGAGCTGTGATTTGAACACAAGTGTGCCCAACTCTGAGATTCACACTTTTAACCCTGAATGTGGTTTCTGAATGTCCCAACTGGTCTGAGTGGCAACATCAGCCTCAGCATCAGCAGTCATTGGTATTTCCGAGAGGTATTTACGTTTTAATAATCAGCTCTTGAAGAAAGAAAATTTGTCATATCTCAAATGGCAGAAGTTTGACTTCCTAACTGGATTTTCAGATAGGGTTTTTTCCTTAGATCTGCTGGATCTATACTTTAATGCAGTAGCTGCAAGCTCTTGAATACTTGAAATGTAGTTAGCCTGACCTGCCATAGGTATAAAATGCAAGACATATTCCGAAGACTTAGTGTAAAGAAATAGAGTGAAATATCTCATTCATAATTTTTGTAATGATTACATGTTGAAATAATAAAATTATGGATATATTAGGTTAAATATATTATTAGAATTAATTTTATCTACTTGTTTGTCTCCTTATGACTGCGACTACCAGAGAAACTTAGATTCCATACGTGGCTGACATTTGTGGCTTGTGTTATATTTCTATTGGAAATACTGCTCTTGATAACATTTCTGCATTCCCTATTTTTTTCATTCAAAACATATATGTTAATAGGACTACTTTTTATTGAAGATTTATTAGGTTTCGAGAATGTACATAGCTAATACCTACAGTCATGCCTTGCTTAACACAGGGATATATTCTAAAAAATGTGTTCTTATGCGATTTCATCACTGTCAAACATTATAGAGTGCACAAACCCAGATGGCAGAGCCTACTACACACCTAGGTTATATGGTATAGCCTATTGCTCCTACACTACAAGCCTGAACAGCACTTACTGTATGGAATACTGTAGGCAGTTGGAACACAATGGTAAATATTTGTGTATTTAAACACATCTAAACATAGAAAAGATACAATAAAAACACAATATAAAAGATAAAAAATTATACCCCTATAATATAGGGCACTTATGAATGGAGGTTTCAGGACTGGAACTTGCTCTGGGAGAGGCAGTGAGTGAGGGGTGGGTGAATTGTGAAGGCCTAGGACATTATGGTACATCATTGCAGACTTTATCAACACTGTACACTTGAGCTGCACTACATTTATAAAAATATAATTTTCTTTCTTCAAGAATAAATTATCCTCAGCCTACAGTAACTGTTTTACTTTATAAACGTGTTAATGGTTTTTCAAACTTTTTGACTCATTTGTAATAACAATTTAAAACATAAGCATATTATACAGTTGTACAATTTTTTTTTTTTTTTTCGAGACAGAGTTTAGCTCTTGTTGCCCAGGCTGGAGTGTAGTGGCATGATCTTGGTTGACCGCAACCTCCGACTCCCGTGTTCAAACGATTCTCCTGCCTTGGCCTCCTGAGTAGCTGGATTACAGACATGTGCCACTACGCCCAGCTAATTTTTTTTTTTTTTTTTTTAGTAGAGACTGGGTTTTTCCATGTTGGTCAGACTGGTCTCAAATTCCCCACCTCAGGTGATCCGCCTGCCTCAGCCTCCCAAAGTGCTGGGATTACAGGCGTGAGCCGCCACGGCCGGCCTCTTTTTGTTCTTACTCTATTAACTTTATTCTATTTTTAAAAGTTTTAATTAAAAATTTGTTGTTGTTGTTGTTGTTGTTAAAAACTAAGACACAAATACGCACATTAGCCTAGGCCTACACAGGGTCAGGGTCATCAATCTCTCCGTCTTCCACCTCCACATCTTGTCCCACTAGTAGGTCTTCAGGGGCAGTAACACACAGGGAGCGGTCACCTCCTATGATGACAGTGCGTTCTGGAATCCCTCTTGATGGGCCTGCCTGGGGCTGTTCTACACTTAACTTTTTTAAAAATATAGGTAAGAGAACACTCTAACAACTAAAAGTATAGCATAGTAAATACATAAACTAGTAACATAATCATTTATTATCATTATCAAGTATGATGCACTGTCCATAATTATATGTGCTTCACTTTTATATGACTGGCAGCATAATAGGTCTGTTTACACTAACATCTCCGCAAACATGTGAGTAAGGTGTTGCACCAGAATGTTATGATGGCTACAATGACACGACGACTATAGCACTAGCTGGTAGGAATTTTTTAGCTCCATCCATTACCATCTAATGGGACCACCATTGTTTATGCAGTCCATTAGTGACTAAAATGTCATTATGCACATGACCGTGATTGATATATATGCATACGTAATATATAAGTATCATTATCCCCACTATACAGATAAAGAAGGTAAGAATCAGACCGATCAAATCCAAGCTCCATCAACATAGGGAAAGGACAGTACATGGTTACAAGCGTGGACTCTGAGCCAGTTGATTTGAGTTCAAATGTCACTTCTGCTACTTACTGTTGGTGACCTTGGGCAGGATACTTAACCTTTCTGTGTCTCAGTTTCCTGTTCTGCACTTGGAGATAAAAACAGAACTTACCTAGACTAGTTAGGAGAATTTAGTAACTTCCTATGTATTAAGCACTTTCAACAATACCTGACACATGTGATGATAAATGACTAGCTATTATTGTCTTCAAGTGACAAGAGCTGGGGTCTTAACTTGCTTTGCCTAACACTGTTTCCACAAGGCTGCCTATTGACGACCTTTCATGTGCCAGGTGTCACACTTTACTGCTATGGGGTGTGTGACATGAATAAGATACAGGACTTGCCCTCAGGGGGCTCACAGTCTGTAGAGAAGATAAGACATCCATGTAAAAACTACAGGGTAGAAAGAGGTAAATAATGACCCAAAAATGATAAGATGAGAAATGTAGAGATGGGATTCTGCAAGAACTCAGATTGGGGCAAGGTCACTTTGATGTGAAGGCAACCAGAGGTGAATTCTTGGAGGAGGTGGTATTTGGGCAGGACCTTGAAAACACATGGGATAAGGTTAGGCGAAGATGCAGGTTAGGGTGTTGTGGCCAAAGAGAACAGCAGGAACAAAATTCTAAATGTGGGAAAGTCAAGGCAAGCCGGGAGAATGGTTAGTTCTGCTGGGGTGTGGGTTTGCAGCAAGTGTCATATGAGACTAGGCTGGATGGTCATGTTGGAGCTGGCTCACCAAGGAGTTTGTTTATTGAAGGCTAGGCTTCAGGGCTGCTGCTTAAGATCATACCCTGATCATATCCTGATCATACCCTGATTTGTTTCTACCTTACCCTGAACAAGGCTGCTCAGTCAGAGGAACAAGTGAAGGCTGAATCCATCCCGCTCTCCTTTCCATCCAGCCACACATCCTCCACCCATAGGGGAGACACCTTTTACTAACTTACATGCAGACACCCTGAGTCCTGGCACCCTTGTCACCAGTTTGCCCCTTTACTGGGCTCACTGGCCACCGGCACCTCATTGTGTTACCTTCTACATTCTTGGGGTGGTGGTTTCTCTCCTTAACTCTTGAAGCAGTTAAAAGGCTTCTCTTATAAAAATATGTGCCATCCACGTACAAAGCCTCCTAAGGAACAGCATTCTCCTTCCCCTCCTATAGCCATAAATGACAGCTCTTTCCCCAGCTGCTTGGGATCATTTCCATACGGGTTGGCATTGCTGATGAGCCCCAGTATGTCATGGTGTCACAGCAGGAGGAGCTACAGGGTCACCTCCCAGAGGCCCTGGCTTGTGTTTGTTTGTTCCCAATGCCAGTGTCTGCCATGACCCCAACACCGACCCTGCCCCCACGGAGCCAAACAGAAAAATAGTGCCTCGGCTGTCATCTCCCGGGGAGCTTGGCTCTCTCAAATTGAGTTACTCACTGCTCCTAACTTTGCCGTCATCATTTCCTTCTGCAGCCTATTAAAACTCTATCCCTGACTAATGTAGCTGAACACACTGCTCCCACCCTGTTCTTCTGCCAGCAGCATCTGTACAAAAAAAATCAGCTTTGTCAGGCAGGCTTCTTGCTCCCTCTCACTCCCTCTCCTCTCCTCTCTAAGAGTCTACCCAGTAATCATCCTCCCCAAATATTCCAGAAAGCTCTCTGTGCCCTTGAGCTGTCCTCAGCTTGGATTCCAGGACTCCAGGGCAGGCCGCTTGTCTCTTGGCCTGGCAGGTGGCAAGTTCCTCCCCTCACCCAGCTGCCATCTCCACCAGCCCATATGGGTAAACAATATGCTTTCTATAGAAGCCCTTGTAGGTTCCATCCAACACAGCACACCTGATTTTCAGCCCGGCCTGACAGTGTTTACGTGTAAGGTAGGAACAAATCAGACAGTTTGTTGACACATTCAACACATGTGGTTTGGCACTGGTTCAGATCAAATGTATTTGGGTGTATGTTAAATATGTTTTCAATTTGTAGCCTTGCCTTTATGCCTCTATATGTATAACATACACACACACACACACACACACACACACACACACACACACACAATATTATAGGGCTGCATAGAAACACAGTGCCACAGAATTTCAAAGCCAGCAGTCAGTAGGCTTCTTTGTATATGCTGTTTCTTCTATCTCTTGCCTGGTTTTCTTCGATTTTCATGGAATTCTGTGCTAGTGAATTCTGGGGGTGTTGGCCACAGACCCTGGGAGAAAAGATAAGAGGCATGTCAAGCATGACCCAAGTTGGATGGGATGAAGGCATTTTGCAAATGTTGGAGAGTAGAGAATATGAAAACATTGCTTGCTTCCTTCTGAAGAGTATTTTTTTTAAATATGTCTCATCTAAAGAGAGACACTGACTAATGTCCACAGCAGGAAATAAGAACAAGCAAATTTGTCAATTAGAATCCTGCTTTTGCTTCTGTTGCCCCGGTCAATCATTTCGCTAATTAGTTAATTCATTCATTCATTGATTTATTCACCTATTCATTCATTCAACATCAAATTATTTTTTAAAAAGAACATTTTTTTGATTATGATAGTAATGCATATTCATTGCAGAAATGTGGAAAATCCATTAAAGTACAAAGAAGGAAATGAGAATCACCTTCTTTTCTTTCTACCCAAAGCTAATGATGGTCTAATATTTCGGTGCATTTCCTTTTATTGTAATCTCCCAGATGTGGCTGGGCCCCTTACACAGCCTTGCTTCCTGCTCCTGAGCAAGAATCAGCACTCGGTCATCTCCTCTCAAAGCAAATCTACCTGCACAAAGTAGAAGAGAAAAATGAAGCTTTTGTTGAAATCTTCAGGGGGAGGCAAAGGAGAAAGATACAGTACATACCACACAGCAAAACTGAATACAAAATCTCCACTAGACATCTGGGGTCTTTGCTGTGCCTCTAATTCCCATCAATGTCAACTGCCTTAGCTCCCTGCCTATCATTAGACCTGCCACCCAGAGCCCGTCTTGTCCCAGCTCCAGCCTCTTTTCTCTCTGCACCCTCCCATGTCTGTCTCCACTGGGTAAACAAAGAACCCATCTTAGCATCCTCTATCTTAAAAGCCAGGAGGAGCTTGCAAGGAACATACATTTTTTTTCCTTTGTAAGAGATAACTTTTTTCTGTCTCATTTAGATATGCATGTAAGTACATATGTCTATATATGATATATATGTGCACACATATTTAGTATATATTTTATTAAAATGAGATTATATCTACTAGTTTTTTTAACCAGTAACATTTTCTCCCACATAACATAATTCATTTCTGTTACAATTAAGTGTTCTTTGAAAACAGCTTTTCATATAGTATTTTATTATAACATACTGTAACATGTTTGACTAGTTTTAATTATTAATAATTTATGATATTATAAATAGGGCTGTGATAAACATATGCATTTCTAATTATTTTCTTTGTGCACATCTCCAATTATCTTCTTAGGGTAAATCTTTAAACTTGGAATTCAGGGTCAACCTGAATGAGCATTTTGAATTTGAAATAAATTGCCCTCCAGAAAAATGTTAGCATGAAACAGTTATTGGGCACTTACTGGGTACCAGGCACTACAGTAGTGCTGGGGATTCAAAAATATGTATGACACGTTCTCTGTTATTGAGGAGCTTGTACTTGAGTATTTGCTTTAATTAAATGGTAGGCTCCTTCTCCTCCCTCTAAAACGTCTGTTTGAATTTGCACTTAATGATATGGTTGAGAAGCTGCTGGCTCTGACCCTAAATTTATTTTTTTAACTATGTCTATCACAGACAAAGAAAAGCTTTCTAATTCTTGAAGCCAACCAAAAACTTTTGTATGTATTTGCCAGCTTGAAAAATATGTAGGCATATAAAATGCTTCTATTTTTGTTCCAAAATCACGTATTTTGAAGAAAAAAAACAAATACTTCTTATTTATGGATTGAAATTTATATTAATTTGGTCTTGGAAGAAGAAAGGGCTATCTTCCTCCTATGGATGTCATATACTGAAAACCTCAGGAAATCCTAAATTTGGGCTCTGCAGAGCTAGTCTACCAATAGGACATGAAGTTTGTGTCTTTGCTGGCTATTTTCCGCTGCCTCATTCCATCAGTAGCATCAGCTGTTGTTTTACGTCTAGGTACATTTCCTATTTAGATCATACACAAATATTTCTTGGCATTCTTACAGTGATGAAATACTGTAAGCAATGAATTTGGATTGTATAGGCTGTGGTAGATTATATTTTTATCACAGAATGCTTGCAGGGATTTTACACCCCTGACTCCATGATGCCAGTCTTGACTATGTGATCCACTTTAGCCAGTGAAACACTAATGACATTAGTTATCTCCAAGCGTAAGCTTTAAGAGCCATCACTTGGTTCTACACTTTCTTTCTCCCTTTTTGTCTCCAGACCACCATGTCACTAATAGGAGCTGATGCTTCAGTCTGGGTGAGGGAATAAAGATAAATTCAACACACAAGTAATGTGAGTGAGACATAAACCTGCTGTGGAAGCCACCAAGATTTTGGGCACACTTGCTACCACAGCATAACATAGCCTAAGAGAACAATCATATATGCCAACAAGGAAGTGTAGTGATGTGGCATGGCCCTTGCTCTGTCCTTAATCCAATTCATTGAGTTACATCTGCAGCATGTGGCTTTCCATTGATAATATTGGCACATTGGACAGAGTATAATTTTTGGACACTCTTTTTGGAGGGTGAGGTAGAAGAAATGCATTTTACATAGCAGCAAATTAACTATTTTCTACAAATACTGAGACTGTATTTTTATATTGGTACCACAAATTTCCAGCTCTTATCTCCAGCATCAGGTGATTACCTGACTTAACTTCAAGCTAAAATGCAAGCATAAATTTCAATTTCAATTCAATCAGCCAAAAAAAAAAAAATCTACCAAATCTGTATCTTATACTCTGCCCACCCCATCTATTTGTTAGCTTTCTGTGAAGTCCTCCATGCTTCTTCCCCTGCTAGGCAGGGTTTACCTCTGTATTTCTATACTATTTTTGACCTTGCCTCTCACAGAAGAAATAACTCCATTGTATTGCAATTATGAGTTTTTATTCTATTGGGTGGCTCATCCCTTGAGAACAAGGATTGTGTCTTACCCAACATTTTATGCATATTATAAATGCATTTATTTTTCCAACCATTCATTCAACAAATATTTACTGAGCAATTCCTATGTGCCGCATAATGTTTTTTGTGCTGAGAATCCAGTGGTGAACAAAGCAGACATGGTCCCTCTCCTCATGGAGGAGATCAGCAGTAAACAAGCCAAAAAAAAAAAAATCCAAAAAATGGTTAAATGCTATTAAAGGTCCAGGGTGAAGTGATGAAAAATTATAGTGGATTTTATTAGGAAGGTGAATTTAAGCTGAGGTCTAAAGTTTAAGAAGGAGCCAACCTTGAAAAAAGCTTCATAGTCAGAAGAGGAAGGGAGCACAGAGTCTCCAAGGCTAAAAAGAGCTTGGCTTATTTCTTATTTGAGGATCTGAAAGAAATCTAGTCATTACGAATAGACCTGGAGAGGAGTACAAAGAATGGAGAGATGACAAAGGCTTACAGGACATGGTAAGGAATGTGGAGGCCACTGATGGGTTTGAAGAAGATAAATGACATGATCCTGTTTATGTTTTTTAAAAATTTCCTTGTGCAGGGCATGGATGAATTTGGAGGGGAGTAAGATACTCTAGTCATCCACAGAAAACATGATTACAGCCTAGATCATGGGGGTGGCAATGAAAGTGGGGAAAAAATGACGGATTTTGGATATATTTTAGAACAAGAAGTCATGAGCATTGCTAATAGGTGAAACTGCATGAGTGGGGAAAGGAAGGAATCAAGGTGATGTCTGTGTTTTCAGCTTAGGTAATTGTGTGATGGGAGGTGCTATTTACCAATATGGGTTCAATTGGGAAAGGAACAGTATTACAGTGGAGAGAAGGTAAGAGTCTTATTTTGGATATATTGAGTGAGGTAGCTAGGAGATACGTCAGAGGAGTTGCTGTTGAGGGTGCGGCAGGATGTGAAATCTGTAGCTAGGAGGAGAGCTCTGCTGAGGAATAAATTTTGGAGTTGTCAGCCTACCAATGCTATTTACAGTCATGGGAATGAATGAGATTACTGGGGGAGAAAGGTCCCATACATGTTTACCGAATGCATCAATAGATGCCAGGAGGGGGTTGAAGGGCTCAGGACTCCCTAATGGAATGTGGTAATGCCAGAGGAGCATGCTTTGGCAGAGGGGGTGGAGAAGATAATGACATGGTTTGGGTTTGTGAGTTGGAGGTGCCTGTTCCTTATTCAGTTAGAGCTTTCCAGGAGGGGCTGACAAATGGGAGTGAGAGCTTGGTGGAGAATTACAGCTGAAGAGAAACATGTTGGTCTCATCAGCCTCTTGGAAGGGGTTGAACTGTTGGAATGGATAAGATGGCTGGGAAGTCCACATAGAGACAGAGGACAGGAGAGTTACTGATGGGAATGCAAAGCACACAACATCCAAGGTGGGTGAGGGAGGAACATCCCAAGAAGGAACTGAAAAATGTTGGTCAGAGATGCTTGGAGAAGTGGGGATGACAGCAATGGGGAGACCCACTGGGAGAGCATTTTTGGAAGTAGTCAATGGTCAACAGTGTCAATTGCTACAGCAAACACAGGTAACCGGGTAAGGTCATCGGATTTGGCAAATTAAAGCTGACTTTTCCGAGAGTAGTCTCAGAGTGGTGGCAGGGAGCAGCTTGCTGAGAAGGGAATGGGGTGAGCAGGAAGAGAGGATGGCTTCTTCTCTCATGAGACTTCTAGAGATGGTACAAAGAGCATGGGGGAAGGTGGTCTGAGAGAAGACTTTTTTTAGTATGAAGAAGAGAGGCTCCTAACATTTATTGATTGAGGATATGTGTAGTGGGGAGAACATAATTGTTGCATTAACAGCTGGCACCAGAACTCCTCCTAGGGAGAGGACTGACTTTGTTGAGGAAAATACTTTGACAGGGTGTTTTAAGTGTGAAAGATGAAGCCCTGGTATGCTAAGACACAGCAAGATAAAGAAATAACCAAACCGTTCTGCATAAGAAATAAAGGAATTTGGGGATGGAGATGGGCGGAAAGAAGAGGGAGGACATGAAAGAGGAAGGGAAGGAGTGGGGAAACAAGGTGGCAGGAGGCTGGAATGTGCACAGAGAGAGACAGTGAGGAAGTCCTGTCCTTTAAATGAAGGACATTTAAAAGTGGAGAGAGATGTTACAATCAATTGAGGTTGTTGGCATATCATGATGCAAACTTTTCTGTTCCCCCACATTTAAGTAAAAGCCTGCTGTACCCACAGTCTCACAGCAAGAATATTTTGGAGGAATGAAGGAATCAGAGTGGTGTCCAGTGTTAGTTTGTGTGGAGTGGAAAGGGGATAATTATCTTTACATAATAAAATAAATTCCAAACTGAACTAATTCAGAGGTAACCAGAAGAAGCATAAATGCCCCCTCCAAGAGCCTTTGGAGAGACTGGGTTTTCCCCTACACATGGGGTTGAGGTGCAGTCAATTATTTCATTTGAACACTTGAATCTCAGAGGACAGGCTGACTCCACGTGACATTAGAGTTTATGAATACCCTGGGCAAGACATAGCATGCTAAAGCCTTTAATAATTGCCATCTTATTTATTTTTTAGAATGAAAGTAAAAGGTAAATATTAGAGTATTTTCTCTTATTTTCATATGAGCGTATTTTCATATGTGACTCAGAGAGGTTAAGTAACTTGACCAAGATTGCATAGCATGTATTAGGGAGGGAATAATTCAAACTCATATCTCTCTGACTGATGCTCTTTTTATTTCACCAAACTGACCCTACTCATAGACTAGGCTCAGGGGAGACAGTAGTGGTAGACGGACTTGAAGCATTGACAGACTGAACAAAAGGAGCCAGGAGAGAGAGACACAGAGGGAGGGGAAGAGATAGTGGGGAGGAGAGAGAGAGAGAGAGAGAGATACAGAGTGGGAGGAGGAATTTGATGAAGCGAAGTTATTTCCCTATCCCTTCTCTACCCCTACCTTCCTTCCATCTGCTTAGGAGATTCTGAGACTGGCACCACGCTGCTGGAAAAAACAATGAGAGCAATTAGCGGGCTCTCCCTCCCCTGTTTTATTTTGGATGCTTAGCCCCTTTATAGAGTCGTTGCTTTCTATTTGGCTCAGCAGATATGAGCAATGTTAATTCTATAATTGGGCCTACCACCCTCGGTGCTTGATAAGCATTAGGTGCCAAACAAAGTTGTTCCAACTAAAATAGCCTCTCCTTAAAGCTATCAGTGCCCATGTGCAGGCCCTTAGGCCTTTACATGCTTCAAATAGGCTTAAACTGCACACTTAGTATTTCACAGCAGGGACTCCGGCTCCCCGAGCACTTTGTTTTTGCCCAGGATTACTCTAGGTTATGCTCTGGCTTATTTATGCTAAACGGTAATTCCCTGGTGCCTAGATGTGGAAACACGGCCTCAATTCATAAATCTGCTGCTTCTGGGTCTTTGCTACAGTTTTTAGGTCCTTAGTAGTCATTGAAGTAATGTTTGGAAATGGTGCCATGGTGTGCCAGGCAGAACTTGGGCAAGTTGGAAAATTTGGCTCATTGTCCAAGTTTGCAACTAAAGAGCTGACCGGGGCATTTCCCTCATCTGGGCCTCAGTTTCCCATATGTAGAGGGAGGGGTTGGGGCTAGACTGGGGACAGTAAATATGCCCCTACATTGCAGTACTCTAGGCAGCCATTATTAGTAGACTGGATTTAGCATTGTGGGGTGTCATTGCTTTTTCCATTTAGAGAATAAACTGACCCCATGATTGGGGGTTATCCCTTGCTTCAAAGAAGGGCCACATCAAATCCATTCTAGACATACAGGAATCTGTCCAGATCCTAATTTCATCCAGAATTCTATCATCTTCTTTAATAGCCTTCATGAATATCTTCCAGCCCTTCCTGTTGGAAAATTTAGGGGCAGGGGGCAATTAATCTTAAACTCTCATTTAAGGTGTTAACCTGTATCTCTACTTTCCTTCTTTAGTAGAATCGCATAGTAGAGCAAAAGAAGGAGAATATTGGGTTTTATAATTTAACATAGGGAATGATCTTGGAAATCACCAACCGATTGGTATTACCAATAGCCAACATTTATTGAGGGCTGACTCCATGCCGGTCACTGCACCACATACCTCACATGCACTGGCTCCTTTAATATGCACACAGGCATGGTGGTGGCTTGGCTCACCAGTGATTTTAGGGTTGATGTATCTCATGGACTCTATTTTATACTCCACCTTGCTGGCAAACTTCTGCAATGGGTCTACAGTCTTTGCCTCTAGGCCTGAATTGTTGAGAATTCCAAGGCACAGTCCCATAACTAGGTGGCAATCTTAAATCTGTAGTGCAGCTGGCCAGTTATTTTGTTATTGGGCAGCTCCCTTCCCTTCCCCCTCCCCACCTCTCATCCTTTTCTCTCTTCCCAAGCTTCCTTCCAATCTTCTTCCTTCACTATCTAAGCAGATATTTTCATCCATTGCTTCATTAAAAAAAAAAAAAATAGAAAATTGAAGTGACAGAACCCTGTCTCCCAGATGCCCTCCCCATTGGGACTTACATACCTCTTCCCCAGTTCCTGCGATCAGAGGAAGGATCCTTCTTTTGCTCAAGGCCCACTTCCCACCATGCTCTGTCCTCTTTCATCAGCCTGGGACCTCATTTCTTTGTTATGCTTTCTTTCTCTCACATTACCAGCTTCTTTCTGCTTGTTTCTTCTTTTCATCTTTTAAAGAAGCTCAGATTTCTCCAATCTTAAACAACTCTCCCTTGATCCTGGGTCCCTTGTCTTTTTCCTTTCCTACCTAAACAAGTTGCTTGGAAGATTATTCTACTGTATCTGTTTTCATCCCTCTCATTCACTCCATTCTCTGGGACCTGGCTTATTTCCTCTTCCTTCCCCTACTCCATGACCTCACTGAATGGTTCTGTCACAGGTCACTGAAGGACTACATATTTTAAAACCCAGAGGACATTTTTCAGTCCTTTTTCTGGACTTCTCTGTATCATTAGATGTAATCGTTACTCTCTCCCCGAAACTTTCTGCTCTCTTATCCTTCGTGGCTCCATTTTTTTTTCCAGGTTCTCCTCCTAACTCTTAGATATTTTTCTCTTGGACCACTTTCCAACTTCTCTTTTTCTGCCTGCCCTTTAAATGTAGTTGTTCTCTAGGCCTCCTGTTCTTCCCATACACCCTTCCCTCCATGGGAAATCTCACCACCTCCCTTGGTTTTATTTTTTGTTGTTGTTGTTATTAATATTTATTTATTTATCTCAATAGATTTAGGGGTACAAATGAATGAATTGCATAGTGGTGAAGTCTGGGCTTTTAATGTACTTATCACCCAAATAGTGTACATTCTACTCAATAGGTAACTTTTCATCCCTTATCTCCCTCCCACCTTTACCCCTTCTGAGTCTCTAATGTCCATTATACCACTCTGTATGTCCCTGTGCCCCCATAGCTTAGTTCCTTCTTATAAGTGAGAACATATGTTAGTTGGTTTTCCATTTCTGAGTTATTTAACTTAGGATAATGGCCTCCAGTTCTATTCAAGTTGCTGCAAAACACATAATTTCATATTTTTTTTGCCTGAGCAGTATTCTGTGGTGTGTATATATTCTATATATATACGGTGACTTCTTTTCCTTTGGGTAGATACCCAGTAGTGGAAATATATATATATATATATACACACACATACACACACACACACACGACTTTATATGTATATGTGTGTGTGTGTGTGTGTGTATATATATATATATATATAATGTTTTCTTTCTTCACTCATCTGGTGGACACATTGATTTATTACATATCTTTGGAATTGTGAACTATGCTGTGATAAACATAGGAGTACAGTTGTCTTTTTTAGACAGTGATTACTTTCCTTAGGGTAGATACCCAGTGGTGGGATTTGTGGATTGAATGGTAGCTCTATTTATAATAGCTCCAAAAGAAAAAACATACCTAGTAATATACTTAACCGGGGAGTTGAAAGATCTCTACAAGAAGAACCACAAAACACTGATGAAAGAAATCATAGATGACATAAACAAATGGAAAAACAACCCATGCTCATGGATTGGAATAATCATAATTGTGAAAATGACCATAATGCCCAAAGCAGTCTACAGATTCAATGCAATTCCTATCAAAATACCAATGCTGCTTTTCACAAAATTAGAAAAAACAATCCTAAAATTCATAAGGAACCAAAAAAGAGTCCAGACAGCCAAAACAATTCTAAGCAGAAAAGAAATCTAGAGGTATCACGTTGCCTGACTTCAAATTATACTACACAGCTATAGTAACCCAAACAGTATGGTACTGGTATAAAAGTAAATACATGGACCAATGGAACAGAACAGAGAACCTAGAAATAAAGCCAAATACATACAGCTAAATGATCACTGATAAAGCAGGCAACATCATTTATTGATGTTGGGAAAATTGGATAGCCACATGCAGAAGAATAAAATTGTATCCCTATCTCTCACCACATAGGAAAAATAACTCAGGATGGATTAAAGGCTTAAATCTAAGACCTAAAACCATAAACATTCTAGAAGAAAACCTAGGAAAAACTCTTGTGGACATTGGCCTAAGCAAAGAATTTATGACTAAGACCCCAAAAACAAATGCAAGAAAAACAAAAATAAATAAATGCAACTTCATTAAACTAAAAAGCTTCTGCACAGTGAAAGAAATAATCAACAGGGTAAACAGACAACCTACAGGATGGGAGAAAATATTTACAAAGCATACCATATATTTGACAAAAAGCTAATATTCAGAATCTGCAAGCACTCAAACAAATCGGCAAGAGAAAAAAAAATAATTCCATGAAAAAGTGGGCAAATGACACAGATGTTTTTCAAAAGAAGATATACAAATGGCCAATAAACATGTGAAAAAATGCACAACCTCACTAATCTTCAGGGAAATGTAAATTGAAACCACAATGAGATATAACACCTTATCTCAGTCAGAATGGCTGTTATTAAAAAGTCAGAAAACAACAGGTGTGGATGCATTGCAAAGGGAAGGTTGTACACTGTTGATGGGAATGTAAATTAGAACAACCTCTATGGAAAACAGTACAGAGTTTTCTTTCTTGCATTTAGCCACCAACTTCATGTGAGTAATATATTCAGCTCTGACCTCTTAGCTCAACTGCTGGTTCATCCACCAGATTTCTACTCATCTGTGGATGTCCCACAGTACTTTGGCATCAACAAGCCCAGGGCTTGAGGGGATACCTGTCTCCCTTTACCTTCTGATCTGCAGGTCTACCTTGCCTTCAGTGTTTTCCAGGTGGCTGGTGGCATTTCTAGCCATTCTGTCCATATATGTAGACATCACCTAGATTCTTTCTCATCCATCCCTCTCTTTCAAACAGTCATAGATACTCTTCAAGATTTTATCTCAAACATTCCTCAAATTAGACCCTTCCTTCTGATCTCCACCCCCAGCTCAGGCACTTACATTCTCCCACTTTGAACCCAAAACCCTCCTAATTGGTTACTTTGCCTTCACCATTACCATTCTCCAATTCCCTTCCACTCTGCAGCCAGACTGGCCTTTAAAACACAACTCTATGTTATATTTCTGATTAAAATTCCTCACTACCTATAATTGTTTACAGAATAAAGAACAAAAGTTGCCTTAGTGGGGCTGGCAGGAGAGCACAGACACTAAGAATATGAAGACTGGAGCCCAATTCTCTTTTGGGGTTTAAGTTTCAAGTTCATCGCCTGTGACTTTTGGAAAATTCCTTAATATCAGTGTGACTTAGTTACATTCTGTGTGTAATAAAGAGAATTTAGATTTGTTTTTGGCATTAAGTGCAATAATCCACACAAAGCTCTTTTTTTTTCTTTTTTTCCTCAACAAGTTAGATAGAAGGAAGAAAGCTCTTAATACTATGCCAGATGTATATGATAGTAGTGCCATTACTACTATTTCTACTATTGCTATTTTTATGCATTTGTTTATACAGTTGCTTCTCCAGGATATTATGTACTGCGGCCATCCCCTGACACATCCTCTATCCCCATTTCTTCCCACTCTCCCCACTGCCCCAACCCCACAATCAACTCACTCAGAGCTTAGCCCTCACCAACCTCCAGGAGACTGCCTCAGACCCTGAAACTGGCTGAAAATCTCCTGCTATGCACCCTCATAACTCCCTGTGCCTAACTCCGCTGTAGCACTGTCATTCAGTAATCAACTCTTCCATTTATTTATGTCACCTGCCAAACTGTGAGTAACCAGAGGAAAGAGACTAGCACTGTTCCCGGGATAGCGATACTGCCAATAAGTGGTGTTATATAAACAAATAAATGAATGCATTTCAAATGTGTCTACACTTCCTCAACATTGAGAAAGCTTGTTTTTTTCCATGCATTTACTCCCTCTTGATGCGGATTCTGTCTCCATCACTGTCCTCCAGGCCTCAATGCTAGACAACCAATTGCCAATGGCATTTCTTTTGTACCAGCTGAAGGATGAGTGGCAGCCAAGAATACTCTTCTTTCTCTGAGTTTCTGAGCCACCCTATAGTCTCTTGGCTATGAGCTTGAGCAAACACAAACTTTTTCCCATGAATGAGGAGTCCTGTTAACTTTGAGTACAAGCTGGATACTGCTGGGTTAATTATTATTCCAAAGAACAGGTTCAGGGGTAGAGGTAAAAAAATAAAAATGGCCTTTTGAAAGGTTTTCTAATTTGCTACTAATCATTCAAAAATATTAACCTATCCTTGCTGCTAAAGCCAATCTGCTTCTCTCTTCATTAAATGTACAAGGCCAGCATCAAAATAAGAACTGGCCTTTGGTTTTACAAGAAAAAAGGCTAGATTCAGAGGCTGAGAGGAGCTAATCGTTTTCGATTAGTTAGTTTCAGACTTCACTGAGTTTTGTTTGGTCTAGATTATCTGAATCTTTATTAAGTGAACTGGAATTGGCAGTAACAACTACAGGAGCAGTAACATTTGTGTGAGAATGCATTTACACAGAAGTAGCCCCATGTGCATGTTGACGAGTTCATGGATGCCTGTGCACGTGTGTGCTCTATTGTGCCCCGGCAGGGGAGATGTGGCATGGGCATGTGATGTGTGGGTATGTTGGAAAAAGAGAGATGAAGTTTTCTGAGGCACTGGCTCTCCCAGAAGACCTGGGGCAGCTTCTCGGGCTCTCCTTTCTTCTAGCCTGGCCCCTGTGAGGTTTGCCTGCCTAGAGGTAATTTTACTTAATCTTGGCAATCTTCCGGGATATACTTAAGTAAACAAGGATCAAGCCACTCACAACCTTAATTAGGCTACACATAAATAATGGATTGCTGGGTTAGCTGAGAACATACAGCAGGGATGTGAGAGCAATAACATCAACTTTCCTTAAGTGGTCCCTTCCTTCATTGAGCTCCAGTTTTTCCAGGCAGATATGTGTGTCAGGTATCGTGGAGACATTCCAACAATCTGTTTCCCATTCATTTGTTTATTCATTCATCGTCCACATTCTTACTAAACCCTTCTGAGAACAAGATAGGATGCTAGGTGTTGTGGGAGAAGGCAAAGGTGAAACCAACAAGAACTCTTTCTTAATTGTTCACAGTTGCTAAGATGGGCTTTTTAAACTGTCACTGAAAATTGACAAAGGAGTTTCTCGGTAGAGCATTGTGGCAGATTGTCTTCTCCAAGGATGGTCACACAAAATCCTCCCATTCCACATGCTGTTCTTAGAATGTGACCTTGGCACTCCTCCCATCCAGTGATGGAGTCTAACTGAACCTGAGCAGACCTTTATGGCAGCCTTGGCCAACAGAGCACAGGAGAAGTGATGCTCTGTGACTTCTGAAGCTAGGTAAAAATGCCATGCATGTTGGTCCTGAGATGCTTGAACTGGGATCCCAACCACTCTGCTGGGACAAAGCCCAAACCAGCCCAGGCTGTGTGGCTCCAGTCCACAGCTCAGCTGAGCTCTGGGTTGCCAGGAAGCACCAGCCACCAGACATAGGAGCGAATATTCAGAATCTGCAAGAACTCAAACAAATCGGCAAGAGAAAAAAAAATTCCATTAAAAAGTGGGCAAATGACATAGATGTTTTTCAAAAGAAGATATACAAATGGCCAATAAACAGGTTGTCCTGCCCCAGCTGTGGAATCACTCCAGCCTTCGGGTCTTCCCAGCTGAAGCTCAGACATCATGAAGCAGAGACAAGTCATCCCTGCTGTGCCCTTCTAGATTCCTAACTCACAGAATCTGAGTTTAATAAAATAGTTGTTTGAAATTGCTAAGTTTAGAGATAATCTGTTACACAGCAACAGTGACTACAGTAAGCACCATGGGAAAAAACTTCTCTGGGACTGTTATTTCTCCCACTCAATGACCAACACTTAGCAAGTTCAGTCAACTCTATATTGCAACCTCCCTTGTATCCACCTCTCTCCCTTTCTATCACTGTTGTCCTCCTTAGCCAAGGTCACCTCTTGCCTGGTCTTCCTGCCTTCAGCTTTGTCCCCCTCCAGCCCATTCTTGCCATTGCCTCCTTTCTAGTGAGCATGGCACCCCCTGGCCCTCATGTCTTGCCTCTCAAAATGGAGCAGCAGTACACCAGGAGGCCTCTGCCAGTGTGCTGGGGGTAGGAGAATCCACAAGGTGACCATGGCAAGTCCTCCTGTTACTCAGTAGGAAGTGAATGCAAATGTTACTTTTACATTGAGAAAAACATGGATAAATTCTAGTATAAAATCAAAATTGGCAAGAATTTTAAAGATAAAACCAAAACTTCCAGGACATTCTTCTGCAGCAGGGACTTCCTAAGGCTGCTAACCATATAGTTTCATTCATTTCCTTCTGCTGTTAGTGGTATGTCTGGGGAGAAGTTGGAGAGGAGCTGCCCTTAACTGTAGAATGTCGGTGGCTTGAAATGAAACTCAAACTCTCAGCACAGCATTTGAGGGCTTCTGCATTCATCCCTATCCAATGATTGCAGTCTGGCTTCTTACTGGAAAGCCTCCTACACAAGACCAATGGGGTGAATGGCAGTGGCACCAGGACAGGTATCTGCCTGGAGAAGGAGAAGAACTTGGAAGGGGGCCGGCCCCCTTGTGGGAAATCACTCTAGTTAGGCAAATTATTTTTGGAGTCCCCCAATATGCCATTTTCTTTATGCCTGTATGTGTTTTGTGCTTGCTGCTGTCTCTCTCTGTCTCAACCAACCCTGCTCATTCCTTTCCTCTCCTTCATTCTTCAGTATGCAGTTCAGATGCCTCTTTGAGGCTTCTCTGGACATTTTGGTGGATTAATTGCTCTCCTTTCTGCATGGCACTTTCTTCATATAATATTTAACATGTGGTATTATGGTATGCTGTGCATGTGGTGATCTTGGCCACTAGGCTTTGAGCTTATTGAGGATGACAATCATATCTTTTTTGCTTTTTAAAACTATCCTCTCCATCCCTTGCTTCCCATCTGAATTTCCACACAATGCCTCTTAAACAGTTGAGTCTCAATTATTATTTGTTGAAGCAAATTACTCTATTAACTTTTGTTTGTATTTATGCAAATTAAAACCCCCCCAGAAGTTAACCCCAAGACCAGGCACCTCCTCTCCCCACTCCTCATCTAGATGGCCCTGCAGATTCCTAAGAGAGGAAACCCTCACTGGCTCTAGGATGCATTCTTTTTTCCTAGTCAGGATATGCTTCAGGTATAACCCAGGTCTTTCTCATTGCCATGTGAGAGAACTATAGCATAGTGGACAGGGAGACACTGTCTTTACTGAGGGAGAAGGGACTCTGTCTCTACCAAGTCCTGCAGGTGGGCCTCTGCAAGAAGTAGATTGAGAGGATACTGTCTGGGCAGTGCACCCCAGCCAGAGCTCTGTCCTAGTGTCTGTCCTAATGTCTGAAAGTCATTCCTTGACCTTTGAAGGTTTTTAACCTTTAGGAGTTCTCTGTTGGCTAGACACCATGGCTCATGCCTGTAATTCCAACACTTTGGGAGGCTGAGGTGGCCAGATCACCTAAGGTCAGGAGTTCAAGACCAGCCTGGCCAAAATGATGAAACCCTGTCTCTACTAAAAATACAAAAAAAAAAAAAAAATTAGCTAAGCATGGTGGTGCATGCCTGTAGTCCCAGCTACTCAAGAGGCTGAGGTAGGAGAATCACTTGAATCCGAGAGGCAGAGGTTGCAGTGGGCTGAGATCTCACCACTGCACTCCATCCTGTGCGACAGAGCAAGACTCTATCTCAAAAAAAAAAAAATGAGTTCTCTGTTAAAATGCAGATTTTCCTAGGAGCTGGGAGAACTTGAGTCTTTTTTAAACTACCACCTCAGTGAAGATTCAGTGATAGCTGGGTTGAGAGCAGTGGCCCTTAAAGAAATGGAACAAAAGGTAAGAGCAATTCTGTTGAAAAGAAAGAGTGAGAGAAAAAAAAAAATGCCACGTTCACCAAATTGTATCAGTGCATCAAAAAGCCCTTTGCTTGCATTGTACTTACTCCTGGCTGGCTGCTATGCAACATAATGGGGGTTAATTCTAGGGCTGAGAGCACTGCCTGGGAATTGGAAGCTTCTACTAGGAGGGAAACGGGGTGATGGTGGGTTTGATTCTCTCCTATAATCTCCTTTTTTTCCTGGAAGATAGAAGTGTCCCTCTCTCAGGATTCCAGACCTACGAAAACATGAAAAGGGGGTTAAAAGATGTCTTTTGTCTTTGAAGAAAATAAGATCTTCTTGTAAAATTTCAAAAATTGAAAAACGCCAAATGAAATTTCAGCTTCTGGGGGCAGAGAGAAACAACTGGGGAAGGGAGCAGAGGGCTGCATTAATATGAGGTGATTTTCCACTCCAGTTGCTCACCTTATTAGTTTAAATAATTGCTTTAATATCTATATGTTTAGTGAAGAGAAGCCCCAGACATAACTCTTAGAAACAGATGTCACCTTGGAGGTCAACCACTTTAACCCTCACCTCAGAGAGGTGAGGCCAGGTGTCTCCGATCACACAGTCAGTGCGCAGCCCACACTGTCCCCGATCACACAGCCAGTGCGCGCACCACGCTGTCCCCGATCACACAGCCAGTGCGCGGCCCACCCTGTCCCCGATCACACAGCCAGTGCGCGGCCCACCCTGTCCCCGATCACACAGCCAGTGCGCGGCCCACCCTGTCCCCGATCACACAGCCAGTGCGCGGCCCACCCTGTCCCCGATCACACAGCCAGTGCGCGGCCCACCCTGTCCCCGATCACACAGCCAGTGCGCGGCCCACACTGTCCCCGATCACACAGCAAGTGCGTGGCCCACACTGTCCACCATCACACAGCCAGTGCGTAGCACATACTGTCCCCGATCACACAGTGTGTGGCCCACGCTGTCCCCGGTCACACAGCGAGTGTGTGGCCCACACTGGCATGAGGACCCACTCCCATCTCCCAAATCCACCTTCTGGCTTCCACTGAGGAGCCATGGATCTTACTCTGTTGGGGCTGAGACACAGTTAGCTCCCCTTTTCTCAATGGCTTTGACGCTATGTGAATGGTGACCCCTCAATAAGGGGCCTTGATGTGCTGAAGCATGGGAGGGTCAGGTCAAATCCCCAGGAGAAATTGAGTGAGACTGGTGCTCAGCAGTCATTTAATGGCTGCTTTTACATTACAGACCCAGGGAATTCAGGTCCTGCCTAACCTCGACCTTTGTTTCTGAGGTGTTAGGAAAGAGTCATCTTTACAGGCACTTCCTAGGCAAGAGTCATCTTTACAGGCACTTCCTAGGCTAGGGCCGGCAGAGCATGGCCTGAGGATGCCGCAAGCCTTGGGAGGCCACTCCTGCCTCTGGGTCAGGGATCTTGAGGGGAGTCCCATCTCTGACCTACTACTGCCTAGAACCAAGTCTGCTGCTTTGCCCACGGAGAAGCTGGTGCCAAGCACCTCCCTCCTCCAGCCCTGCCTCTCTGTGATTCAGGGGCTGGGCTCAGTCACATATAATTCTTTTGGTAGTAGCAGTTCACCCTAGTTCAGCAGCCCATGTGGTCGTGATCAATCAATGGGTGTCCCTCTCCTAATGACGAGAGAGCTGTGAGAAGTTGAGCTGTTTACACAAGGTCAGTTTATTAACAGGGAAATCACTCTTATGATAAATGAATGTTCCGGTGTTGCTGTCGCTGCTCTTCTCTCCCTCTCTCTTTCTCTTCTTTGTGCTCTAAGAGCTTTGCGGAGCCACAGCTTCTGCATCCTCGGCTGCCAGGAGACTGCAGCACCTCCAGTGAGATTCAGCCTTCCTCTTTGAGCCTGAATCAGTTGAGGCCAATGACCTGGGCTACGGAGGGTCATTGTGACCCCCTCCACACAGCTCCTTCCAGGTGAGCTCAGCAGAGGCTCTCAGAGAACCATGTTATTTTTAAGGACCAGTAGGCAGGATTTCAGGTCAATGATGGTGATTTCTTGAATGTGCACAGCACTTTACAGTTTACAATTATTTTTTCCATTCTTTACAGTAAACCATTTTATTGGCATTTTCTGAGCAAGGCGCTCAAGAGAGGGATTAATTGTTTTTGTCCCCATTTTAGGAATGAGAAAACTGGAACTCAGACACAGAGTTGAAATGAAAGATTGTTGAGTCTTTTGACTTGAAATCTCTTATCATGGGCTTTGCAGCCAGAAAAGTCTTAGTTTAAAACTTGGCTGCCTACTTACTGGCCAGGTGGTTCTAGAAAATTATTTTGTTGTTGTTGTTTCTTTCTTTTTAGATAATACACTTTCTCTTTTTTTAGGGCGGTTTGAGTTTACAGAAAAATTGAGCAGAAAGTACCGAGTTCCCATACATCCCTACCCCTTACCACAGGCAGTTTCCCCTAATTTAGCATCATGAGCCATTTGGTACACTTGTTAGAATTGATGAACCGATATTGGTAGACTATTGTTAACTACAGTCCACAATTTACATTAGGGTTCATTCATTGTGTTGTACATTCTATGGGGTTTGACAGATATATAATGCCATGTATTGTATCCACCATTACAGTACCATACAGAATAGTTTCAATGCCCCCAAAATCCTCTGTGCCCTATCTATTCATCCTTCCCTCTCCCCAGTCCCCACCCAATGGCAATCACACAGTATGTGGTCTTTTCAGACTACCTTCTTTCACTTAGGAATATGCGTTTCAGTTTCCTCTGTGTCTTTTTGTGGTTTGATAGCTTATTTCTTTTCCTTTCCGTTCTTTCTCCCCTCCTTCCCTTTCTTTCTTTTTAACAGGTTACAAGGTTGTTATTTAACTTTTTGCATCTCTTTCATTGCTGGAGACTTTTAGAATAGACTTTTTTTTTGAGCAGTTTTGGATTCATAGTAAAAGTTAGAGGAATGTACAGAGAGTTCCTATACACCCCCTTCTCCCACTACATGCACAGCCTTCCCCACTATCAACATCCTCTGCCAGGATGGTACAATCGTTATAACTGATGAACCTACACTGATGCATCATTATCACCCGAAGTCCATAGTTTACATTAAAGCTCACTCTTGGATTTGTACATTTTATGGGTTTGGGCAAATGTATAATGGTATGTATCCACCATTATAATGCCATACAGAACAGCTTCACTACTAAAACTCCTCTGCTTATTCATCCCTCTCTCCCCACTAACTTCTGGTAGCCACTGATCTTTTTGCTGTTTCCATAGTTTTGCTTTTCCCAGAACGTCATATAGTTGGAATTACACAGTATGTAGCCTTTTCAAATTGGCCTCTTTGAGTTAGCAATATGCATTTAAAGTTCTTCTGTGTCTTTTCATGGCTTGATAGCTCATTTCTTTGTATTACTAAATAATATTTCAGTGCATCAATGTAACATAGGAAAGTTATTTTTTGAGTCTTTATTTTTTTCAACTGTAAAAATGGGGATAATAGGGTTGTTATCTCCTCATAGGGTTGTTGTAGGAATTAAACAAACTAATACGTATCAAACATGGGGTCTGACACATAGCAAACTCTCAATCCATGTCCTTTATTATTATTGTTGTTGTTATTATTACTCCTACTACTATCGCTATTATTGCACATTGACTCCCAAGACTGTTGGTGACTGCTGTAGAGAATTGTTCAGGGCTGGGATGGAGAGGTTTCACAGTATAGTGGAGAGAATGTGAGTCCAGGAGTTCTAGGCTCAGGGACTAACTGAGGGGCTAATACCAACTTGTATATGCCTAGGTCACTTTAACCCCACAGGTCACTATTACTTTGCAGATGTTGAAAAGGAAAACGTAAACCTAGGTGACGTATGAGTGCCCCTCAAATGACCTTTGGCAGGGATAATGTGTCTGCCTGATGTCACTACCACTGCTGGAACCCCACAGTTTTGAGTGTTCCTGAGGCTCCTCTTCTTTTTTCTTCAGGCAGAGAAGGACTAGCTTTGTCTAATGTCTAGTGAAGATCATTGGGTGGGACAGAAGATTGGTCTCAAGTGGTACCTTCCAGGACAAATGGAGTAACCTGGGGTATGTTGAGTAGCAGGGTGATTGGCAGAGAAAGGCAGATGTTTACTTTAGCTTTTGACCTGAAGGAGTCAAAGACTCCACAGGCCCACTCAACACCTGAACCAAAGGGCTTTTGAAGTGAGTAAGGAAAGCCACAAGGCCCAGGCATCATGGTGCTATGGGCAGGTGGACCTGTTCTCTCAGAAAAATTCTCCCGTCTTTCTTTGATATGGATCAAATACTTTGTAAACAGAAACTGAGCAAAGTATTATTTTCTAAATACCTGACCATCTTAAAGAAATTGTTTCACTTCTCAAGCTGCAGATTCATGTGTAAAATAAGGAACACAACAATGCCAAGTTCATGGAGGTTGTGGTGAATGTTAATGAGCTAATCCGATCCACCTAAAGTGCTTGCACAGTACCTGGCATTCGTGTGTAGATGTGCACACACGTGCATGCATATAGTAAGTTCATGGTAAATGCTCATCATGATTTATTACTTTCACCTCAGTTGAAACTCTCTAAATTCTGTTTGGCTAGCCATTATTATTATTATTATCCCCATATTATGGATGAGAAAACTGAGGATTGGAGAGATTAAATAACTTGCTCAAGAGTACCCAGCTGGTAAGAGGAAGAGCTGGGATTTCAATACATGTTTTTGTCCTTCATCCCAAAGCTTATGCTTTTCTCACCAAACCCCTGGCTATAAAGTACTATATAAACACATATAAGTTTGTTTTTTATTGGAAAATTGCCATACAGCATGGTTCCTGCTGAGGTTAATTTAGTTCTCTCATCCTTAAAGGTGAAGAATACTGAAGTTGTGCTAATAATGGCAAGAGAAATGGCTTCAGTCAAGCTGATTCCAGTTGGAGCTCTGCTTTTGTGCCTGGGAGAATGTGGATGTGCATGCCACCAAGGGGCTCCATCTGCATTAAGGAGAGAAAGTCACACTGGTTAGGAGAGGGAATGACTTAGGAGGAGCCGCCGAGACACTAGAACTCAACCTAGTGTTGATGTATGATAACCAGGGCACGTTACTGAAAGGCATAAAATAATGCAAAAAGTTATTTTTCAGCCAATTTGCTGACACAGCACCATTTTGGGTCCCCAACTGAAAATGATATATGAATTATCTCAACCTAAAGTCGGAAGTATAAATTATAGAATATATCTTTTGCTGTTTTATTTGGGCTGTAAAGCGACACCTTATTATTTATCCCTCCTGGGCTTCCTTTAATGAATCAGGATTTGAAAGTGAAATATTTATTATATTGCAGGGGAGAGATTACATAGTGT
This sequence comes from Homo sapiens, assembly GCF_000001405.40. NCBI lineage: Eukaryota > Metazoa > Chordata > Mammalia > Primates > Hominidae > Homo > Homo sapiens. Next base: position 114,956,556 of record NC_000011.10, on the reverse strand, counting down.
TTCAAAAAAGAGGAGAAAGGGTTATGGAAATCAGGCGGCATCTTGAACATTCGTCTCTTTCTTGTTTATGAGAAATGGCTTATGTGGGTATTTTTCTTGAGTTGTGAGAGACTTACTGAAGAGGAACCCCTCCAGCATAGTGAACACAGGGGCACGGGTTGCTGAGTCAGGGATCCAGGCTCCCAGCCTGCTTTCACCCATAACCAATCATGTGATTGGGAATGTCCGGTGGACAAGAGACACCTGATTTTGATATTTTCGTGTATTGCATAAAGAGATGGAGTGTCATGAACCCTCTTATTAAATCTGGCAGGGGGTGGAGGTAAGAGAGGGAGGCAGGGAGGGAGGAAATGCTTCATTTTGATGGGTTATTTGATGTTGGGTAATGGCAATTGGTTATTCACATAGGGCAGTTACTGAGACTCAGCACTGGCTTAATGGATACATTTCTTCCTCTAGCTCTCATAATCAGTCCTGATGGATGATTATGGGAGTTTAGCATGTCATATAACTGCTCAGGGCCAGGCAACCAGATTGTCCTACTGCTGAGAATGAGAGCAGTTGTTCCTAGGGATGCCAGAGGATCCCCACTATACATGATGGGAGAAGACATGGGTTAAAAGGTTGGAATCACAGACAGTGTTACCAAGCATCTTTGCCATATCCCACAGGACTGTGACCATAGCCCAGAGATGGCAATCTATTAAAATGTTCAAAATGTTTACTCCTCATTCATTCATTCACTTATTGATTCATTCATGTATTTACTTATTCCATAAATAGTTTCCAGTGCTTCTGTATGTTATGCACTATGGTAAGTACTGTGGAAGGGAAAAAAAATAACACACAGCCCCTGTGCTCCATGCAGGATGGACCAGCAGGAAGACAAACCATGAACAAAAATCAAAAGTGTGTAAGTTATACCATAAGGACATGCAAGGATACAGTGATGATACCAAAAGGAGGTGATTGACTTTGCTTGAGGGGAGAAGGTACATGGAAGTTTTCAAGCCCTCCACAAGTTGATTCATAGGCAAATATATATTGAATAGTTACCTCCATCACTAATGAGGCAACAGTACTTAAACAGAAAAAGGAGGGCATTCTAGCGCACATGAAAAGGCAAAGAGCTGGGAGACAGGATGGCTAGAACAGAGTGCTACAGACAGGGTATCAAAGCTCTCAGAGTGGGGAGTTCATTATGGGCCTCCATTTTGTGAGTACAAATCATGTACTTCCATGATGAATTGTTTTTTCCTACCATACTGATCTCCTTATTATGATTATTCTGAACTTTATATTGTCTCCCATGACACAAAAATATAAATTTTCTCCTTGGTCCCTGCCATGGTCCGAATATGTCCCCCAAAATTCATATGTTGACATGTAATCGCCAATGAGATAGTATTAAGAGGTGGCATCATTAAGAATGGAGCCCTTAGGGTAGGATTAGGGCCCTTATTAAAAGGCTTGAGGGAGGCCAGGCATGGTGGCTCATGCCTGTAATCCCAGCACTTTGGGAAGCTGAGGCGGGCAGATCACCTGAGGTCAGGAGTTCAAGACCAGCCTGGCCAACATGGGGAAATCCTGTCTCTAATAAAATATCTCACACGACTATAATTTCAGCTACTTGGGAAGCTGAGGCAGGAGAATTGCTTGAACCCAGGCAGTGGAGATTGCAGTGAGCCAAGATTGCACCACTGCACTCCAGCCTGGGTGACAGAGTGAGACTCCATCTCAAAAAAGAAAAAAAGGCTTGAAGGAGTGAGTTTATTCCTTTCCATTCTCTTCCACCATGTAAGGACACAGAGTTTGTTTCTTCTCAAAAGGATGCAGCAACAAGGCACCATCTTGGAAGTGGAGAGCAGCCCTTGCCAGACACCAAACCTTCCAGGGCCTTTATCTTGGACTTCCCAGCTGCCAGAACTCTGAGAAATAAATTTCTGTTCTTTATAAATTACCCAATATTCTGTTACAACAGCACAAATGGACTAAGACAGTCCCCCAGCTTATACACACCATACCCATTCAAGGGACTGCCAGTGATGGAGGGGGACGCTTTCCTCACCAGTTCAAGAAACATGGTGAGAAGAACACTGCTCCAACCTCCACACCTTTCTTGCCTCCAACACTCTTTCCCAGCCCATTCACCTCATGCTCTCTGATATGGTAGCACCTATGGATGGGTCAACACATAAACTGCTTTAGGGGCCAGGGGCTGAGCACCTCTCTCCAGAAGCCAAGAGCACTAAGCCTTTTAGCCCAAGTAGTCTGAGGCTGCTTTGCAAGCAGGATGTTTTTGAAATGGATTTGACTAGTGCTCTGAGCCTGGGAGACTGGAGAGGCTGAACTCCATTTGTCAGGGCACCATTTCTTTGTGTGTGTTGAATGTCATTAGCAGCCATGAAGGAGCACATGGTTTGGGAGGCTGGTGCACCAGTGAAATGGCAGCAGGCCCTGTCCATGGCTGAGGGGGTCAGTAGTATAGGGGCCTCCAGTAGAGACTCCACAGCTATCCTATATTAGCAATTCAGAAGGGACTGGCAGTAACTTTGAATTTTCCCCTGACAGCCAGCTCCTGGGAGCTATGAGTTAAGCAGAGGCACCTGCCAACTGTAACATTACTGCATTCCCTGAACAATGCACGGTGGCGGCAGCAGCCTGGATGGGGAGGCCAAGCCCTTTCTTTCTGAAAGGAATGGCATAACACAATGATTGCAATGCATCTCAGCTGCTTGCATGGCATTGCATATACCTGATTCATAGAAACGTAGAGCTGGGTGAAGACTTAGACATCATGCAGTTCAGCCTCTTCATTCTATGCATGCAGATATTGCTGAGTTGATGAAAGTTACAAAACGGCCAAGTTAGGACCTGAACCCGGATTTCCTAGCCTTAACTCTGTTCTCTCCCAATATTTTCCCATGTTGGTGGGGGAGGAGAGGGTGGGTAATGAGATAAATTAATTGGAACAGACAAACAAAAGAGTAACAGAATCACAGTGCATCTAATATCTAGCAGTCATTTAATAAATTTTTTTCTAAATTGGTATGCCTTCTGATTTTGCCAAGTTTTTTAAAAGAGGATTCCTAGTTGTTTATTGTATTTATCACTACAATTTACTTGTAGTAAAATGTATTTTTCTTCCTTGCCTTAGCATATATGAATTTCTATTGCAGCCAGTGAGATTCAAGAAAATCACATCTGGATGCTGGGACTCCATATCAATAGTAGCAAAGGATGGATTGACACTGGCTGGGGCTGAGTTTGGTGCAACCAGTCTGGAAGCAAGGAGAGGAATAAGGTGACAGCCACTAGAGGTCTCTTTAAGTCCTAGGATGAGATCATTTCAAGCATCTGCAGACACCCACCCAGAGTTTGTTTAGGTGGAGAAGTTTAAAAGCAGTAGGCTACCAGAATTGATAGGTCTTGGGGAAAAGCAGAAGTATTAAGAAAGCCCTTGATATTTGAGTAGAAACACCCTACAATGAATGGACGAAAGAGTGAATGTTGTCAGATTTGGGTAAGGGTGTGCGTGTGTATGTGTGTGTATGTGCATGCTCACACACATAAAAGAGGCTATATAACAGTGGCAGGGTGGTAAAGAAGGTGGCCTTTCCTCCTTACTGTCTCCTTCCCATCCCCACCAACCTCCTTCCAATTTCAATCCTTTCTAGAAGGAATTCAGGGACCTCTTTCAGCTGAGTTCTGCCTCCTGAGCTTAGAAGTAGGCTCTATGGTAATGACATTCAATTTTTAAACACAAATTCGCCAGAACTTTTACATACAAAAGGATGTATCCCTGCTTCCCATAGTTATCTTGAGAAACTCTGTCTACCCTCCATGCAGTAAAGAGGGCTGCCTTTGCTCATGTCATCCTTGGAACTCTTCACTGTGTGTAAATCTTTCTTGTGGCTTTGGGACTCAGTCAAAAGGTTGTGCACAACCAAGTCTTTGTTCAAGGAGGGAGATCAGCCAATGTGGCTCTATGGTAATGAGAATGGCACTCTTCTAACCTTTACCAACTTGTCTTTGTCATCGGTGATGGAAATGTTTAACTATACCTTCCCCAGCTGTACAATTTACAACCATTGTTTAAACAACAACAACAACAACAACAACAACAACACAGTAATATAACCCTTGCAATGCTAACTCTTGGGTAGAGTAGACTGTCACTCCCTCCTCCCCATTATCTTCAATCTGTTAACATGGAAAGAGCACCAAGGGTTATTAGAAGGCATGGGCTTGAATTCCAGTTCCGTTATTCCAGTTCCGTTACTTACCAGCTGTGCGAACTTGAGCACGTCACTTCACCTCTGAATTTCAGTTTTCAAAACTATAGAAAGTGGATTAAATGTTTACCTTCAAAACTTGTGGTGAGGATTAAGTGAACTAATGTGAGAAAGTATCTGGTGCAGGGTAGATGTTTAATGAATGTTTTATATTATTTTAAGTGTGGTAGCAGCCAGAGGTGGGAGAAGTTTGTCTCTTTCTATCCTGGCCTTCCAACCTTCCTTGATATTCATTGCCATGCCTTGTGATATCTCCCGGCATATCACATTCTTTCTCTTTCACCTAGAAGCTATTGGGAGGTGGTGGAGGAAGAGTGCAAGTAATGAAAGGGAATGAATAAGTAGAGTCAGGCATGGCTCCACACCCAGCTTAGGAATGACATGGACCTCAGACCACAAATCCCATTGAGGTGAAAATACCCTTCCCACCATCAGGCTCTATAAGGCTGTGTCTTATCCAGAAAATTGTTTCTCTTTAGGAAAGAAGGGAGTCTCTGGGAGAAGGCATGCTGGACAGGGCCTGAGGTCCCTTCTCTGTGCTCCATGCTAAGTGCCGGGGGTTCAGTGGTGATGAAAACCCAGTCCCTGCCCTTGGGGGATTTACTGTGTCCTATTCTCTGGAAATTATTGTTGAAGAAAAAATAGGTACAATAGGAGCCTCTAAGATGGTTTTCAATAATCCTTGCTCCCAGATACTCACACACTTGTGCAAGTGCCTCCCCTTGACTTCAGGCTGGGCCTACTGACTTCTTTCTAACAAGAGTATGACAAAAGTGATGGGATGTCACCTCTGAGATTAGGTTACCAATAGATGGTGACTCTGAGGAAAGACAGCTGGTCTGTTTTGAACTGCTCCATGGAAGAGCCCATGTAGTAAGGAATCTAGCTAGGGAGGACTCCTACCAACAGCCAGCAAAACACTGAGGTCCTCAGTTCAACAGCCCACAATGAACTGACTCTTGCTAAAAACCATGTGAGTGAATTTGGCAGTGGATCCTTCCCCAGTTGAGCCTTGAGATGAGACAGCAGCCCCAGTCAATACTGTAACTGGAGCATTTTGAGAGATCTTGAGGAGGGAGTACCCAGCTAAGGTGTGTCTGGATCCCTGACCCATAGAAATGGTCAGATAATAAACATTTGTTGCTTTAAGCCAGGAAGTTTTGGGGTAATTTGTTACACAGCAATAGATAACTAATACAGAAGGAATAAAGAAGGAATGACTTTTCTGACTTTCATATGTTTTTATTTTTTAATTTATTTTAATTTATTTTAATTTTTTCCCTTTTCATATGTTTTTTAAAAGCAGAATGTTGGCTCTCTAAAAGGAAAGAGGAAAAGAAATCTCCTTCTGGAGGAGGTAATGGGGCTGTTGTTTTTAACTTGAAGTCCCAGGCACTCCAGGTGGTGAAGAAACTGGCTTGCAGGTTCTTATAAATCCTCCCAGCTAGATTCTTCAGAAGAGGCACATGCCTCTTCTCTCATCAGCCTTTTTCTCAAGTCCTCTTTTACTTATTCCACTTCCTACTTCTGAGTTCCTCTTGCTCCATCTGGATATGCCCAGCAGCTATAGCTCCAGCTCGCAACTGAGGAAGAGGTGATTTGATCAGGGTCTCCCAGGGGTCAAGGGGTGGGAGACTCAGCAATCATAGAAACATAGACTCTGAGGCCAGGATGCTTGGGCCTCGGTTACAGCCCCAACATCTCCAAATACTATGTGTGACTCAAGAGGCAGAGGGGCCCCACTGAGTGACATTCTCTCAGTCTGATTTATTACTTTGTACCTGTTGCCTGGCAATGAGGTGTGAGCCTGCCAGATCATGGGGTCAGAGCCTGGAAGAGCTCCCTCATTGTTCCTGCCATTCTTCACTTGGGGACAGAAATCCAGAGTTTCAGAGCCTTCCAACTGTGGCCCCAGAGCCAGCTGCACTCCTATGCAGGAGGATCTTTCTTGGGTCACCACTGTCCCCAGAGCCAGCCAAGATAGCTTCCTGCTCCCCCCATTCCTGGGCTTCTCTCACAAATCTCCCAAAGCACAGTGATTCTTATCTTCTCAGCGTGTCCCTCTCTCTGAAGCCTCCCCACACTGGCCTATGCCTCCCCCTGCACACACACACACACACACACACACATGCACACACACCCTCCCTCTTCCCCATCCGTGCTTCTCGATATCAAGATTCTAAGTCTTCTTTGAAAATAAATCTATTATAGTCTCAGATAATCATCCTACCCCAACCCCTCCCCTCAAGTTGATTAGCATCTGTGAGCATTATTTAAAGTGCTGCATGGATCCTATTTTGAAAAGCTGTTTCCCCCCTCCCCGTTATGCTGAATCCCCGATGTAGGCTCAAGGCAGGGAGCAGCTCGGCATGGCTGAGAGAGGTCGGCTCTCATTAATACAGATCCCATTTATTTAAAAATAGCAATATTATGCCACTTTCAAATAGCCCGAGTGAGCTAAACCATTAAAGGATTGTGCGTCGCTGACTTCGGACCTATTGTGAAGGCTTAATATTTCACAGCACAGCGACACATGGTACATAACCCACAGAGCAGAGCTATTGGTTTGGCTGTTCTGAAGCGAGGAGTAGGGAAATAATTGAAGAGAACATTTTATAGCCCAACACAGAGAGAGGAAGAGAGCTGGAGCTTGGAAAATATTATGTGGGCCTCCTGAAACTCAGGATGGGGACTGAGGCAGAGATGGGGTGGCTTTGTCAATGACACATGGATAGATATTCGGGAGCTGGATAGGGAGATGGATGGATAACACGTCTCCTGGGTCTCATTCACATTGCTGTCACTTTCCAAAATGAATTCTCCCAACGTGGCCAGTGGACTAGTCTTTTGTATTTCTACCCAAAGCCCAGAAAATGGCCAAATTATGAGATGATTGGAATTAAGTCATATTTGGGAGATTTGTGGATGAATTTGGGGGTGGTGGGGTAATTGCTAAGAACCACCACTTATACTAGCTTTGACATTAGAGAGACGTCAGTTCTGATCTTGGTTCCACCTCTTACTATTTGACCTAGAGTAAATAAATCAAGATCAATATTCTTAGCTTGCTAGAATCTCAGTTCCCTAGTCTCTAAAATGGGAATAATAAAAATTGCATTCTGAGGCCGTGATGTGGGTTGAACATATCAAACTCAGTAAGTGTTGGTTCCTCCTTCTTGCATCTTTGTTGGCATTCATTATCCCTCTCCTTCTTCCCTTTTCCTGCCTCCTTCTAACACAGAGAACTCTCTCCTTTATTGCTGAGCCTTGGGCCTAGCTTGGGACTTGCTCTTTCACAGGCACACCTAGCTCCAGTGGGAATTACCCAGTGTAATCAGCTTCTCACCAGTCCTAACATCATCCACAGCACTATGCTCACTCTCCAGTCTTTGCCCACCTAAGATTGCCTTATTTATGTGTACTCTTCCTAAAGAGACTAGGCAGGGAACCCTCAGGAAAGATTTGTGTGTTTCTAAGACTCAGGGGTTAGAGGTACAGATCTTGGGGCTCCAGAAGAGCCTGGCTAGATGCCTCCTCTAACAACCCCAAATTTGCTTCTCCTCAGGTTCTGAGTCCTGTTGGGTGTGGCTGACACCTGGTCATCTTCCTCCAAGACCTATTAGATTCTCTATCAATGAGAGCCTCAATGTGTGCGTACATGGACTTTCGTGACCTGTTAATGAATCATGGTCCTCTGTCCACATCTTACACAGTTCAAATCTGAAAGCTGGGAAGACTTCCAGGACTACTGCCCATGGAAGCAGCCCCCGCCCCCCACCAGCCTTAGGAGTGGAACATTTTACAATAACAAGCATTAGAGATAGAATAAGAGTAAAATCCCCCGCCCACTGAACCCCTCCTCTCCCACATCCTGTGCCGTGATTGCTTTCTTATTTTCACATTCTCCTTCCTCCACTGACCTGGTGGTCCTTTGCCCATGAGTAACCACCAGGCTCTTCCTTCATTTTGTAGTTGTTTCTTAAAACTAAAAAAAAAAAAAAAAAAAAACAAAAAGTTTTCCCAAATCAAAAGTAGCACAAGTGACATCTTCTGTTTTGTTGCTCTCTTGAAAAAAATATCCTTTGATTCTCCCTTCCTTTAACCAATGGGGGCCTCTTGCCCTTCGCCAGAGATTCTGAGCATGAAGAGTTCAACTGTGGCACCACAGACTTTAATTAGACTGTGTGTGTGTTGGTGGTGGGGAGGGGGTGAAGGGGACGGGGAGCTACTGCGTTCCTCTCACCTTACTCCTGCAGCTACAGAGCAAAAGCTGTCTGTGCAGCTGAGGAAGCAGAGTGTGGAGAACCTGGAGGATGGTGAAGAAGTGCCAGGCTTTCTGCCTATGGCAGGGGAAAGGGTCATAGAGAGTGAAAATGGAGAGGGGGCTCCCATAGGCTACTCCCCGCTTCTCCATATCCTGCTGGAATCTGCCTTCTTCAAGAAGATCTTCTCAAATCTTGGGGGTCTTCCAGAGGTGAAATCATACTTCATGGAATTGTGGTAACCTTGGGAGGTCATCAAAACAGCCCCCACTTGGGGGAAGGGACAAGGGCCAGTCCTGACGTCAATGCTTAAGGTTGGAAGGCAGCAAAACTTTAGCTCTTCTAGTGGTGGATTTAATTTAGCTGCCTCCTTTTATAGTGACTATTCACAACTCAATGGATTCCTTTAACCTCTTCTTCTTTCTTTTCCTTCGTGTTTCTTTCTTTCTTCTTCTCTTTGAATTCCCTTTCAAAAATCTAAAATAGCAACCTTAAGATGGAGGCTGCAAAATACGAAAGCATAATCAAAGGTATTGTATGAAAATCGTTTCTATCCTTTTTTTCTCCTGCCTTAAGCCCTGCTTCAGAGAATAAGCAGACCTACAAATGAGATGTAGCTCATTCATGAATTGGTTGTGTATTACTTGGGAACTTGTTTTCCCATAAAAACTGATTGACAATTAGGTTGTTTTGTGTGTGTCCACAGATGCCCATTTAATCTAGCAGTGGCTTTGAAGCACGAGTCTCCTCAAATTTCCCAAGAATTCTGTGAGCAAAGAGTTTCCCACAGCCTAAATGTAGACCCCCAAGCTGAATTTTTGAGCCTCTATAAACCTTGAGTGCCTGACTCAGCCTAAAGATCCCTGAGGTGGTACTAGGGGTGGAGGGGCAATTGCCATGGAATATTAGCATTAGCGTTGGAATTCAGACAGACTTCCATTCTGATCTTGAGTCCAGAAACTCTGGAGAAGGAGTTGTTAAGGAGGAGGAGAAGGCCTCAGCCACCCACTTCCCTTGGAAGGCAGCATGGGCCAGTACAACATGCATGAGGCTGGGTCTTGGTACATATGGTACTGAGCCTTGGCTGGACTATTTTTCACTTTTACAATATTGAGGGAGTCCCTTAGCATCTCTGGGCCACATTTTTCTTAATAAGAATATAGACAAACATGAAGAAACACACATAAAGAAACATACATGCCTAGCCAGAAATGAATCTCTAAAAATAATTCAGATGAGAGTATGAGTGTTGCTAGAATTATTAATGTGATTAGAACTCAGTGGTGGTAGCCTGGAGAGACTATGAAGAGGGGAAGGGGATACAATATTTATTAAACAACTACTATGAATCATGTACTGCCTTAAATGATTTGCATAGATGGAGAAATTTGGAAAAATATTATTTAAATATATCACAACTGCATTCCTCTGAGGGAGGAGATGGTCTTTCTTTAGAAAAATACATTTGATAAGCCACTGTGTATTGACAATGAGGTGTTGAGGGCATCTTTTGGAAAGAGGCACAGAAACAAAGAGAATGTCAAACTGTTCTCCATAAGAATTGCAGTTTCTGGTTCAAAATGGCAGACTGAGGCATATAAATCAACCTCCTGTTTCCTCTTGAGAACACATTAACCCAACGGTAAAGGAATGCAAAGTGAATAAACCCGTAATATTAAAGAAAATGGGAAGTGAGGTCAGAATCACCAGCGGTTGAGAGATTTCAGCAAAGCTTTGGAAAATGAAAACCAGAAGAAAGTGAGCTGGTAAATGAAATGTAGTAAGGAAGCTGAGACCCCAAGTATGTTCAGGTGTTGGCTGCAGAGGATGTAGAAGCCAACCTTCCTGCAAAACTCAAAGAGGCTCTGGGTTCAGGTGGGGAAAGGGAGGAGGAGGAGTTTTCACCATGCTCTCTCTTCAGTACAGAGCTCCTACCTTACAAACAGTAGACAATCTAAGATTCCTGGTGTGGATGCCGGCTTCCTCATTCTGGCTCCAACCTTACAGGTGACTTTGCAACCTGCATCTTCAAGCAAGCCTGACATTGTAAAGCTGTGTCCTGTGGCATCCTTCTTATTCAAGGAAGCCCATTATGAAGAGACTCACATACAAAATAGCTACTTTAGGTAGTCAACTGAGTCCTTATTTTTAAATCCTTATGTGCAAACACAGATTGCCGAATATACTAGGAAAATCAACAGAGTGAAATATAAACAAGGCAAACAAACAGAACAACTGACTGGGAGGAAACACGGTTAAATTATAGAGCAGGAGAAAACTTTCTAAACTCTAACAACCCCAGAGAACTTTTAGATAACATTGTGTCCATTGTCATCCTAGTCATCATCATCATCACTGTCATCACTGTCACTGATACCACCTTAGTGCTTTTCTGGCACAGGAATTGTTTTAGGCACTTTCCATATGTTAACTCATTTAATCCTCATAATACCATAGGAGGCACCTATTATAATGATCCCCATGTTAAAGGTGAGGAAACTGGCATAGAGAGGTTAAGTAACTTGCCCAAGTTCACACAACCAGTAAGTGGCAGAGCTGTGATTTAAATGCAGCCAGTTTGATTTTCAAGTCTGTGCTTTTAAACACCACATTAAACTTTTTCTCATTAAAAATAAAATAATAAAAAATTAAAAAGAGAAAAAAGTCTATAAAATAGAAATAACCAGAGAACAAGGAAGTTCTTGTGAAGATTAAAAATATATGATTGCCAAATAAAAAATTTAGTAGAATAGCTGGAAGATAAGGTCAAAGATACCTTCCAGAATATAGAAGAGAGAGACTGAGGGGGTAGGGAATGGAAGAAAGAAAATGATCAATGAAATTATCTGAAGGCATTCCCCAGAGCCAAAGGAAGGCCGAAGTCCTTAGGCTGGAAGGGTCTACTAAGTGTCTAACACAAAGCATGACAATGATCCACACCTAGACACAAACTGATGACATTCAAGAACAACAATGATACAGGTAGAAAAAGCTTGCCACCATACGGACTGGCCTCACTTTACAGTGATGACCAGACTCAAGCAGGACCATAAGGTTATCCTGCAACTCCACTGCCTTTTCCTAATTCATTGACTCTGTCACTCACTCTCCTTCTTCAGTCCTTCACAGACTCCTCCCACACTCCCTCTTAGTTGACCAAACAGAAGCAATAAAAGACAATGTCCTCACGCACCCACCAGTGCATCTGCTCATCTACCTGAGTCTGTGTCCACTCTGCTTTCTAACACATAATTATTTCAAATATAGCCCTATCAGTGACAATGTAGTTTTTGTTTTCAGCTATCAAATAAATTTTAAAAAACTGGAGAGGGGAAGAAAAGTCGATTGTATTTACCCAGATCTTTACCATTTCTGCTGCTCTTCCTTCCTTCCTTCCTTCCTTCCTTCCTTCCTTCCTTCCTTCCTTCCTTCCTTCCTTCCTTTCTTTCTTCCTTTCCCTCTCTCTCTCTCTCTTTCTTTCTTTCTTTTTTTTTTTCTTTTTGGAGTCTTGCTTTGTTGCCCAGGCTGCAGTGCAGTGGCACAATCTCGGCTCACTGCAACCTTTGCTTCCCAGGTTCAAGTGATCCTCCTGCCTCAGCTTCCTGAGAAGCTGGGATTACAGGTGCCCACCACCACGCCTGGCTAATTTTTGTATTTTTATAGAGACAGGGTTTCACCATGTTGGCCAGGCTGGTCTCAAACTCCTGACCTCAAGTGATCCGCCTGCCTCAGCCTCCCAAAGTGCTGCAATTACAGGCATGAGCCACTACTCCTGGCCGCTCTTCCTTTATTTCTAATGGTCCAGGTTTTCTTCTGGAATTATTTTCCCAGAGTCTGAACTCTTCCTTTAGCAATTCTTTCAGAATCTGTTTGTTGGCAATGAATTCTCTTAGTTTTCCTTTGTCTGTAAATCTATTTCACTTTCATTTCTAAAGGATATTTTCAGTGGAAATAGAATTCTAGATTGACAGTTCTTTCTTCAGCACTTTAAAAATATTCCACTTTCTTCAAGCTTTCAAGGTTCCTGATAAAAAATCTGCAGTCACTTGAATCATTACTCTTCTGTAAGTGGTCCATCTTTTTTTCCTGACTGCTCTTATGTTTTTGTTTGATTGTTTCTGTCTGTAGTTTTCAGCAGTTTGATTATGATGTCTAGGAAACTGGATATTCTTGGGCTTATTCTGTTTGGGATTTTCTGACCTTCCTGAGTCTATAGGTGTATGTCATTCACCCACTTAGGAATTTTTGAGCAATTATTTCTTCAAATAATTTCTTGAGACTGCAAATTTTTTTCTCTTTTTCTCCTGCGACATTGATGGCATGAATGTTAGAACTCTTGTTATTGTTCCACAGGTAACTCAGGCTCTGTTAATTCTTTCTTCAGATTTTTTTCTTTCTGTTGTTTAATTTCAATAATTTCTAATGATCAATTATAAAATTCACAGACTCTTTCCTCTTTCATCCTGATTCCACTATGTATTTCACCCAGTGGTTTAAAATTTTTCTTTATTGTGTTTTCAGTTCTAAAATTTCCACTTGATTCTTTGTGTCATATTTCTTTCCTGATATGTTCTATCCTTCAAGAGTATTTTCCTTTACACTCTTTTGGTGGTATTTCTAATTCTGTTCTTCTTTCCCAATCTGCTGTTATCATTTACTTTTCAGTTTTTTATATATATATAATAGCTACTTTAAAGGCTTTGTCAGGTAATTCTAACATCTGTGTTTTCTTGGCATTGGCACCTGTTAATTGTCTTTCCCATGTGGATTGAGATTTCCTTAATCCTTCATATGCTGAGTAATTTGGATTGTGTCCTGGACATTTTGAATATTATGTTTTGAGCTTCTGGGTCTTGTTTCAATCCCATGGAAAATGTTGATATTTTTGTCTTATCAGGCAGCTAGCCCAGTTGGATTCAGGCTGCAAATCATAACTGACCTTCACTGGGTTGTGGTTTCTATGCCCGTTCAGTTGTCTATCTTTGCAGTGCCATTTGGATCTGCTCCTATGTGTACCACCCAGTGGCCACAGTGGGGACCCGGGTGCTGGTGAAATGCTTCTGTAGTGCAGTTCTCAAAATTTTTGATGTACCGTTTAAGAGTAGATCCATTCCTGCATAGCTCAAGGTGGTCCCTGGAGTTGATATACAACTTTATGGTATCGTTTTGTTATATTGTTTTCTCAAGCCCCTCCTTTTTTATCATCTTCCTAGCACTTTCCAGTTCTCTGGTTCTTTCCTTTTTTTTACTCCTCTGTCCAGAAAGCTGGGCTTTAGTTCTTCACTTTGCCTCGTGCTATCTGCAATTTGCAACTGTACTTATTTCTGCAGTCAAGCCACAGGAGGACAGAGAAAAAAAATCAGTGGGAGTTTATCCTACCCTCTTGGCACCACAGCTTCTCTAATTGGAGAGGAAGATTCTGGTTCCTCAGAGTTTTAACCACTTTGGATCCTCACTGCTACCACTGTCTTTGCTGCCATTGCTGATATCACAGGATTGCTGGGAACCTGAGTCATCAGAACAGAGAAAAGCAAAAAGAAAAAAAGGGAAATTTCTCCTCTCTCTCTAAGTGTAGGACTCCCTTTTCCCATTCTTGACCCACAGCTAGATGGCTGCTCCTGGAGCTCCCTCTGCCCAGACCTGGAGGTAGTGAAGGAAAAGTGGGAAACTCACTGCTGATTTGGTGGTATTTCTAATTCTGTTCTTCTTTCCCAATCTGCTGCTATCATTTACTTTTCAGCACCCTGAAAGAGCTTCTCCACTCATTGCCTATGGGTTTCATAGCTGTATTCAGTGTGAGAGACAGGGCAATGTGTACTTACCCTGTCAACCCAGATGCAAAACTTGCTTTCAGATTTTGAAGGAAAAATACATTTGAACATAGAGCCATTACTAATTAAGTGAAAGGGATAAATCATGTTATTTTTAGAAATCCAAAGACTTGGAATGTTTGCCTTCTAGGCATTCTTTCTAAGGAATTTATTTGAAGATGTATTCCAGCAAAAGAAAGAAGATAAAATAAAAAAGAGGTGTAGATGGGGTTCTGGAAATTATCGAACTAACATAGGAAAGAAGTGCATATCCTCGATAATAGTTGTGTGGTAGGCCTAAAGGGCAACTGGTATAGGTTAGAGCAGATGGTTTAATACTTCTAGAATTATATTTCCATGAAGAAAATGGGTTCTGAGTAATAAATAACTGTAGCCCTAATGATTTAAGGATATACTAAAGGTGCATTCTTCTTTTCTCAAAAGTGAACAAAAGAAAATTTCAGAAAATATAAAAATTCACTTAAGAAATGAATGGTTTACATTTGAAACCAAATAAAGTTTGTCATGTGTTGAGTATCATTCTTGAGTGTGAAAAAAGGATACATTTGACCTAGATTGTAGGAACGTTGTCTATTGAGTGGTGAAAGAATCATGATGTTGGCTTTATTGAGAAAGAAACATAATTCTAACTCATTTCTTATCTATGCAGTAAAACATATTTCTATAGAAATATTAATGAAAATATTAGTAACAATGGCCTAGGTTATGCTGAACTAACAAACCCAGCTCTCTTAATTGACTGAGCACATGAAAATTTATTTCTCAGTCACCCCACATGGCCTAGGCAGGTCAGCATGAGACTCTGTCCCCCCTACTCACGGTCACAATGGAACCCCAGTGATGAGGCTATGCCACTGTGGAGCTGCACCATCTAGAACATTTGGCCTCCTAAGCTACAGCAGAAGGAAGAGAAACATCAGTAAATCTCATTGGGCTCTAACTGTCTCAACCTGAAAATGACTCATCAGGTTTCTCATATTTTACTGGCTAGGGTCAGTCATAGTTCTCTGCCCATCAAACAGTAAGGAAGATGGAGAATGCAAGAGAGCAAATGAAGTATGTGGTGGGTATCACTGCCTGCCATCTTTGTTCATTGGCATTCAACTTCAAGAAGAACTTACATGAGAGGACACATACTGGTTACCTGGAGCAAATACAAACTGCAGATGACCTTCTTGGAGTACACAAACTTTAAAAACTTGGATGTCTTTAAATGGGACACCTTATTTCTAGTTTATTACAGTCCTCAATACTCTCCGTGCCATGACTCATATATACTGCCAGTCCAGTCCCTGAAGGCCCCCGTGACCCCGGCAATATAAAACAGGGAAGACCTAGAAATATACAGTACAATGTCATGTTCCTCTGTATGATGAAAAGTAGAGCTATAGCTAGCCAACAGAGTGGAGTATAGAAAAGTACGTGAAAAAATAGGAAGGAAAATAGGTGTGCTCATATCTTCATTTGGATGCTACTTGATATAGATGAAACAAAACATCTATATTTCAAGGTATCATTTAAAATGATGAATGTAATTAATAGAACTAAAAAGTAATAAGTGTATAAGTTGAGAGAAAACAATGAAAATGACATTACATGTGGTATGAATATAAATCTTTATATTTTATGGTGGGTAAACAATAGATAATATCTGTGGTCAATAAATCAAGAAACAGGTATAAATATACCATTTAGAGTAAGGAGGAAACCACCAGAAGCCTTCAAAACAGAAATGGTTTTAAGAGGTTTCCTCTGGGGGGTGGGATCAGAGGAGGAGAGGGATAGGCAGAGGAGACTATTGATTTAATTATAAGAATGTCTGTACTATTTTATTTAAATAATAATATTCATGCATTGCTCTGATGAAAATATTTTAAAATTCTTTTAAAAGAGAAATGAACAGAGATTTGGTTATGGGGGGAGCAGATATGATTTGAGAGAGGAGGAGGGGAGAAAAGTACAGGGTGGAGAACCTGGAGTCCATGGAGAAATGAAAAAGGTGAGATGGTCTCTACTGAGTGGTCCAAGGTCTTTTAAGAATATAAGCACTAGGCTGGGCACAGTGGCTCAAGCCCGTAATCCCAGCACTTTAGGAGGCTGAGGTGGGTGGATCACAAGGTCAGGAGATCAAGACCATCCTGGCAAACATGATAATACCCCATCTCTACTAAAAATACAAAAATTAGCTGGGCATGGTGGTGTGTGACTGTAATCCCAGCTACTCAGGAGGCTGAGGCAGGAGAATCGTTTGAACCAGGGATTCAGAGGTTGCGGTGAGCCAAGATTGAGCCACTGCACTCCAGCCTGGTGACAGAGTGAGACTCTGTCTCAAGAAAAATAAAAGTTAAAAAAAGAATATAAGTCCTAATATTTAATTTTAGGTTGTTTCTATTTTTGGACTATAAGCCCTTGTCATTATCCCAAACCTTGTTAGCTGTCTGCTATACACACACAACCGGCTTACATGTTTCCTTAGGAAGAACACTAGAGACAGAGACTGAGAGCAGAAGGAATGGTGGCAAGATGAGGATGAGATCACATAGAAGCAAGAAATCAACGACTGAAGGGATCATGAAGATAGGAGCTCTCTGACATTCATAGGAATCTCAGGAAGACCTTAACTTTCCAGTGGAATGTGAGATAGATGGTCTGAGTCAATTTTCTTTAAAGTCAGAGGATAGAATGCTCTTAGCTGTCATTTGTAGTGTTTAAGTTATCCTACTCAGTTCTCAAAGCAACCTTGTGAGGTATTTCTTCATTAATTCAACAAATATTTAAAAAATATTTGCATATGGTACTGTTCAGTAAGTCTTTATTATTATCCTCAAGGATGGTAGACCTTTTCTCATAGCTCCACTAGGCAGTGCCCTCTGTGTGGAGGCTCCAACCTCATATTCCTCTCTGTGCTTCCCTAGTAGAGGTTTTCCATGAGGGCACTACCCCTGCATCAGGCTTTTGCCTGGATTTTCAGGCTTTCCATACATCCTCTGAAATCTAGGTGGCGAATCCCAAGCCTCAACTCTTACACTCTGCACACCCGCAGGCTTAACACCACATAGAAGCCACCAAGTTTTACAGCTTGCATCCTCTGAAGCAGTGGCCTGAGCTGTAACTGGGCACCTTTGAGCCATGGCTGGAGTTGGAGCAGCTGAGATGAGGAAACACTGTCTTAGGCTGAGCGGGGCCCTGGGCCTGACCCACAAAACCCTTTAGTCCTCCTAGGCCTTCAGGCCTGTGATGGAAGGGGCTGCTGTGAAGGTCTCTGAAATGCCTTCAAGGCCTTTTCCCCTTGGTCTTGACTGTAGCACTTGTCTTCCTTGTAGTTATACAAATTTTCCCTAGCATGTGGTTGCTCAGCAGCCCACTTGAATTCTCCTGAAAATGGGCTTTTTTTTTTTTCTACCACATGGCTAGGCCGCAGTTTCTAAACTTTGATGCTCTGCTTCCCTTTTAAACATAAGTTTCAATTTTAGGTCATGTCTTTGCTCATGCACATGAGCATAAGTGGTCAGAAGCAGCGAAGCCACATCTTGAACACTTTGGTGCTTAGAAATTTCTTCCATCAGATACCCGAAACAAATCACCACACTCAAGTTCAAAGTTCTGCAGATCTCTAGAGCAGGGGACAATCTAACCAAGTTCTTTGCCAAGGCATACCAAAAGTGCCCTTTGCTACAGTTCCCAGTAATTTCCTCGTTTCCATCTGAGGCCTCCTCAGCCTGGCCTTCACTGTCACATCACTATTAGCATTTTTATCACAACCATTTAACCAGTCTCTAAGATGTTCAAAACTTTTCCTCATCTTCCTGTCTTCTTCTGAGCCCTCCAAACTCTTCCAACCTCTGCTTGTTGCCCAGTTCCAAAGTTGCTTCCACATTTTCAGGTATCTTTTTAGCAATTCCTTATTTATTGGTAGCAATTTTCTGTATTAGTCCATTCACTCATTGCTATAAAGAAATACCTGAGACTGGGTAATTTATTTTTTAAAAAGAGATTTAATTGGCTCATGGTTTCACAAGCTGTACAGGAAGCATAAAGCTGGCATCTACGTGGCTTCTGGGGAAGCCTCAGAAACTTATAATCATGTTGGAAGGCAAAAGGGGAGTGAGGCTTCTCACATGGTGGAGCAGGAGAAAGAGAGAGGGCGCAGAGGAGGTGGCATAAAGTTTTAAAAGACCAGATCTTATAAGAACTCACTATCATAAAAACAGCACCAAGGGGATGGTGCAAAACCATCCATGAGAAACTGCCCCTGTGATCCAATTGCTTCCCACTAGGCTCCACCTACAGTTCAACATGAAATTTGGGTGGGGACACATATCCAAATCATACCAAATCCTATGTCAGCAAATCTGTATTTCTTCAGCCTTCAGATAGAAGAACTTCAGGTGATAAAAACAAACCCACATCCAGAGTAGGTGTCAGTTATAGAAGGGAAAATTACTGTCCCTCCTAGGGTAGAGGGGTTCGATGTAATCCACTTGCCACAAGTGGCTGATGTGTCTCCAACAATGTAGGATGCCACTTTGGGATCTCAGCGTTGGTTTCTGCTCCTGACATTCAGCAGTAACCACAGCTAGATCAGCCTTGGTGAGAGGGGGTCAATGCAGTGGGCCCATGCCCAGCCTGTCACCAGGGCACTGGAGAAGCCCCAGGACAGCAAGCAAAAGATGTACAGAGAAACGATGTCAGCATGAGGTGAGGCAAAAGCTGCACAGACCTGTCACTGCAGCCAGGGCTGAAATCAGATGTGAGGTGAGGGGCCTGGAGTCGGGCTACAGATGCACCTGATCCAGTTGTCTTCTTTAGGATAAAGAAATACAAAACATCTTAATTTTGAAAATTTTTTTAAAAATGGCCATGTGAACACATTGCTAGATGCTTTAAAAGTCTTTGCAAGGAAGAGATACTTATGAAGTTGCTGAGATAGGCTCAGAATGCAGTTGGTGGAGGGCTGGCGAAGTTCTCATTTCTGATTCTGGCTTGGATGCTTATTGAGCATGAAGGATTAAAGCTGGGAAAGTCTTTGGAAGATGCTGTGGGAACCCAGCAAGATACTAGGTTTGCTTGTTGCTCTGAGTGTTACTGTAGTTTTCCTTTTCTTAGCCTCAGAGAATATCAGAGGTAGTTGGGACCATAGAGACATCCTGGTCTCATCTCCATTTCGCAGATGAGAAAATTGAGGCTTGTAATTTAAAGGGGCAGCCCAAGGTTACTCAGGCAGTTGTTGGCAGAGATGGACTAGAACACTGTGGTTTAAGGTTAATGTTGTAGATCTTAAGCAAATTTCTTGGTAGATCCCCTTACATTCTATGCATTATTAGAATATTAGTAGTTGCTCAGTAAAATCCTGCCCTACATTCTTGCCCCAGCATCAAGGAGGAGTGTAAAGAAATGCTTAGCCAGACTTCACACTGATGGGTACTGGCTTTCCTTCCTCATTTTTCTATCAATGCCCTCAGGGAATCTTCTAAATAAATTGTACATTTGGTCTGCATCTGTCGCTTGCACTTCTCTTATAAAAACTGCTTGAGATTTTTGTTTTTGCTTGAAATGATATTTCGGTTCTTTGCCTTCTATGTAGTTATACAATCTTTTATCTTACCTTCTACTTTCTCATTTAAAATCCTAGAGAAATTAATGTATCATCCACCTATCTAAGATAGATCTATTTTTCCATTTGTCTGTCATCCACCTGCTCATCCCTCCATCCATCCACCCATTCATTGTATCTATCATGTCAGTTAAATGTTTACAAAGCAAGGGGTGTGGCTTAAAGGGAGGGACCGTTCAATAACCTGGAACAGGCAGATGTTTTTGAATGAGGATGCCCTGCTTAGAGGTGTGTCCTCTTCTTGGTCTGTTGAAAAAAGGCAAAGTGTAAGGAATGAGACCATTCTTAGACCACCACATATCTTTCTAGACAGAGCCACTCCCTTTGTCTTTCTGGGAAACTCCTTTCTCCCAGGTCTTTGTCATGAGCTACCATAATCCAGCAGAGACCAATACATTATTTTCTAATTTTGGCTAGTCCAATTTGATGGAGCAGAAGCCAAGGGCTCTAGAGCTAAAGGACACCAGAATAGAAGAAGCAGGAATCATTTTTTTTACAAAGAGCAGAAAGCACAAGTGATAAGGTTATAAAAATAGCATACAAGTGAATGGTCAGGTCTCTGCTTCTACAGACACATCTGACTTGGTCTCAACTTTGAGTAGCCCATATAGGATCTCACTGCACTCTGTACTTTTTTTGGTAATCATTACGATTCTGGTAGTTATCTGTTCAAGGTCAATGTAGCTTTAGCCTCACAGTAGGTGCTCAATATGTATTCTGTTGACTGACTGATTGAATGAATAAATGAATGAATGAACTTACTTTATTCAAGGGCCAGATCTTAGTCTAAGGCCCACCTTCTCTTCCTCCCTTCCCATCCTCACTCTCAGAAATCATGAAGAAGCCATCTTTGGGAAGGTAGCTTCAGGAAGATGTAATTCAGGCAGTATTGGCAGCCTGTCTCTTTTCAGTCCTCCCCCTGCTCTCCAGGGCTTCCTCTCACTCTTGCTCCTCCCTGCTTCCTTCTTTCCCCCTCCTTCCATACCTACCTCCAGAGGCCCCAGACTCAAACTGCTGGGAAGTCTCTTCAAATAGGATTGAAATTGCTTTAAATATTAGAGGATTAGGGGAAGACAAACAGACCTGGGAAAGATCTGTGTTTGGGGGATTAGGATTAGATCTCCTCTGCTGTCCAAGCATTAGCAGAGGCCCCACTGCCCACCTCTGGGCTCTGCCCTCTGAAGCCCCAGCAGCTAAGTGTTGGGCCTCTGGTGCAACCTACATCCTTGGGCAGATCTCACTGCAGTGCTCCATATTGAGAATATTCTGATGAAGCCCCAGTCAGGCAGCCTCTGCTATTTCTCATCCCTAGTCCTCCTCTCCAGGAAACTACCACTCATTGAGTCAGCTTGAAATAAACCCTATTTTCTAGCACTGCCTGTAACCTTAGCCAGTGATAACAATAGACCACGCAGAAGGCTGAGTATGCTTCTGTGAACTAGGTATGGAGATGAGAATGGAAGAGAAGTTCTGGGGCCAGGCAACTTGAGGTAAGACACAATACGGGACACAAACAGTGTGGAATATAGGCATTCATGTCTGTTTATGTTAATAAGCATTCAAATGCATCACGACTTATGTCACGGCTAAAGCCCCGTACTGGTTATAATTCAATATTTATCAAAGTATATTTTATAACTAATTAGAGTCTTAGAATCTTAGTGTTTGAATAGACCATAGAGGTCTCATTGAAGGAAAACCTCCCCTACAGAATCCCTGGTGGGTCTTTACACACTCTTTTCTGAAACCTCCTGGGTGACAGGGAGCAAGATGGTTCATTGAACAGCTCTGAAATGTTGGAAAATCTTCTCTGTATTGAAAATATGCTCCTTGTAGCAGCAGATACATTGGTCCTGATTCTACTTTTAGAACTAAATGTACATATATAAATCTCAACTTGGAATTTGAAGTGCATAGGGAAGAATTTCTTAAACAGACCAGAAAATGAATTAATTATAAATGAAAAGATTTATATATATGACAATATTAAAATTGTAATCTGTCCATCCAAAGACCCCATTAAAGTGTAGAATGCAAGCCATTTGCTAGGGTAAGACATTTGATGTACACACATCTGACAAAGACTTTAATTTCATGACATATCAGTAATTCCTCCAAACAATGAGAAGAAAGACAAATTGATGAAAACATGAACAAAAGGCTGGATGACACTCGTAAATGGCCAATAAATAAGAGAAAAGGTGCTCAACCTCATTAATAACTAGAATGGCAGAAAACATAAAAGTCTGACAATAGCAAGTATGGAGAAAGATGAGGTTCAAGTTAAGTTTTGTCATGGCTAGTGGAATAGTAAATTGGAGCAATCAGCTTGAAAAATAGTGTTTAGTGTCATCTGATGAAGCTGAAGATATGCAAACTCTATGACCCAGAAATGCTCCTCCTGGATATTTACCCCATGGCTGCTCATGTGTACCAGGATACACAAATGATGCTGCTCATAGCAGCACTGTCAGTTTAACGGCCTCACATTGGAAAAAGCCCAAGTGTTTACTAACATTAGGTTGGATTAATAAATTATGGTATGTTAATGCAAGGGAAATATTATACACTAACAAAAATGAACAAACCGTAATTACAAGAAACAACATGGATAAATCTTAAAAACCCACAATGTTGAGCAAAGGAAGTTAGTATAAGATACATCTCCATTTATATACAATTCAAAAATGCAAAAATATATTGTTTGGGTTGCATATTTAGATGATAATCTATTAGCAAAATTTTAAAAAGTTAATTGCCATAGAAGACACAACTGTGAGGTTGTGATTACCACTGAGGGCCAAAATATGGTGCAGTAGAGAAGGCAAGGTGTGGACGAGGGTGGCAATGCTATGTATCTTGTCTTGAGGGGGTGATGGTTACATGAATTTCTTTCTTAATGATAGGTTAAGCTATATATTTATTTTCCATACTTTTCTACATGTGTATTATACTTCACAATTTCACAAATAGTTTTAAGAATATAATTCTAAAAACTATTTTAAAGTTCATATGGAACCAAAAAGGAGCCTAGATACCCAAGGCAAGACTAAGCAAAAAGGACAAACCTGGAGACGTCACATTACCTGACTTCAAACTATACTGCAGGGCTATAGTAACTAAAACAGCATGGTAGTGGTACAAGAGCAGACACATAGACCAAAAGAACAGAATAAAGAGCCCAGAAATAAGATCGCACACATATAAGCATCTGATCTTTGACAAAGCTGAAAAAAAGAAGCAATGGGGAAAGGACCCCCTATTCAAGAAATAGTGCTGGGATAATTGGCTAGCCATATGCAGAAGATTGAAACTAGACCCCATCCTTACAACCACATACAAAAATCAAGTCAAGTTGGATTAAAGACTTAAATGTAAAACCCAAAACTTAAAAAACCGCAGAAGATGACCTAGGCAATACCATTCTGAACATAGGAATGGGCAAAAATTTCACAACGAAGAGTCCTAAAGCAATCACAATGAAAGCAAAAATTGACAAATGGGACCTAAATTTAAGAACCTCAGCACTGCAAAAGAAACTATCAACAGAGTAAACAGACAACCTATAAGGATCTTAAACAAATTTACAAAAAAATCCCAAACCACTCCATTAAAAAGTGGGCAAAGGACATGAACAGACACTTTTCAAAATAAGCCATACATGTGGCCAACAAGCACATGAAAAAAGCTCAATATCACTGATCATTAGAGAAATACAAATCAAAACTACAATGAGATACCATCTCACATTAATCAGAATGGCTATATTAAAAAGTCAAAAAATAACAGATGCTGGCTAGGTTGCTGAGAAAAGGGAACACTTACATACTGTTGATGGGAACGTAAATTAGTTCAACCACTGTGGAGAGCAGTGCGGTGATTCCTCAAAGAGCTAAAAACAAAACTAACATTCAACTCAGCAATCCCATTACTGAGTTATACCCAGAGGAATATAAATCATTCTACCATAAATACACATGCACGTGAATATTCACTGCAGCACCATTCACAGTAGCAGAGACATGGAATCAACTTAAACGCTCATTAATGACAGATTAGATAAAGCACTAAGGAATACTATGCAGCCATAAAAAGGAACAAGATCATGGTGTTTGAATGAATATAGATGAAGCCGAAGGCCATTATGTTTAGCAGACTAATGCAGGAACAGAAAACCAAATACTGCATGTTCTTATTTATAAATGGAAGTTAAATAATGAGAACTCATGGACACAAAGGTGGAAACAACAGACACTGGGGCCTTCCTGAGAGGGGAGGGTGAAAGGAGGGAGAGGAGCAGAAAAAAATAACTGCTGGCTACCATGTTTAGAACCTGGGTGACAAAATAATCTGTAAAACAAACCCCCATGACACAAGTTTACCTATAAAACAAACCCGCACATTATCCCTGAGCCTAAAATGAAAGATTTTATAAAACAGTAGAGACTTGACAAAAGTGAGAAGAAAAAAATAAAAGAATGTAATTCTAATCTTGACAGCTATCATGTCCCACTTAAACTCTCTTTTCCAGGCTACACATCATGAGCTCCTTTAATAGACATAATTTCCAAAGCCCTTGCTACCTTGGAGACCTTATTATTTCTTTCTTTTTATCTATCTCTATCTATCTATCTATCTATCTATCTATCTATCTATCTATCTATCTATATCTATCATCTATTTATCTGAACAATGACTATTATCCTCATTAGGGGTGGTTAAAAGTCAAAGATAATAGAGGTGAGAAACTTCAAATAAGAGTAACTACAAGTCCAATTTGTACTTTATAAAGTGCACATGAGGACAGTTGTCATCAATAAAATAAACCATTAAATACAGAAACCATTAGATGCAAACAAAAGTGTCTACACATTCATAATTTCTTAATCTCTTATCCTTGATGATAATGAGTCCATTGACAGACATTACTGGTGAAAGCTACAAACAGATGCCAACATAGGCAAAATCAACGCAGAGCTTCAGGCTGTGGAAAGAGCCTGCCTAGGACTGCAAACAGGGCGCATCTCACTGGTGAAAGCTACAAACAGATGCCAACATAGGCAAAATCAACTGCAGAGTTTCAGGCTGTGGAAAGAGCCTGCCTAGGACTGCAAACAGGCCCCATCTCATCATCTTACCAGACGTGGACACTGTCTTCCTCAGAAGCTTCTGCCTTGTAGCCTGGGGTGATGAGATCTAGCTCCCCTACTTCTCTCTGCTCAGAGGTACTGGCTGGACCATAGGAAAGACCTCTGGTCTCAACACAAAAGGCACCCCCAGAGACTTCCCAGACAGGCCTTATTTAGGGACAACAGATCATATCTTTTTTTCCCTTCCAGGTAGATACCCCAGGGAAGGAATAAAGCTTGGGGAAAAGTGAGGTCTTGCATGGTCACTTGCAAATGCTAACTAACAAGGACTACTTGGCAGCCTTAAGTCCTTTCTGATTGCCTGGGTTGTCAGAGGAATGCAAAACACCCAGGTGAGGTGCAGTAGTGGGCAGCCCCCGAGAATGGGGGCTGAAATGTGATTATCCCTTCACCCACCCTCTCTCAGGCACTGGCAACAAAGACTCCTGTGTCTAGTCAATCAAAACATCTGTCTACCTGAAGCTTTGCTCCAGGTCTTTATGTATCATTATTACTATATCAGACTACCCAGTTTTCACATACACGTAGCCCTCCTGGGGCCAGAGCTCCCAGCGAGTGTGCCTGCAGTTAGATCAAGGAGAAAGTCTATTTGTCCTGCTCTCTCAGGGAAGCTGAGCCCCTTCACTTTAGCTGCTTCAGGCCCTGAGAAGGCATTGCCTTCTGAATGACACTGACCAAAGTGTAAGTGGACACTGACCAAAGTATAAATGGGCAGGTTAGGAAATGTAATTCTGCTTTTTAATGAAACATATAGGGCTTATTGATGCATATTTTCAGTTGAGACGGTGCATCTCAAATGGGCAAAATAAGGTGTCTCCTGAGATTAAAGCACCTTCTGAAAAAATCTTGCAAAGCAGCTTAATCAGTACAGGCATGGAGATTCAAATCGAGGCCCTCCAAGCCTTGTCTTAACAGTCTCCTTCCTCTAGGCAGCTCCCATCCTCTCTCCCTCTTTCTCCCTCTGCCCTCTTACTGTAGATTGCTCTTGGAGACAGGCATATGCTAATGTGAGAAGTCTTGTGAGATAGATGGATTGCTCCCAGGGTGAGGTAGGGTAGGCTATGGGTCTACCTGCCTCACTGGGGGCTAAGAGTCTGCAATGCATGACAGGACTGGGCCCAACAAGCCAGGGACCCAGAAATCACCAAAGTCACCAATGAGGCTGACTTCGCTCATTCAACCAAGATACATTGAGTACCTAACATAGATCAGGGGTTGCATCTGAATTTCTCAGACTTCTTTCATTTTGCCATCTTCTAATAATTTTCAGGTTTTCTTCTCACACATTAAATAATTGTGGAGTTTTTAGAGTAGGAAAGTGCCCGTAACACACCCATGCCTTTTATGACCATTAAGAGCCAGCAGGGAAAGGTGTTTTGCCTTCGATTACTAGGCTAGTACTTAACAATTAGAACTTCAACCCAGATCTCTTTTTTTTTTTTTTTTGAGACCTGCTTGATTTATTCTGATTAGTTAATACACAATGATGCAACTGTGATCCCCAAGTGTGCAAAATTAAAGCCTTCAACTGCAGCTGAGGAGAGGGCAGGAATGGTATACCTGGGGACAGTGATGAGTCAGGAACGACTCACAGGCAGCCGTGACCAGGGCAGTCTCCTCCCCAGGGTCAGGGGTCGGGGAGTGGCCTGAGGAGCAGGGCCCAAGGGTAGCCCAGGGTGAGGGAAGGGGGCAGAAACCTCCCCCTGGCCTAGGTCAGGAGCCCAGAAGTGCCACATGGCTGAGGGGGCAGTGGCCCGAGTAGGGCCAGAGGCAGGGCAGGAGAGCACCATTTCCTGGAGAGTTGTAAGGTAGGGAGGTGCCCTGCAGGAGAAGGCAGGAGGGGCCGCCTGCCCCAGGGGTGGAAGCCGGGCTGGAGAAGGCTGCAGCAAGAAAGACCTGAGGCAGGTACAGGGCCCGAGAGCCCGGGCTGGCTGGACTCAGGGGGCTCTCAGTGCAGCCTGGCCCAGGGAGCAGTCCTGACTCTTCAGGGATGCCCAGAGAGGGGCCGCAGACCCCTCAGGACCTCCTGTCTTCTCTCCCTGGAAAGGAGCTGGGGAACCCGTAGTGCAAATATGTGGACCACTCAGTTATGGAGGGAGGCTACCGGAAGGGGGCCACTGGGGTGTACCCCCTCCACTACCTTGGCCTCCACTGCTGTCCTCAGTGTGGCTGCTTCTCGTGACTGTGGGGACAAACAAGATGGGAAGCAAGAGTGGTTGTGTGGGCCCTGCTGCCTCCCCAAATCCCTTTCCCCCAGGACCCCCAGATGTGGGAGAGAGCAGAGAGCTGAGGAGCCCTATCAACCCAGATCTCTTGACTCCACGTTTTGTATGTTTTCATTTGCACTCGGGTTTAACAGGCATCTGTGTGCAATTTTGGGAATGCACAATTACAAAATCTCAAACATTTGGCCGAAAAGGACACTCAGATAGGTAAAATGACTTGCCCAAGGTCACTCAGCAGGTAGGACAAGAGAAGATTGGAGTCTTTAATCTCTGGACTTGAGGCCAATCCCGTTTCCATTCAGCCTGTGGTTTTCTTGGGCTGGAATTTTCCTTTTGCTCCCTTTTTCATTGTCTCCTTTTTGGATTTTGCCAAAACCTTCTCTTCTCACATGGAAGGCTCCAAGCCACACAATGGAAATAACCACCTATGCAGCAGAAGGACACTTTCATTCCCCTATCCACCCACTGGGGCTCCTGGCATGGTAGCCAGGACAAATGTCTCCTTTGGAGATGGGATCTGGAGATGAGGAATAATAATAAATTGAGGATTGAACAGGATTGAGCATTGCACACACCTCCCCATCTGCTCTGGTACAGGCTGCTGGATTTGTCTTAGATTAGGTCTCTGTTTCTGATCTGACAACAGATGCCCGAGCCATAAATAACTGTGTGTTTTTCCCTTGAACTTTCACTGCCATCTCCCGATGTCTCGTGTCACATTGCATTCTGGGGAGAAGTGCAGTGGAGCATGCTGCCATCTCCTTGTCCTCCCTCTGTGCCTCTTCTCTGGGCGGCACCACCCCAGTGAGTCCTAAAGTCGGCTCTGCAAATTAAAAAGCTGCAGGCATTGGTGAGGTTTTCTGTGGAAGCTGGTGATTAGGGGCCCAGGATTCCTGGCCCGCTCCCCATTAACCCAGCTCAACCCTGGCTTCTCTCAGGTAGACTGAAATCATCTGCGTGGGCAGAAATCACCTGCATGAGGTCGTGGTAAAATTAGATCCCTGACCTGGCATTTGGCAAAAACAAGAGAGGTAACAGGGAGACTTTGCAGGCAGTTAGGCCAGCCTGGGAACCTCCAGGGCAACTGATGTCCTCATGTGATGCTGACCCCCGTGCTCCCAAGGAGTGACACTAATACATAAGGAAGAATCTCCTTCAGCCCTGCAGGGTGAAACTAAACAACTGGAGTCCTCATCCTTCATGGTATAGTATATACCTTCCCTGCCCCATCTCTCTTCCGTTTCTCTCTTTTTCTAATTGTATTTGGCTCATTTAGGAATCCAGAGAAGTTATCCTTGCTACATATCAAAATGGAACATTGTATAATCAAGAAAACCTAAAGTTTAGCTCTTTCAGCTTGTCTTAGTGACAGATGAAAAACTGATATCAGAATAGCAAGTTCAGATGTTGGCAAAGGTTCAGAATTAGAACCGATTCCATTTTCTGCAGCTCTGTCTCCATGCTGTATATCTTCTCTCTCTCCCTGTCTTTCTCCTTCCTCTCTCTCGACCTCCTTTTCTCACACTATCCTCTCAATCTCTGACATCTCTCTCAATTTCCCTTCTGATTTCCCAATCATTCTTGTCATGTTTCCCATTCTTATCAGACTCTCTGCCATCCCTCTATATTCCTCTCTTTTCTGTCCTGGCTTCTGTTTCTCCCTCTTTCTTGCTCTCAAGGTCTCTGTCTGTGGGCCTCTATTTCTCTCTTTCCCATTGCCCTTCATTTTCTCAGTCTCCCGAGGTTTCTGGTAGGAGATGGTCATGACACAGCCATGGCCATGCTACCTCAGTGCCTTACTACCTCTGCCCCCCTAGACCCACTCCACTTCAGGTGATAAGGAAGTTCAAGGCAATGGAACTTGGTGCACTGCTTTTCCAGCTGCTTGACTTGGGGCATTTCTCCTGGTGGTGGTCTCAACAGAGGATCAGCAGTTCTCCCTGGACTGACCAGGCAGAGACCCTTGCTCTGCCTTCACTTTTCCTAACCATGGATTTTGTCCCCCTGTTCGAGGGCTCACCTTACTCACCCTTCTCCTTCTATTTCCTCCCTGGCCTCTGGTCTTTATCTTTCTCTCTGGCTCTTGACCTTATTCCAGCTCCCCCTTTATTCATCTCCTTCTCCCCAACACTTTTTTTCATCTATTTACTGTATTAGTCCATTTTAACGCTGCTAATAAAGGCATACCCAAGATTGGGCAATTTACAAAAGAAAGAGGTTTAATGGCCTTACAGTTCCATGTGGCTGGGGAAGTCTCACAATCATGGTGGAAGGCAAGAAGGAACAAGCCACATTTGACATGGATGGCAGCAGACAAAGAGAGAGCTTGTGCAGGGAAACTCCTCTTTTTAAAACCATCAGATCTCATGAGACTTATTCACTATTATGAGAACAGCACAGGAAAGACCCACCCCCATGATTCAATTATCTCTCACTGGGTTCCTCCCATGACACATGGAAATTGTGGGAGTTACCATTCAAGATGAGATTTGGGTGGGGACACAGCCAAGCCATATCACTTTGTCTTGTCTCATGACCTAACTCCAGCCCTGTTTCTTTCCTTTTGTTTTTCTTTCTCATTATTTTCCCTCATCCTGTCGATATCTTCCCCTCATGCACTCATATAGCCAAGTTTGTCTTTCCCCTGGGGGAGATTCCAGACCCTCTTCCTGTAGAGTATGCAACACTTTCCTACCATCAACCCCTTTGTCTCTTCTCTTGGTCTTCCTGCAGCCCCAAGTCTCTGCTCTAGGAGTGGCATCTACTTTCTGTTCTGCAGAAAAACTGGAGTGTTTCACCTGTTTCTGCAGACCTGGGTGTTCCTGAGTAGACTGAGTTCAATGTGGCATACCACTTAATAAGCCAGTGAAAAACCAGAAACAACAATTTAGGGGAGATCAATGAAAAAATACTCTTGCAAAACATTTTGGGATTCATTGGCATCAAGGAGAGGAGACTAAGTGGGGACTGAGTAGAGTCTGCAAGTAGGTGAAGGGTTGCAGTATAGGGTGAGGCATATACAGCTGTTTTCATGTGAACAAAAAAATATGTAGCAAAAGTAAAGA
Organism: Homo sapiens; assembly: GCF_000001405.40. Classification (NCBI taxonomy): domain Eukaryota; kingdom Metazoa; phylum Chordata; class Mammalia; order Primates; family Hominidae; genus Homo; species Homo sapiens. The sequence goes on along the minus strand of NC_000011.10, from coordinate 114,926,114 downwards.
GTGAAGGATTAGCTGAAGCCATGGGGATCTGGCTAGGAGATCCATGAGCAGCTGGGAAACATTACCCAGAGAGGTTATGGGGCTGCTCTAAGACAGTTTTGGAAAAGGGTCAACTTATCTAGATGGAATGGTTTTGGTGGTGTCCTTCCTTGTGGCAGACGATGGAAAAGGTGACCTCCAGTTCCCTTTGTGTTTTTAGCTTCTTGCTTTCTCCTCAGCCACCATAGCATTCTGACTCTGTGAATTTGTGACTGCAGATGCCTCATTAGCCCCTGTAAATAGCGATGTAGCCTTGCTATGTGAGCCATCACAGGCATGATTCATCATTCCAGTGCACTGACTTGACACAGCCCACTCCTGCTTTGATGCCATTCCTTCCTAAGAGGCCCCCCTCCTTCCTCTCTCAGGGTACCAGGCCTATCCTGTATTCCTTCCCTGGGACCTGGCCAGATGACTTGGAAACCCTCAGGAACTTGGGGTTCTCAGGCCTAGGTCCCATTTCCTAGTCAGACAAGTCAGACAAGTAGCCCAATTCTGCCCCCTCCTTGGACAGTTCCTGCCTCCCTTCTTGGTCTGGCTCAGCATAATCTGGGCAGCAGGCATGATACAAAGCAAGGCAGTGCAGCTGGCCAGCCAAGACCATTCTGCATTCCCGAGCTTTGAGACAGAGTCGTCAAGGTCTGAAGACCACCAAAGGGCATCTTATTGAGTGAGACATGCATTTTTAATAAACTATATTTGACTCCCATGATGGGCAAGTTATTAAGTCGTTTGACAGCCAATGGCATGAGGAAATGAAAGAATACCTTGAAAGTAGACATTTCTTGGCAGATAAGGGAGAAATTCAGTGAGCTGGAGGCAATAGAAAAAGAAATGCAAATAAAGATATGATGCTTTTACGCATCTGCATATAGTGGAGAAGCCATTAATATAACAGTGAATAGTGGGATTTTTATCACTACTTGACTTGAATGTCTTGAAAAACTAGCTCAGCCTTGAAAGGATCAGTCTTTGTAGCTCTGGACCAAGCCCCAGTCCTTTGTCTCTGTGTGGAGAAGATGAATTTGTTTTCTGATGTGTTTTTCTCCCCCTTTCTACATCCCTTTGAAATGAGCTTTGAGTTGGTTTTTCATCACCACCTGATTTAGAATTATTAAGGATAATGATAAGGAGTAAATGGTTCTTTCTCACTCAGAGGCACACTGCTGAATTGATGGCTGCAGATCCAGGCAGGCGGCCTCCTAGCCACTGCTCCAGGTGATTGAATGAATGCCCTCATTTTGGGGGACCTCTTTGAGACCCACCTTCTCCGTGGCCTTTACTGGCTACCCTATGACTGCAGTGAGCTTTCCATTTCTCTACACCTACAGACTGATTGACGATTTGGCCTGTCTGTTGGGCCCCATCTTTCAGTGCCCTAAAATGGTACTTTTCTTTGCAGTTGCTATATATTGTAATCTTTTGTTAGCTCTTCTAAGTTTGTGGTTTTGTGTTTTCAACCTCTGTCCACAAGACTTGGGATAGAACTTGGTCTAACCATATTCCCTTCCCCAGCTTGGGAAGGGGAGACCACTTGCCTTGGGGCATTTAGGAAAACAGACTAGTGAGAACAGGGTGTAGCCATAAATATCAGGGCCTTTATTATCAAGTGGGTTCTGATATGCACTTGATAAGCCCAGAACTTGTGTCCTAGAAGTGGATATTTGGAATTGTTCAGTGGCCTCATTCAGGGGTCTCTCCCTTATGTTGTTCTATCATTACTCCCTTAAGAATTGTAGAGAAACTAGTGTTTGCAGACTCCAGACACATGCTGTGCTAGGGAGAGACTGCCTGGAGGTAAGAGGTCCAGTGGACAGATGACTCATCTTATTGCCTTAAGACTCCTTCCATATTCATGATGCATGAAGCTCATGGATTCCCTCTTGCCTCATCACTTGCATTGCAAAGTCTTCCACTGAGCCCTGTGGAACTGTGCTCTGTCTGTGACAAAATCTCCTGAATCTTCAATCTCTTGTTTTAACAGATCTATTGCCATTTTGCTCTAACTAAACCATCCTCTTCCCTGATGACTTTGTTTTCCACTAAAACCCATTCAAACATTGGCTTTTTGCTCCTACTCCCCCACACTACCAGGCTTGGTGCTGGAGTATGTGCTTTCTTTTGTCCTCAGAGCTGTGTTTAGAGTTATTCATCCTCTTTCCTAAAAGTGCCCAACTCTTTGAAGTCATCAGACCATATTTCCTTCACATACTTAATGTCACCAACTGAATGTCTAATAAAAATCTCCCAAATCAAGCTTGCTTTCATCAATTCCACACCCTAAACCTGCTTTTCCACTCAGTCTAAACTCATTAGATGATACTACCACTCAGTTGCTTTGTCTGAAAGTCATAGTCAAACCTAACTTTTATCTTTCTCAATGCTGTGGTTTGAATGTGTTCCCCAAAGTTTATGTGGGTTGGAAACTTAATTTACAATGCAACAGTGCTGAAAGGTGGGAACTTCAAGAGGTGATTAGGCATGAGGACCCCACACTCATGAGTAATGTCACTATTGTGGGAGTGGATTCCTGATAAAAGGCTAAGTCCAGCCCCCTTCCTGTCAACCTCTCTTATTCTCACAACTTCCATACAAGATGCGGCATCAAGAAAGCCCTCACAAGATGCCAACACCTTGATCTTAGACTTCCTAGCCTCCAGAACTCTGAGAAATAAATTTCTTTATTTTTTTTTATAAATTACCCAGTCTGTGGTATTCTGCAGTAGCAACACAAAACAGATTATGATGCTTCTATTCTCTACATCCAATTTTTTAAATAAGCCTGAGTGGCTCTTCCATCAAAATATCTTCCATGACCACTTGTCAACACCTTCCCTACCCTCTCTCAAGTTCAAGCCATCAGTAGTTGCTCAACTTACTATACCAGGCCCTAATGAGTCTCCTGTCTTGTCGCACTCCCATCTATTCTGAATAGAGCAGCCAGCGTGAAGCTTCAGGATATACGCTGTAGCATGTCCCTCCTTGACACTCCAAAGGCATCTCTCTTAAGTAGAATAGAACCCTAGATCTTTACACAGCTTACAGGACCTTAAATTACCCTGTCCTGGTGATTTTATTAATGACCACTCTTCCTTTTACTCACTTCACTCCAGCCACACACTCTTCCTGTCTGTTCATCAGCTATACTAAGAATATTCCCACTTTCCATCTTTGTTTCCTGGAACATCTTCCCAGTAGCCATTAACCTTCCCCTCTCCTCTTACTTCATTCTCTTCTCTGCTCTAATGTCACTTCCTCAGAGAGACACTTGTAACCTCATAATCCCCTGCCCAACATTCTGGATATCATTTTTTGCTGTTTTTCTTCATAAGAACTTAGTTATGACTGCCTGACAATATGTTAATATATTTACTTGTTTAATGATTTATGGTCTATCTCTTCCACCAGACTGTAAAGTTTATAAGAGCAAGGACTTATTTTGTTTTTTCACTGTTGTATTCCTAGCTCCCAGACCAGGCATATGGATGGTGTTCAATAAATATGTGTTGGATGAACAAAAGAATGATGGGAAGCAATAGCTGCACAAAGGAGGATGAAGAAATTTTTCGTAGAATTCCTGGTACTAACACCATAGAAAGAAAGAGAGAGAAAGCCATCCATATGGGGGCTCCCAGAGAAGGATCAATTCAAACAGCAACTTCCTTCCAAGCACATAAAAGAGACATAATTATGTAAACCTCAGAGTAAAATAGAAAAGTAAGAATTTAGATGGCAAAAAGAGGAAGAGTCCTCCTTTCACTCAAAGAGGCCACACCTAATTGGTAAAAGTGAGTGAGGAGTGGCTCTTCTCCCTCCAGAAATTTTAGTCATTGTCCTAGTCTTTTGCATTATAGACACATGGCAGGAGGAGCCTTTAAAAAGTCTCAAGAGAAGGGAAAGCACTGGATTCTTATCCCAAATATAACTTCTCCAACAGAAGGACAGTGAGTACCTGCATATGCTGAGGGAGAGAGGTGCACAGCGAATCTAGAAACACCTCTCCATTTTACAAACTCCTATTAATTATTAATTATTTCAAGAATCACCTTAAGTACCATTTCCTCTTCCTCACTGCTCCAAGCAGACTTACTTATCCTTTGTACACACCTTTGAATGGTATTTTCCTTATTGTGTGATACTTTGCTGTTTACACATCCACTTCCCCAGTTTGATTGTGAAGGCCATGGCCACGTCTTACTCATCTCTGCATGCTGCACATGGTGATACTCAGTAAACATTGGCTGAATTAGAAGCCAGCTCCATCTGGCTGAATTAAAGCCAGGGAAGGATTTAAAGGAAGGGGCTCCTGTTGACACCTGTGCCCTTTAGTTCTGGCACAAAAAAAGCTTTTGCTGCAAAAGAGCAGCTCCTGTCCTCTTGAGTCCACTTCCACCACCCCTACCTTCTGAATACCTTCCTGTAACCCTAGTCTCTGTTCTTTGAATTCCTCTATGTGTCCAAGCTAATCAGCCGGCATCAGTACCCTCTGTGATCTGTCCTGGGCTAATCCAGACAACCAGCTGAGGCAGCTAGAGAAAGAAAAAAAAAGGTTGAGGCAATAATATATCTTGATTCTTTCTTACCCACAGAAGTAGGTGCTCAACACTAAGCTCTCCAAATAGACTTATTTAACAAGGTGTATTGATCAAAAAAGGACAGTGAGGCAGAACGGCTCTTTCCCTCTAATTTTCTACTCTTGGTCTCAAGGCAGGATACTCTGTCTGGGTGTCCTTTCTTGGTACAGATGTGACTGCAACAGATGCGGCTGTTAGGGGAGAAGCAGAGAAGTGGCATTCACCCTGAGCCATCCTATGACCAGGCAGGATGTGCAAAGGGGCATCCCCATGCTATGATCAGTTTAGCCATGTAATGTTTTTCATTTCTTCTTGTATCAACTTGAAACATGTTTTTCAGATTCCATCTGCTTTATGACTATTAGCTCAAAATTGGAGCTTACTTCTCATTACTTGTTCATATAACATATTAGAAACAGGGCTAACTTATTGTTTAATGTAATTTATTTTAATAACACCAGAAGTTAAAATCATTTCTGGTCTGAAGACTGTAGTTATCAAAGTCTTTACTGTGATTAAAATTTGACTCTTGTCTTCTTTTCCTCTTTTCCCAAGGTTATATAATCACAAGCAGAATTTTGAAACAAACAAACAAACAAACAAAACCCCAAAACCCAAATCTACATTTCTGGCCCCATATCCTGCTCTTCCCACTACCGGTACTCCCCCTCCAGTTTGGCAAATCCCTGCAAAATGACAATGTTCCTTCTCAGAGGCAGTTAACTGCACCCAGAGAGCCTTCCTTCTTCCTCTCCACTTACACAGCCTTCTCAAGCAGATTGTTCTGTGCATGTGGAGCCCATGCTACCTTTCTCCACTTACAGTAACTGGTGTTGTGTGTTTGAGGGGTTGATGATGGCCAAAGAGGATTCCTTCTCACCTACTGGCCATATCCAGTAAGAGTAAAGAGAGTGTCTTCTCATGATGTAAAGTCATATGTTTCGTTTCTTTTTCTCACCTATTTTCTCTAGTAACAGACCACAGAGTACAGATATAGCTCCATTCTGTCTTTGGATCTCCCATAGCACATCTTATCCATAGCTCTAGTATAAATGTCCCTTCTATAATATTTGTTGCAATTAATAATAAGAATAATGAGACTGTACTGTGTGTAGGCATTGTACCAAGGACTTTACACACCTAATTTCATCTAATTCTCACAACAACCCTGGAAGGAAGGCATTACTACTATCCACACTTTATATATAAGAAGGCTGATGCTTAGGGAATTTAGGTGACTTGACCATCTCATGAGACCATAAGACCTCTGGGGCAGAGATCAGAATACTACAACTTTGCATCCTCTCTGGTACATAGAGGCATTCAATCAGTTACAACAAGGAGTCATGCAAACCAGTGATTGGCTATAGTAGGAAAAGGCAGTGGAGTCTAAAGATCATTCACCTTTAGCTCCAGCCTTCTGAGTCCTGGAGAAAGAGGAGGGATGGGGGTGACAGGCAATATGCATGTACAAACACAGTTGGGTCCATTTATTTAGAAAGCAATGGTTAGCATTTCAGTGAGTTCTGTTCTCTGAGTGTGCTAAATCCAGGCCTGAATAGCAACCAGCAGTCTCAGGAACTTTGTAAGTGGCAGGATATAGTCTCCCATTTTACAGATGAGGAAGTTGATGCTCAGAGAGACTGAAGACTGGTCACAGCTGGGGAGTGGGAGAACAGAGTCAGCACATTCATTTTCTAAAACATGGTTCCTGCATAATTCTCTCTTACTGTGATCCTTCCTTGGCTGGTAGATTAAGTAGAGACCAGTAACCTGAGTTGAGTATGGCAGGCTCCAGAAGTTGCTGGGCTTACCTTATCCTTTCTTGTTCCATGGGGGTTGCTGTGCCCCGATCAGGCAGGAAGAGCAGTTCTACGTCTCTGACATGTCTTTTTCATGGCAGGTTGAGTTAACTGGGGCTTACTGAATTTGTTGGAGCCTAGGATCTTGTGCCTTCTGTATAAGTGTTGACGTCTATTTGTGCGTGTGTCTCTTTTGAAGGTATTCTCACCAAGATGCAGGGTATACTATTAATACCCTAGCTATATATTTGCATGTATATATAATTGAAAATTGTGTTCCTTGGTTTCCTCAGCTATAAAATAGGGATAATAGGACTTACCCTAATTATTTCAGAGAATAGGAATGAGAATCCAATATAGTAATAAACGGGAAAGCTCTGTGCAAATTTAAAGGGCCATGAAAAACCATAGTTGATGGCACTAATGGTATGAATTTATTGGACTTAGAATAGTAATTTATAGCTTGGGCTCAGTTTTCTTTCTGTATGACAAAAACAAAAATTTCATTAAAATAAGATCTCTGGGGGGCCTCACAACCCTTGACACCTGCTTTTTCAGGATGGTGAGATAAAGAAAACTAAAGTACTTGGCTAGGCCTGGAGTGCCGGGACAGCTACTCACTACTTACTAGTTGTTGACAAGAGTGTGTGGGGGGCAGTGGGAGTGAGGGGAGTCTTATTGATCTCAGAGTGTCTTGAGTGGATGAGCAGAATAGAGAAGGATATTAGTTGGTAGTGTTTATTCATTCCCTTAGGGGTAGATTCAAAACTTTGTTTTCACATTGCCTCCCCTTCCCTCAGCGAACTCTTCCCAGTTACTGCTAGTAATAAAGTAAGTAGAATAATGCTTTTCTCTTTCCATAGTATAGCTTGATTGTCACTTTTGATGAAGAGATGGGTGATCCTTTCAGAGGCTGGTCATGCTAAGATTGAGGTGCGCATTCCCTTAGCCTACCATTTCCCTACCTAGACAGTGAGCCTCTGGGTTTAAGCAAACCAGCCTGCATCACAGAGCCCGCTCCTGCTCCCTGTATGTGCTCACGCTCTGTATGTCCATTGCACTTGCTGTTCTGAGTGCTTTGCGGAATGTGTGAGTTCTCTCTTCACCATCTTCCCCTTCTCCAAAGAGGGCCGGCTCAGTCCTATCCCTCCAGCCTGCATTTATCTCAATGTCATTTCTTCGAGATGTGAGCTGGAACAAATCTAGAGCAGCTGCTTCATTTCTAAGTGTCCTTTAGGGACCCCCTCGGCAGACACTTTGCAGAGTATAATGATGACATTCTAACGAGCATTAATGTACATGTTGTCATTTTTCTATATTTACTCTTCCCGCAGGAGGCATAGCTCTGAGAAGAGAACATAAAAAGCAGGGAGACAGGGAAAAAGTTTTATGGGCAGCTCACTGCCAACCCACTGGCTGAGAAGACTCATTCCTGAGGAGAGAAAAAGGGGGCGGTTGGGGGTGGAACATTCTGGAAGTCAAGAGGATGGGAAAGGGGAGCAAGAGTGGGAGAAGACTGGAGAAGTAGAAGGCGAGATTTAGGAGGAGGTAAAAATTTCAAAATGGATTTAGGACTCCAGATTCTATTCTTCCAGGTCAAGAATATTGTGCATATTTTCTTCATTTCATGACCCCGACCACTGTATATTGCAGTAATTCATTCATTCATTCATTTGTTCATTCATCCATTCATCCATTTAACAGGCAGTGGTTGAATCCTTCCTGTGTGGCAGACCTTGTGCTAGGCACTAAGGGTGCAAGCATAAATAAGAACCAGGACCTCTCCTGGAACTTAATAGGCCAATGACGGACAGGTGAGGTTACGCCATTGACTCATCACAACCCCATGAGGTGTGGGCTACTTGCTTCATTTTGTAGATGAAGGAAAAGGCCCAGGAAAGTGAAAAAAATTCACATAGATTTCAGTGTGTTCACAGCCAACCCAAGATTTCAACCCTGTTCAGTGTTCAAATACCTTTTTCCTTCATTATTTCAAAGGAATTAAGGGAAGGGGTATAGGTAGAATCCCAGTTCTGAGGGTCCTGGGAGCTCTGGGGGGACTCTGGGGATGTCTGTCAGGAGCTTTCAGACCCTTTGCTGAGCAGCAGAGAGCAGGGGGACTCCTTTTGCTTGGGGATGGCCTAGGGAATCTGTCAGTTGAGGTTGGAGACAGGCATGTAAGAAGCTCCATTGACTCCTCCCAGCCTGACTTCCATTTTCCCTTTGAGTGGGTTCTGCAAATATCTCATAATGTGTTTTCACTAATTAATGAATTGATTCACAATTAATTATACATTTATATATTTCACTGTTTGCAAAGCTTCCATATTCGTTATCATCGTAATAACTCTGAGGTCAGCAGGGGAAGAGTTATTATCCCCAGTGGACACATCATCAAGTAAGGGCTCAGAGATGTCAACTTACAGAAAAATCATTCATCCAGGAAGCTGCAAAGCCAGAATTCTAGCACAAGGTCTTCTGACCCGAGTCCTCTGTTCTCCTTAAAGCCTTGCTGCCTCCATGGACCACAAAAGCTGGATAAAGTTGTAGAGATTCCCTCCTACAAATTACAGTTGAGGACCCTGGAGAGGTTAAATTACTGGCCCAAGGTCACAAGCCAGCTATAGCATATTTGTTTCTCGACATGGGGCCACCTCACATTAAGCTTGGGTAGGCCTGTTTCTAAATGCCACTCTGGTCTCTGTCCCTAAGAAGCCAATCGGAATATGCATGAAATTCTTGAAAATCATTTCAAGTTCAAACACAAGCATACAGGTGTGGGTGGTGTAGATCCCAGGGGATGAAAACAAAGTCAAAGCATGATCTCTGTGGGGTGACAGGCCCCGGGCTCTCAGGAAAGCTGAGCCCTTACAAGGGCAGGAGAGAGGTGAATTTGTTCCTTGAACAAGCAAAAGGGAAGATCCTTTACTTTCCCTTAGACGAAGGATAAGGTCAAACTTCGTCCTCTCCTGCCCATAGATCTTATCTGGGTGGGATTGTATCAAATAAATAATGTATCAGAAGATTCCTCCTCTGTTACATTAGCCCCATCAGAAGCGAGAGCACAGCCCGGGTGTGTGATAAGTGGTAATAAATGGCAGTGCTTGTCGGTGGAAATTTTTCTGGCAAATTTCCGAGCCAGATTAAAAAGTAAATTAGATTTCTTCTGAAGAGTTATTTTCAAGGGTTTTTATCCACTGACGTGTGTATGCAAGATTGCAGCTTTGCCAAGGGGGAGAGAACAAAGCTGAAAAAAATAATAAAATGAAATAAAATAAAAATCAGCACGCAATTATCTGTCTGAACAAGGCTATCGTTGGAAAGGCACCTAATCAGAGATGTCTCGAATTTGCTTAAAATACAATGTGCAATATAAAATGTATTTATAATGTGCCTCTTATGCTCCAATAAAATTGTTACCAGGGCCAGACAATTGCAGGAGACAGGGGTTGTAAAACGGAATGGATCAAATCAAATCAGTTATTAACAATAGCTGAATAAAATACAGCTTTGGGGGCAGGGAGTTGTATATTGTTTTGTTGGGTTTTAGTCTGCTTGGCCAAGTCTCTTAAGTCATGTGTGTCAAATACCAATGCCTCTTGCTGCATTCCTCTGTGTCTGCCTCTGCCCTTGGCAGGTCCTCATCCTCTCTCTCCTTGTACATTTCCCACAGCCTCTTGACTGATCTTTCTGCTTCTGGTCTTATCAACCACTTCCAGTTCACCTTGCATACTGAGCTAAGAATGACCTCCTAGTTAGCAAATCTGATGGTACCATCTCCCTGAGACTCCTCGTTGTCTATATCATAGCGTCTGAACTCCTTAGCCAGCCTCAGAAATACCTTTGTTACGTGCATCCAACTGGCTTTCCAGTCTCATTTCATGATTTTCATGTCCCTGCACAACATGCTTTCAGACAGACAGGGAATGTTACAAAACTTTCCCAGGTTTCCCATTGCCTCCTATTCCTCCCAAGTATCTACTCAGTAGATAATCAACAAGTGGATAAATGAGCAGAGGAGTGTAGTCTCTGGATGGAGCCTCAAAGAAAGAGATAGGAATAAGGGCAGATTTAAGGAGAACTTTGGCATTTCAAGACTAAGGAGTTACCATGGCTACCCTACATCACTGAGCAAGCCAACATTTTCATTTAAAAGGATATTCCCTTTCTTAAAAGCTATCAGTAAACAGCTAATCAACCAGGTTCACTCTATAGAGCTACTGAAATAATAGTAAATTTCCATTTTCATTAGGAGTCATGTTTTCTCTGGATTAGGGGTTATTCAAGAGTTTTTTCCTCCTCTTCTTCTTCACACCCACTGATTGGCCACTTCAGTGCTTAGAAGCAGAAGCAAGGGAGTTGAAACTCAAGCCAGCTCGTTATACTTCCAATGAAGAGAAGGTTGGGGTAGACAATGAAGGTTTGGGCTCTGGACTAAAAAGAACCCTGTGGGTTTAAATTCTCCATTTCCCCTCCCCAACAGCTCTCATTACTCCTGCTCCAAAACAAACAAACAAACAAACAAACAACAAATAAAACAACAGTCCTTATTTGTGTTCCAGAAAGACTGAGAAATCTTGAGAACTTCTAAGTTTTTGCTGCCCTCATCACATATTTTATTCACTTCTTCCTCTCCCTAGAACCTTTCCAGCCTAGGTATGATGATTTCTGGGGAGTCATTAAGGACAACTGCTTAAGGGGACTATCCTCCCTTTCCCAGCCCCCATGAATGCATATGTTTTCTCCATCTTAAAAAAATAGAAAAGAAAGAGGAACACTGGGGTCTGGTAATATATGTATGAAGGTGAAGGCTGGCAAAGAGAGGGCACCAGGGAGAAGATGCAAAGCACTAGGACTGAATCATGCAAATTAAGTGGCCTTAGAATTAACTGAAGAGCCACTTATTTTAGTCCAAGCCCCCCAGAGCCTCCCTTGGGAAGCAGAGAGATGAAGGTGAGAGAATCTTTGTTCTTCCTTCCCTAATGATATTTACTTTCATCTCAAGTGGTGTAGATCCATGTAATACCCATACTCAGAGAAGCCAGCCCCTCATTGCTCAGCATGGAGTAGACACTGCATAGGGAAGACACCTAGCCTTCTTCAAAGAACAGAGAGAGCCCAGGGAGTACCTGCCCCTAGAGCACTTGCTGGGAAACTCCTGTTGCAATGTACTCATGACCTTGCCTGGGGGCAGGTGTGCCTGGACTGCCACATAAGTACAGCTGCACAGTATCTGGTTAAAACTGGGTGAGAGGCAGATGCTTTCGGAGAGCTAGTGGGGTTAGGTTAGACCCAGGGAAGAGAAAGACTAGTTGGGTCCAATTGAATCCAGCTTGGTCTTGAGTCCACTTCACAAAGGCTCCAGCCAGTAGTTATCCAGTGGTATCTACCCAAGCAGATCTAGCTGGAGGAGATGATGACTGAGAAGAAGGAACAGGGCCATCCTTTATGTTGTAAGTGACAACTGTCTATACAAATAAGCCTGCAATGGGACCTGCGGTGTTTGAGCTGTAAAATAGCCATGCTTTCTCTGTGCCATGGAGCCATGCCAACCCACAGATGCACCAGATGTAGGTAGGCCCAGTGTGGACCTAACCCCATGCCTTGTGAGGAGCAAGATCAGAAGAAGCCTGCCCCAGGAACAAGGTGCTGGATGCTGAGATAATTCCCAGAGATTCTCTGAAACCCTTTTTTGTGTCCTCTGTCAGCCATCCACTTGGCTTTCTTTACCTACTCTCTCTTCCCTTTTGTTCTTCTGGCCTTATACTCTATCATTTTTTTCTTCCTTCCTCCTCTGTTCCCCAGTGACATCCTCTTCTTCTCTTATGCCTTCTATTCCCCTTTCTCTTTCTTCCCTCCTGGTCTCCATTTCCTTCTCGTCTTCATCCCTTCTCCTCACTCCCTTACTCTTACCCTCCTGTCTTTCTATAAGGAATGATGGAACACCACGTGTGTCCAGGCCTACAGCTCAGGTGCAGAGATGAACAAAACCAGACCCCATGGCTGAGGAGCTTCATCTCATACAGGAGACAGGAAAGGAAGCAAATCATTAAAGCCAGTGTGGTTGAAGCACAGATGTGTGGAGATGGGGCAAGAATTGATGCCACCTGATTCTATAGGGCTTGTGCCTGGGCAGAGGAGCTTGGCTTATCTCTTGCAAGTGATGGGGATTCTTGGTAGGTTTTCAAAAAGGGAAAGGACAAGACAGACTTCCTCCTTCTTCTTCGTATGCTTCTCTCATTCTTCTCTGCGTCAGCTTTTTGCATGCTCTTCTTCCTTCTCTTCTTCTCCTCCACATCTTTTCTCCAGAGGCTTCCCTTACCTCCACCACTGCCACTGCCAGCTACGCTCTGCTATGTGCACAGGTCCAGTTTGGGAGGCAACAACATCCTTGGCACACGCAGCAGACACCTGCCTCTCTCTGCCCACAAATAGTCTCCTCTGGTCTTACTTGACTTCTTTGTCTTGTCCTCATTTCCTTGTTCCCCCAAGATCCTTTGTCAGTCTCTTCCGATTCTAGACTGAATAGAGGTCCATAGTCTTCTGCTTAGCCTTGGTGACGTAGAAGAGTTGAGATAGCCTCCCCAGCGTCTTGCAGACTTTTAGACCAGCTGCTTGGTAAAAACCAATCTCTCTGTCCAGTAATCTTTATCTTTAAAGATTGAAAGATATCTTAGAGATGACGTTAATACTTATATCCTTACTCATACCAATACCAGTACTAATACTGATACCAATACTTACACTAATATCCATACCAAGAATTTATGTATGTACAGTGTCTTTCAGAGCAAAAATATCTCATTCACTGGCAATACTTAATTGAAAACCCATAACTATGTCAATAAATACTTGCAGAAAACCTGTACCAGATTTTATGTGGGGTGCTTCATATATATGCTTGCTCCTTTTTTTATTTTTATAGATTTAAGGGGTACAAGTGAATTTTTGTTACATGGATATGTTGCATACTGATGAAGTCTGGGCTTTTAGTTTAATCATCACCCAAAAAGTATACATTGCACCCACTAGGTCATTTTTCATCCCTTACCACCCCTTTGGAGTCTCCAATGTCTGTTATTCCACTTGTATGTCCGTGTGTACACACTGATAAGCTCCCACTTACAAGTGTGAACATTTGACTTTCTGTTTTGGAGTTATTTCACTTAAGATAATGGCCTCCAGTTCCATCCATGTGGCTACAAAAGACAAATTTTTTTATGGCTGAGTAGTATTCCATAGTATATATGTAAGTACCACATTATCTTTTTCCAGTCACCCATTGATGGATACTTACGTTGAGTCCATGACTTTGCTATTGTGAATAGTGGTGCAATAAACTTACAAGTACTGGTGTCTTTTTTATATAATGATCTATTTTCCATTGGATAGTTACTTAGTAGTGGGGTTGCTGGATTGAATGGTAGTTCTATTTTTAGCTCTTTGAGAAATCTTCATACTCTTCTTCATAGAGGTTGTACTAATTTACATTCCCACCAACAGTGTATAAGCATTCCCCTTTCACCAACATCTGTTGTTTCTTGATTTTATAATAGCAGCCATTCTGACTAGGGTAAGATGGTATGTCACTGTGGCTTTGATTTGCATTTCCTGATGATTAGTGATGTCGAGCATATTTTTCATATGTCTGTTGGCCACTTGTATATCTTCTTTCAAAAAATGTCTGATTATGTCCTTTGCCCACTTTTTAATGTCTTTTCTTGTTGAATTGTTTGAGTTCCTTGTAGATTCTGGATATTAGCCCTTTGTCACATGCATAGTTTCCAAATATTTTCTCCCATTCTGTAGGTTGTTTACTCTATTGATGGTTTCTTTTGCTTTGCAGAGGCTTTTTAGTTTAATTAAGTCCCATTTGTCTATTTTTGTTTCTGTTGCATTTGCTTTTCAGGTCTTAGCAATAAATTCTTTGCCTAGGCCGATGTCCAGAAGAGTTTTTTCTAGGTTTTCTTATCAGATTTTTATAGTTTCTGGTCTTACATTTAAGCCTTTATTCCATCTTGAATTAAGTTTTGTGTATAGTGAGAGATATAGGTCCAGTTTCATTCTTCTGCATGTGGCTATCCAGTTTTCTCAGCACTGCTTATCAGATAGGATGGCCTTTCCCTGCTGTATATTTTGGTTGTCTTTAATGAAGATCAGTCGGTTGTAGGTATGTGGCTTCATATCTGGGTTCTCTATTCTGCTTCACTGACCTATGTGTCTATTTTTCTACCAGTACCATGCAATTTTGATTACTATGGCCTTGTAATATAATTTGAAGTCAGGTAATGTGATGTCTCCAGCTTTGTTCTTTTTGCTTAGGATTGCTTTGGCTATTCAGGCTCTTTTGTTTTTTGGTTCCATATGAATTCTGGTTTGTTTTTTCTAATTCTGTGAAAAATGGCATTGGTAATTTGATAGAAATTGCATTTAATCTGTAAATTGCTTTTGGCAATATGGCCATTTTAAGGATGTTGATTGTTCTAATCCATGAGCATGAGAGAGTTTTCTATTTGTTAGTGTCATCTCCAATTTCTTTCATTAGTGCTTTTTCATTCTCCTTGGAGAGATCTTTCACCTCCTTGGTTAAATCTATTCCTAGGTATTTTATTTTATTTTTTGTAGCAATTGTAAACTAGATTGGGTTCTTGATTTGGTTCTCAGCTTGATCATTATTGGTGTATAGAAATGCTACTGATTTTTGTATGTTGATTTTGCATCCTGAAACTTTACTGAAGTCATTTTTCAAATGTAAGAGTCTTTAGGGTTTTCTAGGTATAAGATTACATCATCCGTGTTGGCTCCTTTAATGCTCATAAAGCCTCATGAGATATGCATTTATTATTTTCACTTCGTACATAAGAAAACTGAAGCTTGGAGAGGTCAAATAACTTAATCAAAGTTAAACAGCAAGTAGGGGAAGAGCTTGGTTTTAATCCAAGTCTTCTGACTGCAAGCTCAGGGTTCTCTTCAACACACCTACATTAAGGGGTAGTTTACAGATGATGGGAACTACATTTCTAGAGAGTAAAAATCTCTAACCTTCTCACAATACTGGTAAATAAAGTGGGTCCAAAGGGCTTCTCAATGTGAGTCGTAAAGCTAATACCCAAATAACATCCCACAACAACATCATGGCTTCTTCCTTCTCACTTCAGTTGGATGGTCTTCTACTCCTCCCTCAGACTGCCCTGCCATCCCAAATCAGTTTCAAGGGAAAGGAAGACCTAGGGTAGGGGAGAGTCAAGGTCACTGGTGCAGTGTAATGGGGAAGGGGCCTTTGGGTCCATCTGTCACTGTGACAGCCTCATATGTCGATTAATCAGAAAGCTCTTGCCTCCTCCAAAGCAGCTCATTATTCCTCCTGATATTGTCGCCTGAGGAGCCAGAGCCCAGCCTCTCACATGCTGGTGACTGACGACCTAGTGGAGCAGTGACATCCAAGTGCAGCTCCCAGCTTCCCAAGGCACCTCACAGCTGCAAGAGGTAGAGTGTGTGGACTGACCGGCCATTGTTCTGAGACTGGGACTGATCCATCCCTGTGTAGAAGGAGCTGGTGGGCTGCCTGCCTGGCCAGCATGTTGGTAGGACTTGCTCTGAAAGCTCAGCTTGTGTTTCCGCATGTGTGAGGCTAAAGATGGTCCCCCTGCTGGAAAGAACCAGCACAGGTCGAGTAAAATTCTGGGCTTGGATCAAAACTGCTAGGTGTTGGTGGGGTGGTGGCAGGGATAGAGAGTGGTTTAAGATATAGACCCTGCCATCCAGGAGCTCACAGTTGACACAGGCAAGGAGGAGGGAGATGTGGGAGGACTAACAACATCTGTTATTCACAGCTTTGTCTAAATGTGATTAAAAAGGATAAGGGGACCTTTGTTTAAGAAAAACCTAAAGTTTTCATGACAGCATGGGATAACTGGATGAACAAGGGAGGTTGTGTGTTATGGTGAGACCAGCCTGACCAACATGGTGAAACCCCTTCTCTACTAAAAATACAAAAATTAGCTGGGCATGGTGTCACATGTCTAATCCCAGCTACTCAGGAGGCTGAGGCAGGAGAATCGCTAGAATCTGGGAGGCAGAGGTTTCAGTGAGCCGAGATTGCACCACTGCACTCCAGCCTGGGCGACAGAGTGAGACTCCGACACTCAGTCTCAGAAACAACAACAACAACAACAACAACAACAACAACAACAACAAAACCAGCTTCGGGCATTAGACCTGGTGGTATGTCCTTGGGCAAGTTCTGTGAACTTTCTGACCTTAATTTTCTTTATCTTTAGAGTAGGGTTGATAACAACACCTCTCTCAAAGGGCCCTTGGGAGGGTGAAACAAGATAAAGCAAGCCAAGCACTTAACCCCAGACCTGGCATATTGTGAGGCTTAGGGAATGACCAATAGCTAATATGGTGCTGGAATCAGAAAAGCCTGTGTCACATCCCAGCTCTGTCCTATTTGTAACTGTCAGTTTAGACAGGGATATGCTTTCTCTAATCTCATCTGTAAGTTGGGATGATTGTGTCTACTGTAGGAAATTGTTGTAAGCACCACAGGAGATAAGCTATGTAAATTGCCTGCCACATAGTAGGAGCTCAATAAATGGTGACCATTATTAGATGTCAGCAGAGGTAAGAGTTAGTTTAACCTCAGTCCTGGCAGGAAATGAAATACTGTTAGATTTGAATGTCCTTCTAGCAATTAATTTCTTTTTACTTATCATGGCTATTACTTTAATAAAAATGAAATGTCTTACTTAAAGGCAAATGATTAGTTCTGCTAATAGAAAGGTAAAAAAAAATCTTAATCAATGAACTTTCTATTGTCCTTTCTAGCTAAAATATTGGTGGGGGTTTGCACATTGCTGGAAAGCTGAGCCCACTCCCCAGAAAATTCTCTTTTTACCTTTTCCTAAACAGGTCTTCCATCTGTGCAGCTCTGAGTTACAAAGAAAAGGAATCTCTGTCCTTCAACACTCCCTAAAACATGAGTAGCAGACAACCCTTTCATCTTGCCGGAGGTATTTGCAAATTTAAAATAGGACTTTATTATGCCCACTTCCACTCTCATCACTTTTGATCCATTTTCCATACTGCAGTCAAAGTGATCTTTTAGAAACACAAGACTCATCATTTATCTCTCCTGCTTAAAACTCTTTAATGACTTTCCATTGCTCTTAGGATAATGTCAAAATTTCTTATCAAGGTTTACAAGGTCCTCAATTGTGATGCCTGCCTAGGCCTGAAGAACCATCTCCTCCCCTTTACCCCCAACCCCACCCCTCTCCCTTATTACTCATTGCTTCTCTTTCTGGAATATCCTAGGATCTTTCCAACTTTGGAGTTTCTACATACATTTCTCTTTGACCATAATGATCTCCCCTTAGCTAACCACTATTTATCCTTTCAATCTCACTTTAAATGTCTCTCCTCAGAGAGGTATTCCCTACTTCCCTACACTGGCTTTTTCTCCTATAACACCAGTATGGGACAGCTATATGTCTCTAAGAATATAAAAATGTGTAAATAGTATCTCTCTCTTAAAAAGCCTTACAGACCATGTGGTAGATTGAGAATATGGTGGCTTCAGTACATTCCTTCCTGTATCCATGCCCTTTGCAGTGTTTCATTGCAGCTACTCCCATCAAGAAATGGAATCCATTTTTCTTCCCCTGATTTTGAGTTGGCCCTGTGTTGCTTTGGCTGATAGAATTCAGTAGAAATAATGTGCCAGTTCAGAGCCTAGACTTCAGGGAAGTGTGAACATTTCCATTCATTCTCTAGGAACTCTGCCACATTGCCAACTGAACAAGCCTGGACCAAACTTCCAGGTGAAAGACCATGTTGTCCAGTCACCCATTATGTCCTAGCCAACATCCATCTAACCCCCAGAAGCAGAGCTGTCTAGCAGACCAGTATCTGACTACGGATATGTGAATGAACCCAACCAAGACCAGAAAACTAACCCAGCTGAGCCCAGCCCAAATTGCCGACTCACAGAATTATGAACTAAATCAAGTTACTATTTTAAGCCAGTGAATTTTGCAGTAGTTTGCTAAACAGCCTAAACAAACTCATATAGGCCTTCTGGAGGATAAAATAAATATAAAAATAAGCACATAAGCAACAATACAAGGTAGTGTGTGCTGAGTCTGCCAAAAGTAGACAGACAAAAGTACAAAGGAAGGAAAGATCACTGAGAGCTGAAATTGTTCACAGAGGAGGTGATTAATTCATGGGCATTGTTATTATTGCAAGTTTCCTGAGGACATGGATTATGTCTCAAAATTATTTTGTATTATCTTCAATATTCAGCAGAGTGTAAGCTAAAGCATTCAATTCAAAAGTACCCATTGGGTGATTTTAAAAAGGATAGAAACTGTATTTATCTTGTTGATTTTTATGTTCCTAGTACATGAACAGATCCTGGAACATAGGAGGCTCTCAGTAACTACTTACAAATGAATAAATAAGTGACTGGCTTCATGGATAAAAAATGCATAAGTATTCATGAGCATCTTTCCAGGAGACCCAAGGCAGTGTTTACAGTTACAACAGGTGAGGAAAAAGGGGAGAAGCCTGGATAGTGGTAGGGCCAACCATCTCATTTAAATCCATTTTGTCATTTGCAATTGCTCCAAAGCAATTACATATGTAGATAAAACATACATTCATTGTTTTCTTCTTACTTGTCTTTCAGTTTCTCAGCACTGTCTCTCTTTCCTTCTCTCTCTTCTTCCATTTCTTTTAGTTCTCTGTTACTCCTGTCCTTCTGATCCTTTTGGAGTTAGCATCTTTACTATAGAGTGGTGAATGAGTTCAAGGTTCCGGCTTTAGGTTGGAAGGGGCTGGGGAGATGAGAGGTAACAGATGCAGGGTCTCTGTGGCAGGTGCAGTGTAATGACAGATTCTTCATTCTCAATTAACTTTTTTCTCCCCCTCCCTAAAATGCCAAATAAAGTCAAAGCATGGGGACAAAATGTAAAGGAAAGGATATATGTGTGCAGGACATGTCTGACTTCATCTGAGCTGTTCTTCCAGATTTGAAATTGCTACCTGAGGGCAGTCTTTTTGAGGCCAGTATACTGTGTGCACCTCTACCCTTTCAGAGAATTGATAACTGCTTCCTCTTCCTGGGGGCTTGGAGCCAGCTTTTGGATTACAATGTAGTGACATTTTTTTTATTTTTAATTTTTGTAGGTTCATAGAAAGTGTATATATTTATAAGTTACATGAGATATTTTGATACAAGGATGTAATATGTAATAATCACATCAGGGTAAATGGAGTATCCCTTAACTCAAGCATCTATCCTTTGAGTTACAAACAATCCAATTATATTTGTTCAGTTATTTGTAAATGTACAGTTAGATTATTTTTGACTATAGTCATGCTATTGTGCTAGTAAATTCTAGGTCTTATTCATTATTTCAAACTACTTTTGGTACCCATTAACCCTCCCCACTTGGCCCCGCCCCCACCCCCACCCTTCCCAGCCTGTGGTAGCCAGCCTTCTACTCTCTATGAGTTCAATTATTTTAATTTTTAACTCACAAAGAAGTGAGAACTTGTAAAGTTTGTTTTTCTGTGTCTGGCTTATTTCACTTAACATAATGATCTCCAGTTCCATCCATGTGGTTGTAAATCACAGGAGCTCATTCTTTTTTATGACTGAGTAGTACTCCATTGTGTATATATGCCATATTTTCTTTATCCATTTATCTGTTGATGGACACTTAGGTTGATTTCAAATCTTGGCTATTGTGAATAGTGCTGCAGTAAACATGGGAGTGCTTTTCACTATACTGATTTCCTTTCTTTTGGGTATATATCTAGGAGTGGGATTGCTAGATTGTATGGTAGCTGTATTTTTCATTTTTTAAGAAACCTCCAAACTGGTCTCTATAGTGATTGTATTAATTCACATTCCCACCAACAGTTAACAAGGATTCCCTTTTCTCCATATCCTTGCCAGTACTTGTTATTGCCTGACTTTTGGATAAAAGCCACTTTAACTGGGGTGAGATGATATCTCATTGTAGCTGTGATTTGCATTTCTCTGATGATTATGACGTTAAGCACTTTTTCTTATACCTATTTTTCATTTATATGTCTTATTTTGAAAAACGTTTATTCAGATCTTTTGCCCATTTTTAAATCTGATTACTAGATTTTTTTTTCCAATAGAGTTGTTTGAGTGTCTTATATACTCTGATTATGAACCTCTCATTAGATGAATAGTTTGCTAATATTTTCTCCCATTCTGTGCATTGCCTCTTTACTTTGTTGATTGTTTCCTTTGCTGTGCAGAAGCTTTTTAATGTGATGTGATGCCGTTTGTACATTTTTACTTTGGTCATTTGTGCTTGTGGGGTATTACTCAAGAAATCTTTGCCCAGTCCATTGTCCTAGAGAGTTTCCTCAATTACTTTTTGTAATTTCATAGTCTGAGGTCTTAGATTTAAGTTTTTAATCCATTTTTATTTTATTTTTATGTATGGCAAGAAATAAGGGTCCAGTTTTATTTGTTTGTATACAGATATAAAGTGTTCCTAGCACCATTTATTGAAGAAATGGTCCTTTCCTCAAGGCATGTTTTTGGCATCTGCGTCAAAAATGAGTTCACTCAATGAGAACACATGGACACAGGAAGGGGAACATCACACACCGGGGACTACTGTGGGGTTGGGGGAGGGGGGAGGGATAGCATTAGGAGATATAACTAATGCTAAATGATGAGTTAATGTGTGCAGCACACCAACATGGCACATGTACACATATGTAACAAACCTGCACTTTGTGCACATGTACCCTAAAACTTAAAGTATAATAATAATAAAATAAAATAAAATAAATGAGTTCACTGTAGATATATGGATTTATCTCTGGGTTCTCTATTCTGTTCCAATGACGTATGTGTCTGTTGCCAGTACCATACCATTTTGTTTATTATAGTTTTGTAGTATAATTTGAAGTCAATGTGAGTAATGTGGAGTACTGGAGTAATGTGATTCCTCCAGTTTTGTTCTCTTTGCTTAGGATAACTTTGATTATTCTGAGCCTTTTGTGGTATCATATAAATTTTAGGATTGTTTTTTCTATTTCTGTGAACAATGTGATTGGTATTTTGATAAGTATTGCATTAAATCTGTAGATTGCTTTGGGTAGTATGGACATTTTAACAATACTGATTCTTCCAATCCATGAACATGGAATATCTTTCCATTTTTTGTGTCTTATTTAATTTCTTGCCTCCATGTTTAACAGTTTGCATTGTATAGATCTGTCATTTCTTTAGTTAATTCCTAGGTATTTTATTTTATTTGTAGCCATTTTAAGTGGGATTACTTTCTTGATATCTTTTTCAGATTGTGTGCTGTTGGCATATAGAAATGCTACTGATTTTTGTACGTTGATTTTGTATTCTAAAACTTTACTGAATTTATCAGTCCTAATAGTTATTTGATGGAGTGTTTAGGTTTTTCCAAATATAAAGTCATATCATCTGCAAACAGGGATAGTTTGACTTCTTCCTCTCCAATTTGGATGCCCTTTTTTTCTTTCTCTTCTTTGACTGCTCTAGCTAGGACTTCCAGTACAATATTAAATAACAGTGGTAAAAATGGGTGGGCATCCTTGTCATGTTCCTGATCTTAGAGGAAAGGCTTTCAGTGTTTTCCCCATTCAGTACGATACTAGCTTTGGGTCTGCTGTATATGGCTTTTAGTATGTTGAAGAATGTTCTCTATAGTTTTTTGAGAGTTTTTATCATTAAGGGATGTTGAATTTTAAATGCTTTTTCAGCATCAATTAAAATAATCATATGGCTTTTCTCCTTCTTTCTGTTGATATGGTGTATCACAGTAATTGATTTTCAGTTGATTAATTGAAGCATTCTTTATCCCTGTGATAAATTCCTCTTGGTCATGATGAATGATCTTTCTAATGTGTTGTTAAATTTGGTTTGCTGGTATTTTGTTGAGGATTTTTGCATCAATATTCATCAGTAACATTGGCCTGTAGTTTTTGTTTTTTTTTTTTTATGTGTCTTTGCCTTGTTTTGGTATCAGGGTAATACTAGCCTCATAGAATGAGTTTGGAAGTATTCTCTCCTCCTGTATTTTTTGGAATAATTTGAGTAGAATTGGTATGAGTTCTTTAAATGTTTGGTAGAATTCAGAAGTGAAGCCATCAGGTACTGAGCTTTTCTTTCCTGGGAAAGTTTTTATTACAGCTTCAATCTTGCTACTTGTTATCGGTCAGTTCAGGTTTTGGATTTCCTCAAGTTTCAATCTTGGTAGGTTGTGTAGCGTCTGGGAATTTATCTGCTTCTTCCAGATTTTCCAGTTTACTGGCAAATAGTTGATCCTAGTAGCCGCTAATGATACTGTGCATTTCCGTGGTTTCAGTTGCAATGTCTCCTTTTTCATCTCTGATTTTATTTGCTTGAGTCTTCTCTCTCTCTCGCTCTCTCTTTTTTTTTGTTAGTGTGGCTCAAGGTTCATCAATTTTGCTTTACTTTTCAAAAAAACAACTTTTTGTTTCATTGATCTTCTGTATTGTTTTCTTCATGTCAATTTTATTTATTTATGCTCTAATCTTTATTATTTATTTTCCTCTACTAATTTGGGGTTTGGTTTGACCTTGCTTTTCTAGTTCTTTGAGATGCATCATTAGGTTGTTTAATTTTAAGTTATTATTTTTATTTTTTGATGTAGGCACTTACAGCTATAAATATCCCTCTAGTACTGCATTTGCTGTATCCCATAGGTTTTGGTATTTTGGTATGTTGTGTATCCATGATTATTTGTTTCACAAAGTTTTTCCACTTCCTTCCTAGTTTCTTCATTGACCCACTGGTCATTCAGAAGCATATTGTTTAATTTCCGTGCACTTATATAGTTTCAAAAATTTTGGTAACTGATTTCTAGTTTTATTTTTTTGTGACCAGAGAAGATGCTTGATATTATCTCATTTTTTTGAATCTTTTAAGACTTGTTTTGTGACCTAACATATGGGCTATCCTTGAAAATGAACTATTATTGTATTGGTACCTATTTTTCTCTTTAGCTTTAATAATATTTACTTTATATATCTGGGTGCTCCAGTGTTGGGTGCATATATATTTAAAACTATTATATCCTCTTGTTGAACTGACCCCTTTATCATTATATAGTGACCTTCTTTGTCTCTTCTTATTGTTTTTATCTTGACTCCTATTTTGTCTGATATAAGTGCAGTGACTCCTGCTCTATTTTGGTTTCCATTGGCATGGAATATCTTTTTCCATCCCTTTATTTTCAGTCTATATGTGTCTTTATAGATGAAATGTGTTTCTTGTAGGCAACAGATCACTGGATCTTATTTTTTTAAAACCCATTAAGCCACTCTATATCTCTTGATTGGAGAGTTTAGTCTATTTACATTCAATATTATTGGTAAGTAAAGACTTACTCCTGCCATTTTATTTGTTCTCTGGTTGTTTTGTGGTCTTCTCCTTTCCTTCCTTCCTGTCTTTCTTTTAGCGAAGGTAATTTCCTCTTGTGGTGTGCTTTAATTTCTTGCTTTCTATTTTTTGTATATTCACTGTACTTTTTTAAAATAGGGACAGGGTCTGTTTATGTTGCCCAGGCTGGTCTTGAACTCCTGGTGTCAAGGTATCCACCTTCCTTGGCCTCCCAAGCTGCTAGGATTACAGGCATGAGCCACCACACCTGGCTCTGGTGGTTTTTGATTTGAGGTTACCACGAGGCTTGCAAATACTATCTTATAACCATTATTTTAAGCTAATAACAACTTAATACTGTTGCATAAACAAACAAACAAAAAAGATAATCTCACATCTTAACTTTGTCCTCCTGCTTTTTAACTTTTTGTCATTTTAATTTGTATCTTATTGCATGATACGGTTTATGTATTATATTCAATTATATGTAGGGTTTATATCTTGATAAGTTGTTATTATTTTTGATTTGTTCATCATTTAGTCTTTCTATTTAAGATAATAGCAATTTATTTACCACAGTTACCATGTTATAATACTCTGTGTTTTTATGTGCATTTACTATGACCAGTGAGTTTTATACCTTCAGATGATTTCTTATTGCTAATTAACGTCCTTTTCTTTCTGATTGAAGGTGTTTCTTGTAGGACAGGTCTTGTGTTGATGAAAGCCCTCAGCTTTTGTTTGTCTGGGAAAGTCTTTATTTCTCTTTCATGTCTGAAGGAAACTTTTGCTGGATATACTGTTCTAAGGTAAAAATATTTTTCCTTCAACACTTCAAATATGTCAGGGCACTCTCTCTTACCTGTAAGGTTTCCACTGAAAAGTCTGCTGTCTGCCGTCAGATGTATCAAAGCTCCAAGGTATGTTATTTGTTTCTTTTCTTTTGCAGCTTTTAGTATCCTTTCTTTATCCTTGACCTTTGGGAGCTTGATTATTAAATGCCTTGAGATAGTCTTATTTGAGTTATGTCTGCTTGGTGTTCTATAACCTTTCGTACTTGGATATTCATTTCATTCACTAGGTTTAGAAAGTTCTCTGTTATTATCCCTTTAAATTAATTTTTAACTCCTATCTCTTTTTCTACCACCTCTTTAATGCCAATAACTCTTAGATTTGCCTTTTTGAGGGAATTTTCTAAATATTGTAGACATGCTTTATTCTTGTTCATTCTTTTTTGTTTTGTCTCCTCTGACTGTGTATTTACAAATAGCCTGTCTTCAAACTCACTGATTCTTTCTTCTACTTGATCAATTCTGCTATTAGTAGACTCTAATGCATTCTTCAGTATGTCAGTTGCATTTTTCAACTCCAGAATTTCTGCTTGATTCTTTTAAATAATTTCAACCTCTTTGTTAAGTTTATCTTATAGAATTTTGAATATTTTTCTCTGTGTTATCTTTAACTACTTTGAGTTTCCTCAACACAGCTTTTTTGAATTTTCTATCTGAAAGGTCACATATCTCTGTTTCTCCAAGATTGGTCCCAAGTGCCTTATTTAGTTCATTTGATGAGGTCATGTTTTCCTGGATGACCTTGATGTTTATGGACATTATTCTGTGTCTGGACATTAAACAGCTAGGTATTTATTGTAGTCTTTGCAGTCTGGATTTGTTTTTACCTATCCTTCTTGGGAAGGGTTTCCAAGTATTCAAAAGGACTAAAAGGACTTGGGTGTTTTGATTTAAACTGTATCTTCATTAGGGGTCATTCCATGCACAGTAATGGTGTGGTTCTTGCAGACTCATAGAGGTACTGCCTTGGTGGTCTTAGATAAGATCCAGAAGAATTCTGTAGATTACCAGGCAGATGCTCTTGTTTTCTTCCCTTACTTTCTCCCAAGCAAACAGAGTCTCTCTCTCTCTCTCTCTCTCTCTCTCTCTCTCTCTCTCTCTCTCTCTCTCTCTCTCCTTCTCCCTCTCTTTCCTTCTCCCTCTCAGCCACCTGGAGCTGGGAATTGGGTGGTACAAGTGCCCCTGTGGCCACCACCACCGAGATTTACTGGATCAGACCTGAAGCCAAGACAACACTGGGTCTTGCCCAAGGCCCACTTAAACCACTGTCTATCAACCTCCTTTGTTCACTTAAGGTCCTGGGGACTCTACAATCAGCAGATGCAAAGCCAGCCAGGCTTGTCTTCTTTGCTTCAGGTTGGCAAGTTCCCCCAGGCCCCAGGCAGGTCTAGATGTACCAGAAGCCAGAGATTTGAGTCAAAAACCTTAGAGGTCTACCTGTTGTTCTATTATACTGCAGCTGAGCTGGCACTCAAACCATAATATGCAGTCCTTCCCACTCTTCCCTCCCTTTCCATAGGCAGAGGAGCCTCACCCTGTGGTTACCACCCCCACAGGCCCACAGGGAGTACTGCCAGGCTACCTCCAATGTTCCTCTAAGGTCCAAGAGTCCTTAAGTCAGCTTGTAGTGAATGCTGCCTGACCTGGGACTCACCCTTCATGACACTGGGCTCCCCTTTGGCCCAGAGGAAGTCTAAAAAATGCTATCCAGGAGCCAAGTCTTGGAACAAGAGTCCCCACAAGCCTGCTTGCTGCTCTACCACCCTGTGGCTGAGCTGGTACCCGAGGTGCAAGACAAATTCTCCTTTACTTATCTGTCCAATTTTCTCAAGCAGAAGAAATCTCCCTAGCCACCACATCTGGGAATGTGCTGGATCTCACCTGAATCCAGCACATCTCAGAGTTGCACCCAAGGCCCATGGCATACTCCCTGGGTATTGCTGCTGATTATGCAGGGCCCAGGGGCTCTTTAGTCAGCAAATGATGGGTCCTGCTTGGACTGCATCTTTCTGTTTAAGGCAGCAGGTTTCCTTCTGGCCCAGGGTGTGTTTAGCAATATCATCTGGGACCTGGAGCCTGGAAAGGGGCTCTCATGACTGACTAGTGCCCTATCTTACTGTGGTCTTACTGTGGCTGAGCTGGTATCCAAGATGCAAGACAATGTCTTCTTTACTCTTCCCTCTCCTCTTCTCAAGCAGAAGGAAGGAGTCTCTTTTGGAGCTGTGAGCTGTGCAGCCTGGGTTTGGGGGGAGGGCTGGCAAAAGCACTCCCTTTGTCTACCTCATCTGATTTTTCAATATGTTGTGAACTCCCCAAGTCCACTGGCACTGAGCCCAGTTCAGCACTAGAACTCGCCTAGGAGTTGCAGTTCTTGCGGCCTAGACTTCATTTCAACTTTATTTAGGGTCCCAGTGCACTTTAGCCCATGGTAGTGAGGCTTGCCAGAACTCAAATTTTAACTGCTGGGATAGGAAACTCCCCTCTACCTAGGGCTGTTTTAAATACTCCCTCTGTGGGCAGGTTTCAGCTGAGTTCAGCCTGGTTTTGCTTTCATTGCAGCACTAAGGTCAATGCAATGTTTCACAGTTGCTGCGTTCACCCTTTCCCAAGTTCTCAGATTTTCTCTCCGCACCATGCAGCCACTGCTAGGGGATGGGGGAGGAGTGGAATCAGGGATTCAAGATTTTTTTTCTACCCTCTTCAGTGCCTCTTTTAGCTATATGAAGTTAAAACCAGGTGCTGTGTGTGGTCACCTCATTTTTGGTTCTTATAAAGATTTTTGTTTGTTTGTTTTATTGTTTTTGGTATAGACAGTTGTTAAAGCACTGTCCTTAGAGCAGGGCCTGGGAAGATTGGTGGAGCCTTCTATTTGGCTATTTTGCTCCACCCCCCGTGTCAATGCAGTGACTTTTGAAGATAACTGTCCTACTCTGCCCTCTAACATATGCCATTTGCACATATTCATAATTTGTATTTGTCCTCTCCAACTGGGCTGTGTTTCAGTTCTCTCCATTCAAGACCACTTCCTTGTATTCAGATAAGTCTTTCCCCGCTTCTTGAAACCTTCTTTGCTTTGTCTTCCCCCATAACTTCTAGTGCTAACTGCGTGTTACTCATTTGCTATTTGCTGTACAATAAATAATTTCATGACATTTCTTATTTTAAGCATTACCAAAACTGAACTCCTAGAAGGAAAGCAAAAGTCTTTTTTGCATAGCTTACAGCAAGGATGGCCCTAGACACATAATAGGCAATCAGAATCTGCTCAGTGAGTATATGAGTGCATGACCCACTGGGAATGGCTGGTTTCCTTAGAAAGGCCTATACCATTACAAAGAGTTACTTTTTAATAAGCACATACTATGTGCCAGATACAGAACTAAGCAATTTCCATGGGCTATATACTTTAATCAATACGATAGCATTGTCGGGGGAGGTGCTATTATGACCTCCACAGCAAGTAAGTGAGGGTGCCGACATTCAATTCCAGCTAGTCAGGCTCTGAAGGAACCAATCTTGAACCAGAAACATGAATGTTATAGCAACAACTGAGCCACCTTAATTGAGGAAACAGCAAAAGATGTAGTATGCCTCCTTCATGAAAATTAAGGGGTCACATTTCAAGGGAAAATGTTTTCCTTCATGATAACTCTGGGCATATCAGGTAACCTGGTTATTAACTATCTGCAATTATTTTATGTGCGTTCATTTTGTTCAGGCACAAAGACCATAACAATTAGCATGTAACAGTTACCACTTATTACCATGTGTCAGGCACTATGCTAAGCACTTTACATTCATTATTTTATCTCCTCTGCCCAACCGCTCTAAACATTGGTATTATTATTGTTGTTATTTCTAGCGTCCAGACAGGAAACTCGGGAGCAGAGGGATTAAGCAACTTCCCAGAGTCACATAGTCAGTGGGTGTAAGTTTCTATCAAAATCCCACTCTTTCCTACTAAAAAATGTGTCTTCTTAAATGCTAAACCATGGGCTTTCAAATTTCAGTGTGCACAAGTATCTCCTGGGGAGCTAGTTAAATGCAGACCATACCCTCAGTGATTCTCTAGTAGCTGTGCATGGCGGTGTCTAGAATCTACCTTTTTAATAGCCACCTAGGGGAATCAGCTGCAGATTACCCATGAACTGTGCTCCACTATACTGACTTCCCTCCTCTCTGTAAGTTGCTTGAAGTAGTCTTCTGTAGGCTGTTCCCAGATGTTGGGTTTCATCATGCAGCCAGCGCCCCAGAAGTAGTGATCAGGAGCTTGCCCTGTAGCCTGCCATTACAACCAGGATTTAACACCCATGGCTTTTTCTGAGTTAGGGATCCTCTTCTTAATGCTCCTTTGTTCTCCTGTTTTGGGTGGCCTGACTGGAAACCTTGAAAATCCTTTCATCTTTACCCTGCATATTAGGCCATTCTTGCATTGCTGTAAAGAAATACCTGATACTAGGTAATTTATAAAGAAAATAAGTTTAATTGTCTCATGGTTCTGCAGGCTGTAAAGGAAGCATAGCACCAGCATCTGCTTCTGGGGAGGCCTTAAGGAGCCTTTACTCATGGCAGAAGGTGACGTGGCAGCTTGCACATCACGTGATGAGAGCAGAGAAAGAAAGAGAGTAGGGCAAAGGTGCCACACTTCACAACAACCAGACTGCATGACAGAACTCACTCACTAACACGAGGACAGCACCAAACCATGAGGGGTCTGCCCCCATGACCTAAACACCTCCCACAAGCCCCACGTCCAACATGGGATCACATTTCAACATGAGATTTGTTGGAGACATATATTCAAACCTTGTTACCCTGTAAGGTGTAGCTGATCTAAATATCCAGCATCATCTTTCTGTCTCCCTAGCTGCCATCTCCTTGGACTCCCTAGATCCTCTCTGAAGTGGCCACCCAGGCAAAAAGCATTCCCAATGCTCAGAGCCATAGAGCAAGCATGTAGATCTTCATAATATCTTAACTTCTTCCCTGAAAGAATTACCCCTTGGTTCTGAGAAGGATATTAGTGGGGAATTAATGATGGCCTTGTAATTTCCTTTGTTCTTCACCAGAAAGTAGAAAAGTCATTTGCAAGGTTTCTATGGAAAAAAAACCTATCCTTTTGTTAATTCAGTGAATTCAAGCAAGAGTGTTGCTGCCTTTCTTGCCCCAAGGGACACTGTCATCGAATTTTGGAGAAATTCTGCCTGCTCCATTACAAGGCAACTTTTCCCATCCTTGCCTGTGTATCCTCCGGGGACCAGTGAAATGGGTGGTTCATTCCCTAAGGGGGATTTATGAATGTCTCTTTCAATATTAATGTGATGCCTGGCAGATGCAATGTTGAGCAGCACAGGTTTTTTACACAGTGCAGAGTGGGGCATGACTTCCTGTGAATAACAGGTACGAGGTGCAATGTGAAGTCAGGCTGTCACCAAAGAGGGGGCACATGTTAACCAGAATAAGTGAGACCACTGCCCCTCTGAACAGAGGGGTCTTAATAGCAAATAATTCTACTCAAGCAGTGAGCAGTGCAATGGCTTTGGACACTTTTATAGAGACAGTGAGATGGGTTTGTATCATAGTGATGACTGCAAAATAGTTTTTTGGTGTCTGGTTTAGTGTTGTCTCAGGTAATTCAATTTCGTTAAATATGCCTATGCCACCTCAAAGTCCCATATTAGAATGCCAAGGGTGGAAAACTATTGAATTAGAATCAAAGTTCTGTGAGCATTCATTTATCCATTCATTCAGAAATATTTATTTCACCTCTACCATATAATAGTCAATGCTAAAAAATAAGGCAAAGCATAGGAGTAAACCAGAATTCCTACCCGTAAGGAACTTAGAGTCTGGTGAAGGGGAAGTTACAATGCAATATGCTAAATGCTGATTTTCAAATGTGCACAGTGTGCTACAATAGTGTGGAGGAGAGGAGAGGTCTCAACCCAAATGGAAGGTGGGTGAAGAGGGAAAGAGGTCAGGGAAAGTTTTGTAAATGAGACACTGGAAATGAGTATTCAGAGGCTAAGCGTATTTGGAGAGGAGGTAGGAAGATAAACCAGGAGGCAGAGAAAGGATTAATGGCTTCATCTTCTCCAGTTGTCAGTCAATCCTTGCCAGTTGTCCAAGTTTTACCACCTGTCAACTAAAACTTAATTGAGAGGAATCTCTCATCAAGAGGTTAATTGTGACACAGATTCCCATATCCAGGGGAAAAATCCATCACCTGTGCAGACTGCTTCTTTTTTGGCATCTGGAACAGTCCTGTCTGTTAGCAAAATGTAGATATTTTGCAATTGCATCATTTCCAGTCCTCAAGTTCTTCCTGAGCTTCTTATCTTTCCTTGAATATCCTCACATATATTTAAAGCCTCTTGGCATTCCTTTCCAAATGGACTGAGACTGTCTCCACTTCTCCTAGACTCCTTTTTTCCATGGCACTCCAATCTTGAATTGAAGGTGTTTTCAAGGACAGAGCAGAATTCCCAACTCAGAAAAAGGGAAATTCATCAGGCAAAATTCATGACTTCACGCCTCCTGTGGTTGCAGCCTCCTGTTATTTTTGTATTTCTCCAGTGCTAGAAGGACATCAAGGAGCCTTCTTTCTCTTACTTTCACCACTCTGACCACTGTTCCAGCCACTCCTTTGGGATTCCTCCAACTTGCAGCTTCACTCCATATGTTCTTCTCTTTCCTATCCAGCTTCTGTCCTCCTCCCCTCCCTCACCCTGTTCCTTTTTGCTCTACCCCTTTTCTCAGATGTGTGCATGTCTCCCTTGGCTTTTGCAATTCCATAGGGAAGGGGTCAGACTTCCCGGTGCCTGAAGAAAGTGTGAGCAGAGTTAGTTTCTAGATGATTCCAAACTTAGCATGAGTCTTAATTCCTTTTTAAAAAATGTGAAAGTGTAAATGAATTAATGAAGTGATCAGAGAGAAGTAGATAAATCAAGATACCAGCAAATTATATGAAACAGCAAGCTGAAGCCTGGGATCTTGTTAGCGCCATGCAAGTAAGACCATCTATTTGATCTGTAGAAATAATGGCAGGAATTTTTGTCCTGGGTGTTTATTGAAGGCAGTTCTTGTCTTTGGCATCATTGTGTAAAATTGGCTAGAGTTTTAAGGAAATAAGGCCTGGAATCTAAGAGAAGTCCTCTGTGCAATCCTGCTGAGCAGCTGGGGGCAGCCCAGGCAGCAATACTGTGGCTTACCTGAGAGTGGGGCTTTTAAGATAGAGGAGGGACCATATGCAGAGGTAGATGTCACTGAGAAAGAAAGTCAAGTCCATTCTAGGTTATATGAGAGTTTAGGGCATCCCAGAAAATTAGGGGATATTTTCACTAAGGCCACAAATGGTGTTGACAATCTCAAACTGTGGATGCTTATAAGTAGGATATCCTGGGGTAGCAAAGTTAGATTACTCTCTGTGTAGGAACATGGATGATAGAGTCAGACAGACCAGTGCTCCAACCTAGTTCTGCCCTTGCCAGCTGTGAAAAGTTAACTCCTCTGAACCCTCAGTTTCTTCAAACGAAGATGGGATCATAAGGCCTATCCTTCAGTGTTGTGATGTTGCAGGTGAAGTCCCAGGTACAATACCTGGATATACTGGCTATCCAGAAGCTCTTAGTCTAGCCTTACCAGTCATACTCTCAGAGTTGATGGGGGACAAAGGCATGGGCACAGAGTGGCAGTGTGACGTGGCGAGCACTGTAAGAGGGATGTTCACACGTTTGGGAGTGTGGGGACTGGACTGGGGATCAAGGAAAGCATCCTGGAGGTGACAATTGAACTGGGCTGAAACCCTCGGGGAATAGCTATGTAAGAGCTGTCACCCTGGCTGTCTGCTGTGTGAGTGTGGAACAGCAAGGGAACAGAGCCAACAGTGGCAGGGTGGAGATGACCCAGGCTTATTGCTCCAGAGATGAATGTCATGTCCCTTAAGGGAAGCTCACACAATTAAGACCCTAGCTTGCAACTACTTCACACTCATCTTGTCTGTCATTGACAGCCCTATTGGCAGGACTTTTCGTTGAGATAAATACAGTAAGAGAGGGTAATTCTATTGACTAATTTCTCAGCCAAGGGAGCTCTCGAAGGCTCCAATTTCCCTATAGTCTTTGCATAAAGGAGTCCAGGTTGCTTGAAAAGTGAAAATTCGAGGGCAATTGGAATCAAGAGAAGGAAATGGTGTGGAGCATAGGCTTAAATCTGGGAGGAGACAGGAGTGTCATGTTCTAAACTCAGTCCAGTCGGAGCAGACATTGCCTTTCCTCCTTAACCCACTTCTACTAACCCATCTATTGACTAATTTATGCAACGGCTTTAATACATTTTCTGGCTTAAATGTTAATGGGCACAAATGAGTCATCACTTTGGTTCTTCTAGGAAAATGTGACCTCCTGGGAAAATGTGACCTCTATCAGGTCATTTCTCCTTCTCTGGGTCTCAGCTTCTCCATCTTTAAAATGGGGAATTAGTGTGACAACAGTCTCTGGATTTGTCCAGCTCTAATGTCTAGGGCTGCATGGATTTGCATTTCCCAGAACTGCAGGTCCCAAGAGAAAAGAGATACTCAAGAGAAGGATGGAGAGTGGAGACAGATAGAAGAGTCATTTTGGGGGAATTTGGCCACTAGGGGAGCCACTGAGCAACACTGCGTCCACTACAGATTGAGCTGGATACTCCTGTAGGAGTCCTGTTTTCTATTTTGCACCAGGGCACCCTGTGGTTTAGCAGCAACCCTGGGGAGTGGTCATATTTTCTCAGGATTACAGGGTGCTTCATCTGACACTCACCCTGTTCCTGTCCCTGACCCTTCTTACTCATATCTACTAGGACATAGTACTCACATTACTCATATTACTAGGAGACAGTGCTGTGTCCTAGCACCTGGCACTGTGCTTGGCACTTGGTCTTAACTCCATAAATGTCTATTCTGCTAGCTGAACTGAGCATCTAGCCCTCCCAGGGGGCTAGGGAGAGAGACACTGAATGAGGACAGAGGACAATCCAGTCCCTCCTGGATTTCTCTATGATAACTAATCTTATCGATTATGGCTGATTCCTACTAGTTTTTCTCAGAGGTATTTTTTTTTCTTTTCCCAGTCCAGCAGCTACCTCCCTTCCTCCCTCTGTACTGACCCCTCTTCTTGGCCTGGAGCAGAGGCCCGAGCCTCTTCACTCTCTGCCTTCTTTGTGACAATGGCAGGGTGGAAGAGGGGATTCTCAGTGAGTTAGCTGTTAGTATTTGCCTTCAGCTATTTTTGTACTTCCTGAATTCAGGCAGGCCAGGTTCCAGAGCTGTGGAAGCTGTTGGGTGGTTGATAAGTCTATTTTAGAAGGTGAGATGCAAGAGTCAGCCTGGGTCTGTCTCTCCTGATGTTGACCATTTGCTTCCAGGAAGGAGACTTCTCTTTCCTGAGCTGGGAAATGGAGGAGTAAAAATCCTACCCCCTATGCCAAGGAGAGAACACAGTTGGCCAGAGCTCTTCACTGTGATATTGAAATTCAGAAGGCCTTACCTGCATCTAAGATGACAACCCTGTTCCAACAGCAATGGTAACCAGGGGAGCCTCTCATTTGGAAAGTCCCTAACCTCTATTTCCCTGGAGTACCTTTTGGTAAAATTTCACATAAAATATATATCTGACTATATTCTTGAAAGGCAGCCAAGTACAGTAAAAAGAGCAAGGAATTTGAAGACATAAATTTAACTTCTGGCTCTATTGTTTCTTAACTCTGAATCCCTTTCCTTGTCTGTCAAATCAAAATAGCTATCTTGAAGTTATTGTGAGGATTAAATGAGAGTATTCATTTATTATTTCAACAAACATTTATTATACATTGCATTTATTAATCAGGATAAATAACTCTTACTGCCTTAGTAAGTAAAGCTCTCAATCTCAGTAATGCAACGTAACAAACTAAAAATTTTGATGTAGGTTAATCAGAATCACCCTCCATCCAGTGACTCAGGGATCCAGGCTCCCTCTATGGTGTGATGGTCTGCTCTCATTACATACTTGCCAAAGCTGTTGTAATAAGGGAAGAGAGAGATAGGTGAGGTCCATGCCTTCATACCTTGGACCAGAAGGTCCAAACATCTATTCATGTTTCCATTTGTGAAAACTTAGTCATATGCTTCCAATTTAGCTCCAAGCGAGCTCCAAGGCTGAGAAATATTTCTATGTTTTATCCCAGGAAGAGGGAGCAGTGTGGAGAACAAATAGCATTGTCCCCACCACAAGCATCTTGTGTGTGTCAGGAACTGTTCTGGATAATGGGAACATAGAGATGAACCGAACAAAGTCACTGTCCTCAAGGAGCGAACAGTCCAGAGATAAATGTTTAAGTGCCATTAGCTCTTAGGATAATTCAAATCTCCTTTTAAATTCTCTAATTTTGCCACTGTTTCGTCTTATCAATCATTAAATATTCCTTGTTCTTCAAACCTTATTTCATGCCTTTTGGTTTCATATGAGTCATCCCAGACTCCCTGCATACAGGGCAAGTCCCTAGGGAAAGATCTACCTCTTGGTTACCTCTCCTCCCATGTAATCTACTGTGGAATCAGACACATGGCAGAGCTCCTTTTCCCGCAGATATTTGTTGCATTGGAATTTTGTGTTTGTATCTCTTTGTTTCTTTCCCTCAATCATATTTCTCTTCTCTCTTTGCTCATGGCTTCGCCAAGAGCCCCCTCCCTAGACAGACTGTCACGGGTTAGAGACACCTAATTTCTCAACCTAGCCTCCCCTCTGACATCTGGGACCTTGCTATTATCCCCAGAAGAAAAGAAACCAATCATGTCTATCCTTTCTCTCCCTGCCAAACTCTTTCTCCTGAGACTAAGCATGAGCTGGCCCCTGGGAGAACTTCCTGGGTTCTTGGGAAAGGACGGCTGTCTACAGAATTGACCAACAGAAACGTGAGAAGCTGGAAGTAAACAAGTCAAAGGTTGAGAGACACAAACAGAGACTGTGGTCACTCTAGGGAATTGTTTGAATTGTCTGGGCTCCCTTCCTCGAATGTCACCTCAGACACCCCTCCTGTAGCTCTCATGTCCCAGGGTGAAGGTGGGCAGTGCCCCCCCAACGGCTCATCATGTTCCACTCCTCTCTGATGGAGAGAGCCTGGCCCCAGCCAGGGCTCAATGCTCTTATCGTCCCAGCAACCAGGTCCTGCCATGTTGGTGAACAATAACGGATTCAGCCTCCTGTGTTCATCATTACCCCGCACCTTTAATCAGGAGTGTTATCCGCAGCTCCTGCCCAGGCCTCATTTAGATTTCTTGTTTGTAGCAATAATACCCTTTTAATATGCTAAATGAGCGAGCAAATGAGCCTTCCTCCACTTGCGAGGTTTTTAAAAACATCCCTTCTTTAGTGGATGAAGGTCATTCTTTTGACAGATTAATACTTAACTAGGAGGCCCTGTTTATTGTCTGGGGTCACTTCAGCGGCTGTCACAGCATATTAAAGAGCGCAGGATTGCCCGTGCCGGAACAATGTAGCTAGGTGGGAGATGCGGGCGGGGCGGCCCCTTGCCGGATTCCCTTCCCTGGCTCTCATTTAAACTCTGTGGCCGTTATTAATACTTTAATTTGTAGTGCATTAATGAATTCTAATCCCCATTATGTGTTGAGCAAATGGGCCTTCAACAGGCTCTGTGCAACCCACGTGAGTCCTGGCTGCGGGTTAGGCAGGCACACAAATGGTATTAGCAGGGCAGGGGACTGGGTGCTCTCTTGGAGCCACACAGGGAGGCAGCAGGAACACTGGCTCTCTGCAGCGCAGCAGTAGAGAGAAAAAGCAGACAAGGAAAGGGAAAATCCCCTGACGGTGTTGTTTGAAACCTCTGCCCCACTGTACCAGCTTTAACCTTAGACTTTCCAGATATGGGAACCAATTTTCCCCATTCTTGTTGAAAATTTTTCTTCAACTGTAAAATGGAGATAATGATAGCACCTACCCAGGTATGCATATTAAAGGAGGTAATATGGAGAGATGGCTTAGGGCACATAGAAAACACTTAATAACTGTGAGTTATCATTTCCATTCCCATTCCCTGACCAAACCCCCCGCTGCTCCCTGCTCCACTGGGACAAGTTAGAGAGAGTGACTCCCTCCAAAGTACATCATCAGTTTATACTTGTCTCTGTGAGTGCTTCTCCACCTTGCAGGGCACTTGTGTATGAGTCTGACTTCTCTTTTCAAGCAGATGCCCCTGAGGACAAAGGCTATGTCATTTTCATTTTTACACCCCACCCTCACTGAGTGTTTAATAGTGGCGCTTGTCAAAAAGCACTCACCTTCGTCAATGACTTGTATAAACAATTGAACAAATGAACCAGGCTAGACTAGGTTCTCCTCTCCATGTTGCGGGACCACAGTCTTACCACCTGTCCCCGGGAGGTGGTTCGCTGAGCTCTCTTCTCGGTGTGTCTAGTTTTTACTCATCCTGAGTGCTTGGCTCAAGTCCTCCTGGCCCCCTCCCTCCTCTGAACTCTATTCTTATTTCTTTAGCCACTCAGTGGTATCAGTTTGGTTGTGTCCTCCTCTTGGGTGACACTGTAAGCCCAAAGGCAAGCATTGGTTCTCATATTTTACACACGGCGTGCCTTGTACAAAATTATTTGAAAGCCAGCTGATTTTAGCATAGCCTGGAAAGAGATGTCTATACCCAAGGACCTGTGCTCATTTTGATTTGCATGCAACATGAGGGCAGGGACTATATTCCATACTTCTTTTATATGTCTCCCATCCTAATCCGCTGCTTCGTTCAATTCTGAAGGGACAACAATAACCACTATTTATAAGGCTTACACTGGGTCAGGCACTATGTTGGGCACTTATATTATCTCATCTCATCTTTACAATAAATTTAAGACATATAGGTCCTATTATTCCCATTTTACAGATGAAAAAATGTAGCTCTTAACTTCTTTAACTTTACTTCCTTGCTCAGTAATGTGTCCTAGAACCTCAGAAGAATTCTTGCCATTGACTGAATGTTTGTGATCCCCCAATATCTACAGACTGAAATCTGATATATATATATAGTGATGATATTAGGAGGTAGGACTTTGGGCAGTGATTAGGTCATGAAAGTGGAGTTCTCGTGAATGGAATTAGTGCCCTTATAAGAAGAGACACCAGAGAGCTTCCTCTCTCTCTGCTCTCTGCCGTGTGAAGACACAGCAGGAAGGCAGCTACCCTCAAACCAGGAAGAAAGCTCTCACCAGATAGAATCTGCTGGAGCTTTGATCTTGTGCTTCCCAGCCTTCGGAACTATGATAAAAAAAAAAGTGTTTGTTGTTTAAGCCCCTTAGTCAATGGTCTTTGATATAGCAGTACTCCAAACTAAGACAAACCTTAAAGGCCATTTAGAATACTTACGTGTTTAGTGGAGGCATCTCTGACTCAGAAAGGTTTGGGATTGTCCATGGTCACTCAGCTAATCTGTGCAGCCAATCCTCAAAGCCAAACTCTTTCTTCCTGTCACCCCACCCTGAAGGGGCAGGTCATTTGACAGGGCAGTTCATCCTGCTAAAGGAATGAACGAACCCAGTTGGAGCCAGGGACTGATGCTGGACCCCACAGGGATGGGTCAGGGCTGCAAGGCCAACCCCTGCCTCAGGGCCATGAGCAGTTGAGTCAGGCCCTGGTCAGGATTGCTGTGCCCTCTGGACTCCCTGGGAAGGGGTCTCCTTTCTAACCTTTATGATGCCTTTATCAGCTCAATGCAGCAAGTACCTATAGACCCCCTGCTCTGGGGTAAAAAAAAACCCTTGCTAAAAAACAGAGACCCTGATTCCAGGCTCATCTTAGTGACCAGCCATTTATGAGTTCTCACGCGTAAGTTCCTGACCTGTCCCATGACAGCGTTCTTCCTGTGGGGCCAGGTACTCTAAGTAGAGGGCCATGTGCCTTCCTGACTCCACTGCCCCCAGCTCATATGGATGGCAGGCTACTGCCACTGCCAAGGCCACTCTGAGGGCCCCTCCCCTAAAACTCCAGCACACACTGCTCTCCCTTCTCTTCTTTGTGTCTTTTCAGGACCCACAGTCCAGGTATTTGAAAAAGTGGCAGACACTCCTGATGCATTCTTACTCCTGAGGCAACATATGCTTACCCAAACCTCCAGCCTGTGGGAGACAGTGGGCCTCTTTCTTCCATCAGTGTGGGAATGTTGCTAGACTCAAACTTTGTTTTCAGTGGCACCCGACAAACAACTTTCTTGATTCTCTCTGCCACCCCACCCACACGTCCCAGCATGTCTCATTGTTTTTACTGGCACAGATGTAATCGGGCCTGAAGTTCACTGAATCAGAAATCAAAAGACAAAAGAGAAGACAATGACAGATTGCACTCTGCAGAGGAAATGAGCTCTCTGGCCAAGTTGCCGCCTTGCTCTTCCCTAATGCACCCATCTGAGGTCACCCAGCCAGTCCTGGTCTCTGCACTCTTAAGGTGCTCTCAGAGCCAAAGAGTGGCCTTCCCTCTGGAGGAGGTGTCAGGTTTGTCTCCTGTGTTTGTGTGGTATGTGGGGGATGAGCAGGTGGGTGTAAGAATATGTGGGTTGTATGTGTAGGTGGACATTGGGGGATCTGTATAATTGAGCTCATATGAATAATATGTGTATAGGTGAAGAAATGTGTATATGCATGAATGGAGGTTAGTTGTGTGTGTGTTTATTGGGGGGTGTAGAAAAATTGCAGGCATTTGAATATGTGCATGCAGAATGTACCTTGAGTGTTACATGAGTGCTTGAGTGCATTTGAATGATTTGATGTATGCATGGGCATGTTTGAAGAATTTTGCTATGTATGTGCATGGGGTGTTGGTGCATGTGTTTTAGCGAGTAGGGATTATATGTGAGCGGTGTGTGTATGGATGAGAATGTAATAACTACAGTATTAATTTTGTTTATAAGTTTGGGGTTATATGAGTTTGAAGGTGTCTATGAATTGTGAGTTTGTGAATATGTTTTTATAGTGCAGCAATGTGTGTTATATGTCAAGGGTATACACGGAAGACTTGTGTGTAAAGATGGACAGAGGCCAGGCACAGTGACTTATGACTGTAATCCCAATGCTGGAAGGCCGAGGTGGGAGGATCACTTGAGCCTAGGAGTTCGAGACCAGCCTAGGCAACATAGGGAGACCGGTCTTTACAAAAAATAAAAAATACAAAAGAAATTATCCAAGCATGGTAGCGTACGCCTGTAGTCCTAGCTACTCAGGAGGCTGAGTGGGGAGTATTGCTTGAGCACAGGACTTTGAGATGGCAATGAGCTGTGATCGCATCACTGCACTCCACCTTTGGGCAAACAGACTAAGGCCCTGTCTCTAAAAAGAAAAAAAAAAAAAAAAAAAAAAAGGACAGATTTAAGTGTTGTGGTGATGAGCATGAGTGAAAGTGTTAGCGG
The DNA here is from genome assembly GCF_000001405.40 of Homo sapiens. NCBI lineage: Eukaryota > Metazoa > Chordata > Mammalia > Primates > Hominidae > Homo > Homo sapiens. The sequence continues at coordinate 114,885,976 of NC_000011.10, read as the reverse complement.
AGCATATGTTCATAAATAGGGGTTCAGGGACATTGGTGAATATGAGGGTGACTGGATGTATATGTAGAAAATAACCTGAGGGTCTGATATGTATATAAGTATGAAGGCACATGCAGTGGCGTGCTGGAGCTGGCTTTTCCTGGCCCGTGAGAGCTGTTTGTTAAATTTAGGGGTTTTGTAAACTGGTGATTAAACTCAGCCATTATTAAAAATTAAATTGTATATACTTACAACTAAATAAATTAATAAAAATAAAGGTTATAAATAATTAAAATTCACCCCTTCCTTTTACATTTTACTCTTATCCATGTCTTGAGGTTTTTTTTTTACATCAGTTGTGTCTCTATGGTGGAAATACTATGCAATGATGTGTTACTGCTCATCTCTTCCCAACTGTATGTTCAGTGACATTGTGTTAATAATTTGAAATTGGCCATTGTAGGAGTATTTATGTTATGGAAGTTAGCAAACTCTACAAATCAGGGTCTTTTATTTCTGGAGAGCTGGTTGCTAAACACTTACCAGCACACAGGTGTATATGAGCGTTTTGTGTGTGTATATTAGTGAGTATGTTGGTTGGGTATTTTTGAGGTGGGATTTAGAAAGTTGTGTGTGAATTGTTGGTGAATAAGTGTTTATAAACAGAATGAATGAATGTGTATATAATCTGTAAGTACATATGCTAGGTAAGTCAGGGTAATTGTTAACCTAAAATCCGTGGATCTTTAAGGTGTCAGGGGATGAAATTCAGAGAGTCCATGAACTTGAACGAGGAAAAAAAATTCCATCTTTATTTTCACTAACTTCTAACTAAAATGTGACATTTTTGCCAATATGAATGTAGCTAACAATACATAGTAGTATTAACAGTGTTTACGTTTTTATTATCAATAGAAATCATGGATATGTTATTTACGGGTCTTGCAGATATGTCAAAATATTTATAGTCATGACAATGTTAATAAGATCCATCATTAGATATTATTTGAGGATTTAATAAGAAAGCACATGTTTTTCCAAACTAAATTATTTTTAAAAACATTTTGATTATAAATCATGCTGCTATAAAGACACATACACATGTATGTTTATTGCAGCACTATTCACAACAGCAAAGACTTGGAACCAATCCAAATGTCCATCGATGATAGATTGGATTAAGAAAATGTGGCACATATACACCATGGAATACTATGCAGCCATAAAAAAGGATAAGTTCATGTCCTTTGTAGGGACATGGATGAAGCTGGAAACCATCATTCTCAGCAAACTGTCGCGAGGACAAAAAACCAAACACCGCAGGTTCTCATTCATAGGTGGGAACTAAACAATGAGAACACCTGGACGCAGGAAGGGGAACATCACACACCAAGGCCTGTCATGGGGTAGGGGGAGGGGGGAGGGATAGCATTAGGAGATATACCTAATGTAAATGACGAGTTAATGGGTGCAGCACACCAACATGGCGCATGTATACATATGTAACAAACCTGCACGTTGTGCACATGTACCCTAAAACTTAAAGTATAATAAAAAATAAAAATTAAAACATTTTGAAAACTGAATTTTAATATAATTATTTTGTAACTTTATGTATTTCAAACAGTTTTCTGGGGGATTTGTGGGTTTAATCAGACTGCCAGAGGGGTCATAACACCAAAAATACCATTACATGAATATTATGTGTAACTGTAGTTGACACGTCAACAAGTAGGATGTGTGTGAGTGTGTGTGTGTGTGTGTTTATGAGTTGGGATCTGAGAATAGAAGTGACTTGTAGGCTATTAGGCTATTGGGAGTGGTGAGTGAATGAGAATGAAGTTATGTTTATGATCTAATCCCTAAAACCAGCTTCCTTTTTTTCCCCTAGAGAGATCCAGGGAGGCCTGAAGGGCTAGGGAATATTTCATCAAGAGTGGGACATGAACTGAATTCTAAACATTTTCCTTCTAAGGCAGACTTACTCCAAAGTCCTTATACAATTCTTGTTAGCAGAACATAAATTTACTTTCTGAATTCTGGCTGAGCATAGATGGGGCAACATTTCTCACCTGATTCAGGAAAATTCTTGCCTTGTTGCTGCAGACAATTCCTGATCTCTGTGAACACAGGAACTTTGGCCTCACCTCTGACCTGTTATTTCACTTGTCTTTTTCTGCAGACACATAAAAACCCACCATGACATATTGCAACTTACCCCTTTTTGGTGTAGCTAGATATATTCCATTTTCTACCCCGCTCTGGCCTTGCCCACATTCCCAGACTGTCCTCTAAATGACATCACCTGTGTCTGATCTCTTCTACAGCTCTGCTTTCTGGCTGGGGTGTTTGCCAGCTTGGCTAGCTTCAGAGTTCTCCAGGGAATAGCTTTGCCAGCAAAAGGTAGGAGAAAAAGAAGGTGACAAAGGAATAGGAAAGTCTGGAATTGCATTCTGGTGCTTTCTGCTGAAGGAATACGGGCCCAGAGTGAGGGCTCTCGGAGTCAGAGCCCCCAGCTGGCTGCCCCTTCCTTGTTATCAAAGAAATTCAGCTCACAAAATTTCTGACACTGATTAGGGTTTCATCCTGGTATTTATTTATCATTAGCCTCCACAGCTGACGGGCGGTCCAGAGCTTTCCTTCTCTGGACTTTCAATACAACAACTTCCTCCAGGTAAGATACTTTCAAAGTCTTCCAAAGGACAGTCAGTGGACATGCCTATAAGCCTCCGGACAAGATGAAGTTCTTCACCCTTTCCAAGTCAGGTCTCACAAGACTTCCTCAAAAGCTGTTCTAACTTAAAATCCCTCCTGCTTCAGTTTAAGCCTCTTGATCAGCCCTTAGAGGAGATGGAGCAAAGCTGTGTGATCCTTGAGTATTGGGAGACGGCTGCTAGTCTCTTTAAAAACAACCCAGGATGCTCTACTGCCCGAGAGCAGCACTGGGGCGTGATCTTCAGAGGTCTCTAGAGCCTAAAATGGTCTGTGTGCCCACTCAAATGGAGGGAGGTAAGTAATCTTTGAATGCACACACAATTTCACTACCTGCTGTTGCCTCTGTGCTTGTGTCCTTCGTAGGAATGGGCATTGGCTGCCTCTGTGATTAGCATATAGCAAGACTTCAGACCTCTTGATGTAATCTTACATAAGATGAATAAGCAGAAATAATACCAAGAGGTACCTCATGGACTGATGATGAAGAACAAGGAGTCATAATATTCTCTATTACATACACAATTTCACTGGTTGGGATGGTTGCTAGAATCATAAAAAGGGTCTTTCTTGGAGACAAGAACTGCAATCTGGCCTTGTCCTCTAAGTCTGCTCAGGCAGCAGCCAGGGGAGATTGCACTGGTCTGATTCACACAGCCCTTCAGTCTTTGCTACCCACAAGAGGCTGATAAACTATGAGTTTGTCACTTGAAGCCAGGCCTATGTCCTGAATTTGTGTATCTAACGCAGGAAAGAGCTGGAGAATGCGTGACTTCCAATGCCTGACCTTGTCAGGTGCTGCTGGTTAGAAAGTATTCTCTGCGCCCTTGTTAGAAAATTTTCATTAGAAAACCTGGTGAATTCCTTGAAAATTCTGACTCAGGATGGAAAGAACAAGCCTTGCTGAGTAGTATTCATTTGAAGTCTGGCATTCAGTGAGACAGGAGATAAGGCTCCTCTGTTTCTGGTAGTTCTACTTTGAAGGATGGAAAATGGGAAGGTTGCTAGAGAGGATAGAATGATGAGGATGGAGCTTAGCTACCTGGGGCTAAGGCAGAGGCATCTGATGTTTGTGATTTCCTGTAAGAGGTGTGCTTGGATTTGTGTTCTCTGTACTTACTAAGAAGAAAATACAACCTTGCATTTTGAGTATGAGTGTCACTAACCACTCATGCATTTCCATCCTTCTCAGAACTATGTAGCCTGCCAAAACTCTTCGAAATGAGCTTCAGGGGAAGATTGCTAGATGCGTTCCTCAATTCAAAGAGGACAAAAGCTAGGCAGAAGTTACCTGTAGAGGGTGAGACTCCTCCCAGCATGGATTTCTCCAGGTCCTCATCCCCATAGATGGGCTGGAACTGAGTCAGTTCCTAGATCAAGCAAGAGGAATTCATCTACACCACACCCCACTCCCACCCCCACATGTTCCCCTTATTGTTTACAAAGTAGACAGGTCAATTAGTTAAGAACATAAGCTTATGGGCTTCAAATACCAAGATCACTTGATATTTGTATCACTTTGGCTACCTACCTAAACTTTCTAAGCTTCAGCTTCCTCCCTTCTATCATGGGGATAATGACAGTACCTTCCGGGTATAGTTGTTACAAAAATTGGGATAAGCCAGGTAAAATGATCAGCCTAAAGCCTATGCATATTAATACTCTATAAACATTGTTTGTGGTTTCACTGTTGTTAGAGAAAGGGGGGGATCCCCTTTCTCTTAGGCCTCAATCCTTTGTCCCACTGACTCTGTGTGTTTCTTCTAGAGTTTCACTCCGTTCTCCAAACCTACATTCTTCAGGTGGAAATTTTTAGAGACAGAAGAAGCCAGGGAGAGCTTCCCGACTGGGGCATTCTGTTGAAATGGGTTGTGATGGTCTTTGAGATATTTTATCCCATCAGCACTTGGGGTGATCAGGAAGCTGAGCAGCTGGCCTCAGCTTTAAGTGGCTTCTTGGGGACTTCTCAAAATGCTGCAAGAGCAGTGACACCAGTGTAAAAAAGGTTGGGAAGCATCAAAGTTAGGGAATGCTGACCACAAAGATGTTCATACCAGGCAAAAATTATGGTCCACATAGATGGAGCAGAGCTATTAGGTTGGTGCAAAAGTAACTGCGGTTTTTGCCATTACTTTTAATGCCAAAAACCCACAGTTACTTTTGCACCAATCAACCTAATAAATGTCTCAGGAGAGGAACCTTTTGTGGTTTTCTGGTGTTGGGGGCTCATGGGTATGTTTGTAATAGTGGGAGGTGACAGGATGGGCAGGGCAGGGCTGCTGGAAGGAATGCTTCCTGTGTGAACTTGAAAATTGCCGTTTTTATTGGCTAGAGTGCTTTGATATTGGGTATTTTTGGCATAGATTTTTGCCTCATCTCCATTGAAGTTTTTTTTTTGTTTTTGTTTTTGTTTGTTTTTTCACATTCTTGTTCCACCAAAGCTACCAAAGCTTCCTTATAGATAAACCATCCTTTCTTGGCTGTTGAAAACATGGGGGAATCCTGATCCTAAGAAGCTTATTTCCTCTCAGATTACTTACCAGGCCTTGTAGGTGGCCCTGGGTTGCTGAGAAACATCTCTCACTACAAGCCTCTTCAGGATCCTGTAAGAACATCCTTAATGTTCACAACAACCCCTGCTGAGTGTTCTTGACCTCATCTGAACCGAGATGTCAAACAAATCCTCTAGTCACACATAATTTGATGAGGGTGAAGAAACCCTACACAGTAATCTCCCTCACTGACCTAGTGGCTGTCTTTTGTTCGGTGCAGCAAAGCTGGCCTGGGTAGGCTGTGGTTAGAGACCCCTGTGCCTTGCATCTCACTCCTCCTACATGGAGTGTCTCCAATAAATGTGTTCAGGGGAAAAGCTTGGCTTGAAGGAAAACAGGATCCCTAAGTTTCTATCTCATAGCCATTGGGAAAAGAGCACCTTATAAGTTTAAAAAAAAAAAAAAAAAAAAAAGCCCAAACCTAAAAACAAAGAGAAACCACTCAAAATTTAAGAACTAGTCACCAAATTGGAGTGAGGGAGGAAGAGGCTGAAGGCATTGAAGGAGTTGTTTTATGTTTCAAAGAAAGAAGCAATATTTTACACAGCGGGGGAGAATCTTCTGGAATGCCTCCTCTCATGGGTTGACTCAAACTAAAAATTGTTAAATGCTGCAGAAGAGAAGTCAGTGAATTTTACAAGGTCATTAAGCAGAGTTGTTTTAAAACCAGCATTTACTCAACATCTAATATGTACCAGGAACTTTACTAGAATATTATGTGATATTTTTGTTTGATTTTACTTTTGTAACAACTCTGTAAGTTAGGAGGTACTGCCAGTCCCATTTTATAGATGAGGCTCATATAGCTTAAGAAGGCATCTAATTGAGGTGCAAACCTGGGAGTCAAACTTATATCTGTCCAACTCCAAAGCCTGTGATTCTTCAACTGTTTTACATTTTATATTTATATGTGCATTTTACATTTAATATTTTTCTAAGGCAGACAAAATATATTGAGCAATTGCTTACCTCTGTAGCTTGATGTCAGCATAAAGAACAAGATTGCCATTCATTTATTTCTTTGCATGCTTATATCCATCCCTTTAGCAAGTATTTAGAGAAAGACTACCAAGAAGTACTGTGTACTTGGTCACAACCCATCTCTTGGGTCTATAGTTTAAATTAGGCCACTAGATTAATACCTAGCATAAGGAAATGCTTTGGTTCCATGGCTCATACCAAGGCAGTAGGAAGACATTAATAGAGAGCCACAAGGCTTTATATCCTAGACTTATTTCTGTCTCCTGATTTCAAATTGCATCATCACTATATTTTCTAATCAATGCTGCCCTCTCCCCTCTTCCATGGGATTCTAGTCATGTGGTTTTTCAGTGGCTAAAGATTGCTTACAGTTATCTGTCCCAAAGCCCTCTTGTGAGTAAAAAATTGTTTGCATATAAATGCATAAATTCTGCCCCTTGTGTAGTAAGGAGCATGCTACACATGACCCTAGCAAGGCCAATAGCTCCCTCCATGCATTGGAACCCATCTCCTGGCTGATCATTTCTCCAGCAACCCCCTTCCTCACCTTCTTTCTCTTGAAGTATCATCTTTCCCCTTTGTTCTGGATCATTTATCAGCATTCATATATGTCATAATTTATCCAATATTAACAAAAAAAATCCTCCTAGATCCCACTTCTCTTGCAGTCCTCTTCATTTCTCTCTTTCCCTTAAGGCAAAACTCTGAAAAGTTGTCTGTCCTCACTTACCACAATTTCTTTCCCCCATTCTCTGTTTAACCCACTCCAGTGAGGAGATTTTTTTTCTCCTACCACTCCATCAAACCTCTAATGATCCCCTTAAACATAATGGCAATTTCTTGCTCCACCTACTATTTGATCTATAAACAGTGACACTTGACCCAGTCAATCACTCCTTGAACACTTTCCTCACTTGGCTTCCAGGGCACCATATTCACTAGTTTTCTTTTAAACTTTCAGGTGGCTTTGTCTAAAGTCACTTTCATTGATTCTTCTTGATCTACCCAACCTCTAAATGTTGGAGTGCATTAGAGCTCAGTCTTTGGAGTTCTTCTCTTTTCTACCTACATGCACATAGCGTGGGAGATTCCATCTAGTCTTGTGGCTTTCAATGCATCCCCATGCATTTTTCCTCCTCTGTTCCAGATCCACATATTCATCTATGCCTCCTTGACCTACTGGATCTATAACAGGCTTCACAAAACCAACCTGTCCAAACACAAGCTTCCAATCTTCCCTCCCAACCAGGCTGTCCTGCATCTCAATTTATGGCAATGCCATTCTTCCAGTTGTTCTGGCTCAAAGACTTGGTGCTGTCTTTGACTCTCCCCTTTCTCCCACTTACCGTATCTCAGTTGCCAAAAAGGCCTCTCAGTCCTATTTTCAAACTATATCCAGAACTTAACCATTTTTTTTCACCCCCATGTTCACTCCCTTGGTCCCAGCCACCATTACCTCTCTCCTGAATTATTGCAATAGCCTCCTCATTATTTTCTCTGACTCTGTTCTTGGTCCCTTATGCTCTGTTTTCAATACAGCTGTCAAAGCCATCCTGCTCAAACCCTCTGATGCTTCCCAGACACCTCAGGGTGAAAGCCTCACACTGACCCACAGAGCTCAGCCAGATCCAGCTTGTCTCCTTCTGCTCTCTGCTTATTAATTCTGCTCCAGCCACACTGATTTCCTTGCTGTTTCTTAAATATTCCAAGCACATTCCTGCTTCAGGGCCTTTGCACTTGCTTCTCTATGTAGAATGTTCTCTTTCCAGGCAACCACATGGCCAGCTCCTTCACTTCCTTTTAGGTCTTCATTCAAATGTTGCTTTTTTAGTAAAGTTTTGTTTTTTTTTTCAGACCAAGATCTCAAATTTTATTTCCCACCCTTGAAGTTTTATAACCCCACTCCCTCCTTTATTTTTTTCTAAATAACTTACCACCACCTAACACTATATATTTTAATTATTTGCCTTTTACTTATTTACCCTGTTTATTGTCAGCCTCCCCAGTAGACTGAATACTAAATGAGGACAAGGATTTTGGATGGTTTTAGTTTTACTGTAATTTCAGTACTTAGAAGAGCACTTGGTGTATCACATATGCTCAAAAAGCAACTGGATGAATAAATTGGATTTTTGGAAAAGGAATAAATGCCTAGACCAGAAAAACTGCCTACCTTACAAAAGTAACATGAAAAAAAAAAAAACCACCAAAATATATAGAAGGCCAGTTCTAAATCCTAACACTGGGAAGTTACTAAATGCTATGTGCTATACTTCTGAATCTTGTCCACAAGTGCTTAATAAAGTAAAATACTTGCTATTCTTCTCTGGGGACTGGAGGGAAAAGTTGCAAATATTGCAAAAGTATAAGGTAAAGGCCAATGATAAATTAACTAGAATATTGCTTATTGTGCTTTAATATCAGCAATAATAAAACACAATACATGCCTTGAATCAAGTGTCATTATGGGCTTTTATCAACCCAAATTTTTTCTAGAGGCAGCTTAGTCGTTCTTCTTCTTCCATGAAAACCTGGGCAAGTATTCGGGTACTAACACTTCCAGCTACTTACATGAAAAGCCTGCCTGTGGGATTGCATGTTGAAGGAAGGTGATAAAGCATGAGGTTGCACCCATATAGGAACTGATTTATCTTCCAGAGGATGAGTTCCACATCCAACTATAGGCCCATTTGCCAAGCAGATCTGAGAAATGGGTGCTAATTGTGAAAACTCACTAGATCAGCTGCAAGGGAAATCTTCTATGAGGAGGTTGGGGTAGGAGTGGTGCAAAAGAGAAAACTAAAAATGTATGTAAGTGGTTTCAAGGGTGCAGAAGGGCCCTGATACTTGGACTTTGCACCCTAAGCCACCCCTACCCAGCCCCACACTTTGCAGCCGACAGTCAGCAGAGGCACAGCTTGCAGTGCATCCCTCACCAGTTGTCCACACCTCCCCAGTCTTGCTTCTGTTCACACAGGCCCTAGCCTGCTCCTGACTCTTAGTTTCAACCCACTTGCCATGATTTCCCCATTTCCACCCAGATGCTGTATAGGAACTTGGGCTAGGCTCTCCATCTGGATCTTCTCCCTCCTCCCCCTGGACGTAGGACAGCCCACCTGTCCCCAGCCCCAGAACCCAAATCCCCATAAGCGAAAATAGAAGTCCAGGCCAGGTGATTTTCTAGCAGAGCTCTATATGTGCACCTTTGGCAGGGAGAGTGTGTAACTCAGGCAGCCAGGGTCACCTCATCTTACCAGCATCTCCTTGTTCCGTGTCTAATTCAACAAATTCCATGGCAACGCGGGGCCTGCTCAGCTTACCTGACCTTCCCGACCTCCCTGTTAACAACTCTCTCACTTAGCTGAGTACGGTGTGAGTCTCCTTCCCTCCCAGTAGCCTCCTTTGATTTCTGCATTACAGTGCAGTGAGTGGGGGCAGTCTCTCCTGGACAGGACATCTGGGGATGAAACTAGAGAGGAGGGATTCAAGCCTGTGTGTTGGGGGTGAGGGGTAGGGGATGGGGGAGCATGTCCTTGCTCTTAGAGGAACCCTGTTCTGGAAGCCCAGTGTTAGGATTTAGAACTGGCCTTCTGTATATTCTATCTAGAGCCCTGTTCTAGAAGCCCAGTGTTAGGATTTAGAACTGGCCTTCTATGTATTTTGGTGGGGTTTTTCTATATATATTTTCTATATATTTGGTGTTTTTTTTTTTTTCACCTTACTTTTGTAAGGTAGGCAGTTTTCAAGTTATGGGGCAATGAGTTGATGTTCATGTCACTCAGGACACCTGACAGCTATGTGTGAGACACATCCTTTGCTCTTCCTGACCCACCATCCAAATGGGCATTTAATATATGGATTTCAGACCTTCTTCTGCAAAACTCAGGCTTCTCTGAACCTGACAAATATCCACAATGTGCTGACTGAAAGACGGTAATCAGCCATGTCATAGGCCCACTCATCTATGCTGAGCTTTTCATCATTATTCTTTTTTATAATGAATATTCTGTTATTGTTTTGTTATTCCTTTTATTTTTATTTCATATTTGTAAAAGCATTAGAAAATTTTGGAAGCATTTTCACTGAAAGTGTTTCCTCTGAGTCATGGTGGTCTTGAAAGGAAGGCAGTGAAGATATTAGTGGGGATGTGTTCTCCTGGAGAGAGTCACATCCGAGTGCTGAGAGGATGAAGGAACTGGGTGGTGTCCGGAAGTGATCCAGGTCCTCTGGCTCCACTTCCAACACTCTCCCACCAGCCCATGCTGTCTCCTTCTGGTGGCATGCCCTCATTGTATTCAGGAAGGGTTTTGCCTGCAGAGCGTATGAGTGTGTACAATAATGAGGTGCATGACAGCAGGGCTCTGTGGTGTCATGCATACTGTTCAATTGATGTCAAGGAGTGTTGGTATCACCCTGTCCCTACTCCTTTCTCTTGAACAACCTCCCCTAGACAGAATCAATCTCTCCCGCCTCTGTTCCCCTGTACCATGTAATTCAAAAGTGCTAGGAAAACACTTATAAGATTGTAGTACAGATTGGTGTAAAAGGATGGCTTGGCTGAGACTAGAATATGACAACTTTGAAGTTAAGCAACACTCCCCTAGAGATCTTCTCTGTGCTCTGGGCAGAGAAAATCACTCTGTCACGAAATGTTCAGGGACCCTGTTACAGGTGTCAGGCAACATCCTATGATTTCTCTGGGGCCCAGAGGCTCCATGGGAAATAATCTGAACCTTTATTTGGAATTCAGAATTTCATAGATACATCTGATGGACTGAATGGGGAGGGGGTCCCCACAGAAAGAAGAAAAAAATGGAAACTTATAGAAAGAAATCTCCATAAGTGAGTAATGAGTCTGCCAGAGTAAGCTAGGTGCAACCCCAGGGTCTGAAGTGTGGAGAGGACAAGGACCCTGGAACAGAGTGAGGCTGCACTGAAAGCCATCTGCATCTTCTCACCTTCCACCTCCTCTAGTGAAGCTGTGCCTCCTGTGAGAGTAAGGAGGAGACAGGACTCCTGAGTGATTACGTGTCCCAGCCCCTCTGCTCTGGGCCCCCTCTGAAGGGGCTGGGCCATAAGAGTGTTGATTTTCCCACCAGTTATAGAGAGAGGTGATCAGTGGAGTTCAGCAGTCAGAGACATTATAGAAATTGATAACTGCACCACTGAAGAGAGTGCAACTGCCCTAGGGCCACCCAGAGCTGTGTGCAAGCCGGCAATTTGCTGCATGGGCTTTACTGTCTAATACTGCTGGAGGCATCCAAATTCCAGAGATCTACCGAGCAGTAAGGGCAAGACCACACAGATCAACAGTCACCAGCATGGCTTGTGTGTGATGCGCCCCAGCTCTTTGGGGGTACTTCTTTTATTTATTTATTTTTTGAGACAGAGTCTCACTCTGTCTCACCCAGGTTGGAGTGCAGTGGCTTGATTTCAGCTCACTGCAGCCTCCCCCTCCCATGTTCAAGCGATTCTCCTGTCTCAGCCTTCCGAGTAGCTGGGACTACAGGCGCATGCAAGCACATCTGGCTAATTTTTGTATTTTTAGTAGAGACGGGGTTTTAACATGTTGGCCAGGCTGGTCTTGAACTCCTGACCTCAGGTGATCTACCCGCCTCGGCACCCCAAAGTGCTGGGATTACAGGTGTGAGCCACCGCGCCCAGCTGGGGGGTACTTCTATAGAGACACCAGAAGTAAGGAAGACTGAGGCCTTGGTGGATACAAGTAAGACTCTTACAATGGTTGAATTGCGGCCTTCCAAGCTGAAGTTGCCTTTTTCTAATGTGATTTCTCCCTCCTAAGCTACCAGGCTTCCAAGACAGGAAGCAGGTCTTATTTATCTTTATAGGTGGAAGATGCTTAAGGATGATTACAGTTATTTGTGTCCATAGGTGACAGCCTCTTCCTTTGATTATATGTCCTTTTGAAATATTAATTATTTTTTTAAATTATGGCAACATATATATATAATAAAATTTACCATTTTATCTATTCTAAGAGCCTATTTCAGTGGTATTGAGTACATTCATTTTTGTTGTGCAACTATCATCATCATCCATCCTCAGAAATTTTTCATCACACCAAACTGAAATTTTAGACACATTAAACACTAACTCCTCATTCCTCCCTTTCCCCAACTCCTGGCAACCACCACTCTACTTTCTATAAATTCCTATAAATTTGACTATTCTCATATAAGGAGAATCATGTGGTATTTGTTCTTTTGTGTCTGCCTTATTTCACTGAACACAATGTCCTCAGGGTTTATTCCTATTGTAGCATAAAGCAGAGCTTCCTTCCCTTTTAAGGCTGAATAGTATTCCATTATATTGCCGGGCATGGTGGCTCACTCCTGTAATCCCAGCACTATGGGAGGCAGAGGCAGGTGGATCACCTGAGGTCAGGAGTTCGAGACCAGCCTGGCTAGTGAAACCCCGTCTCTACTAAAGATACAAAAACTAGCTGGGTGTTGGTGGTGCGTGCCTGTAATCACAGCTATTTGGGATGCTGAGGCAGAAGAATCACTTGAACCCAGGAGGCAGAGGTTACAGTGAGCCAAGATCGCGCCACTGCAATCCAGCCTGGGTGACTAAGCAACACTCTATCTCAATAATAATAATAATAATAATAATAATAATCCATTATACCACATTTTCTTCATTCATCTGTCAATGGAGATGGGTTGCTTCTACTTTTTGGCTATTGTGAAAAATGCTGCTGTGAATATGAGTGTCTACAAATTTTCGTCTGTGTTGTCTTGCACATTATTTCTTCTGTGCCCATCTCATCATCCTCTTAGCTCTCTTTACCTAACTCTTATCTATTCTTCTGATCTCTTTGTAAAAGTCACTGCCTCCGAGGAGCCCTCCATGACCCCATAGACCAATTTAGTTGCCTCTTCCAGGTGCTTCCATAGCTCACCACAGCACAGTTCATTAATATTGTCTCTTTGTCTTTCCCACTAGCCTGTCTGCTTCCTGTAAGAGGGGCACCACCTGTCCAGCTTTCCATCATATACCTAAGACCTGGCACTGTGCCTGGACCACGGAAGCCCTAACAAAATGTTCAACCGTAAGTACATGTTCCGCAAGCCAGGCAGGGAGGAAGGTGCAATGTGTGCATCTGTAGGCGGCTTGAAGTCTCCCGTTCTTACCTGGCACTTCTTCCCATTTGATCGGGTCCCGTCTCCAGGTATCTGCCGAATGCTTCTTACGTGCTGTGCTAAGCCTTGATGATGTGCTAACACTTTGCAAGTTGTGTTCCCTGGACTCCTGGGGCATCCAGGCCAGTTGAGGAGACAAGGGCTCAGTCTGCAGAACCACATGAGGCAGAATGTGATGAAGTAGCAAAATGAGTAGCAGAAGCACACTCAGAAAAGAGAGAACACATTAGTATCCTATGGCTGTTACAGCAAATGACCATGGACTTAGTGGCTTAGAGCAATTCACATCTCTTTCCTTACATTCTCAGAAGTCAGAAGTCTAAAATCAAGGTGTTGGTGCAGCTGCATTCCTTCTGGAGGCTTCAGGGATGAACTTGTTTCCTTGCCTTCCCCAGGGTCTAGAAGCTGCCTGCATCCCTTAGCTCATGGCCCCTTGCCCCAGCTTCGAACACATCATTCCAACCTCTGGTTCTCTCTCTTATTTATTATTATTTTTTTTTTTTTGAAAAAGGGTCTCACTCTGTCACCCAGGCTAGAGTCCTGCTGGAGTGATATGATCATGGCTCCTGGGCTCAAGGGATCCTCCCACCTCAGCCTCCCAAGTAGCTGTGACTACAGGCACACACCACCATGCCTGGCTATTTTTAAAAATTTTTTGTAGAGACAGGGGTCTCTCACTCTGTTGTCCAGGCTGGTCTTGAACTCTTGAGCTCAAGCAATCCTCCTGCCTTGGCCTCCCAAACTGCTGGGATTACAGGAATGAGCCACCGTGCCCGGCCCCAGCTCATTGTTCTGACCCACTCTCTGGCTCTCTTAGGAGATTGTGATTACATTGGGCCCACCTTGATAAACTGGGATGACCTCCCCATCTCAACGTCTTTATTAATCACCCACAAAGTCCCATTTGCCAAGAAAGGTAACATATTCACAGGTTACAGAGAGTAGGGTGTGGACATCTCTGGGTGGCCGTAATTCTTCCTACCACAGGGCGTTTTACACGAGCCAGACTAGGGAGAGACCTTGCTAACAGCAGGAGTAATGTGCAGGTTGCAAGAAGATTTGGGGGAGCTGCGGACACTTCAGCTGAAAAGGTGCAGGGTGGCGTGGGAGTTAGAATGTGGAGACAATGGCTGGTTGGGAGAAAAAGGTTTTGGTAAAGGAGGTGTCATAAGGCAGGGTGGGTGTGGGAAGGTGCTGAGGACATGCGTCCAGATTTCCGAGGACCCTGACTGCTGGGCAGAGCCATCTGGCCTTGGTTGGGTGGTCATAAATCCCCCCCGGGCAGTTTCTGTGCCAGTGTTCTGCACTCTGTTGGCTCAATCAGCTCTGGATCACCTCCCAGCATCCTTTTTTACATGCTTTTTAATGAGCACTAAGATGGAAGTGGAATAAATCTCCCCAGATACTTATGTGAGCACTTTAGTGGCCATTCCCCTGGCAGCATAGGTAACAGCGAGTAAATAAAAGTGACACCCAGGAGCTGTAGGGCCTTGGTTCAGAGAGAAGTGCTCAGCTCTGAAGTTTGGTGGCCAGCACGGGGCCAGGGCCCACAGGAAAACTGTAGAGCCAGCTGCTTGTAGAGAGCTCAGGAGATGACAGAAGGTATCCTGTGTCCCCAAGGATGTACCTCTGCATTCCTGCCTCTATCAGCAGGCTGGAGAACAAGACCTGGCTGGGGAGTGGTGGTGGGGTCTTATTCCTGCTATGATTTCCTTTTCTCTTGTCCTCAGCCTACGGATAGGGTCACCGGCAGAAACAGCAGCTGCTGGGGCCATGGTGAAGGTCTCAGCACTTTTTGTTGCCAGAATCCAGCCCCCGTACCACCTGGTGAGGGGCTTTAGGGAGAATGTGAGGTGGGGCAGTGTGGACCCTGGGCTAAGTTCTCATGGTGCCCTCTAGCTTCCCTCTTCTTCCCTCCCCACCTCTCTCCAGGCAACAGCCAGATACCCAGGGCCTGCCCACAGGTCTGTCTGCTCTGCTCCCACCAGTCTGTCTGCTGTGATCCTGTATATGTCATGCCTGGCCCAGATTTCCATAATATTGCTGGGAAGTGAACATTGTTAGTTTCAGCACTAACCTCCTTTCTAGCTAAGAGCCCGCCTAGTTCTCGCAGCTTGAAAACAGCCAGTCAACTGTATCCTAGACCTGACTACATTTCCTATCTCTGCAGTTCAAGGCGTGACCACCCAAGTCATAAGCCATCAACATCTTTTTGGTCTAGGAAGCACTTCCTAACCACTCTCACTGTTTCCCCTCTAGATCCTATTGAATTAATTCTCATGTGGCAGAATTAAAACAAAGTAGATCACATCATTCCCCTACTTGAAGACTTCAGTGGCTTGTCTTCTCCCTCAGAATAGAATCCAGCTTCCTCTCATAGCAGGCTAGACCCTGCACCATCTGTCCCCTTAATCTCACCTCCTCTCACTCTCCTATTCTCCTTCCAGCTGCCTAAAGATACATTCTGGTCCTGAGATACATCAGGACTGCTCCCTGCGTAGGACGGGCCTTCATTCTTGTTTCCCCTCTGCCAGCAATGCCCTTAGTCCCCATCTCAGAGCAGCTCATTCCCGCACTTCACGTAGGCCTCTGTGTGAATGTGACCATCTCCTGGCCACTCACATCTAAAACAGAGCTTCCTTCCTCCCACTCTGCACTATGTATCTTTGGGGCATTCCCTGACATCTGACATTATATGACAATATATTTGTGCTCCTCTGTCTCCTGCTAGAAGGTAAGCTCCATGGAGGCTGGTTTTTCTCATCCACCCTGTGTCCTCCATGGTCAGTACAGTGCCTGGCCCAGAGTAGATATTTCATACATATTTGTTGAATGAATAGATGTGAAGAAATAATTTACTTCTTAGGCACTGACTAAGGCCATTACTTGCCAGAGACTATGACAGGTGGACAATGTTTATTCCTTGTCCCTAGGAGTTTATAGCCTTCTGGGTAAAGATAAGGAGATGATATATATATATATTTTTAATAAATATATGTATATATGTATGTATATGTGTATGTGTATATATTTATATGTGTATATGTGTATATATAGGCAACGTATATAAATATATAGGCAGTATATATATAGAGAGATTTATATATATATATTTATATATTGAGGCCAGGAGTTCAAGACCAGCCTGAGCAACATAGCAAGACCCTGTCTCTAAATGTATATATAAAGCATTATCACAATAAAACATTTATCACAATTAAAATGCTGTATTTAAAGCATTTATCACACTGTAAATATATATATTTATATATAATATATGATTATCATATATTTATGTATAATATATGATTATTATATAATATTTATGTATAATAGATAATTATAATGCATATTTTTGTATAATGTGTAATTATAATGTATGTTTATATATAATTATATATTTATGTATAATATATAATTATAATATACAATATTTATGTATAGTATATATTTATAATATGTAATTAGTATAATATATAACACAATATATAACATGTATAATATATAATTATTATAAAATATTATAAAAATATATATAATATTTACAGAGTATGATAAATGCTTTAAATACAGTATGCACAAAGTAGCACGAAAATCAAGTAAGATGACAATTTTTCTTCAAGGTCTAAGGAAGTATTAGATAAAAGAGATGGATTTGAACTTGAGCTGAGCCACCTACTTATCAGTGGAAGGTCTCTGAATAGTCCTTAGGAATAATTGGTTGCTGATAAGTCCTGCACATTAGCCGTAGCCATCTTGGATAATTTTGCCCAGAGTACTCAAGGATGTCCATACTTCAAAAGGTGGGTGGAAAGTTACCAGAGTCTCACACTGGTTTCCATTGCAGAGGGAGCTTCACCCTGTCAAAACTGACGGCCTCCCCAGATCCTTATCAGGGCTTAGGGTAGGTGGCAACTGTTCCTAGGACCTCACCAGAGTAGAGGACCTTCTCTGTGTGTTGCCAAGCCTTGACGACTCACTGTGAGGGCTCCAAGTGCTCACCTTGTGGCCAATGCTGACCCAAAGAGCCTGGCCCTGTGATACAGAGAATTGTCCCAGCTGTGTCATACTGGGTGCTGGAGGCTGGTGTGCAGGAGTCCAGGGAAGCCTCTGTTGGCTGTGAGTGGCTCTGGGAGGCTTCTCCAAGCTTCCATGTGTCTCTTTCAAGAATCAGTAGGAATACTGTGGTGCAACTCCCAGAGGTAGCATCAGTTCCTCAGTGCTACAGAAGCTTCTACCTGTTAGCTCTGTGTCAGCCCCCTAGGAAGCAACTATGCTGCCGAAGAGGCACCAGTGCTGAGGATCACTTGCAGAGCGTGGTAGGAGAATGGAGAAAGCATCCCAGCCATCTCTGCCTAATCAGCAAGGCTGTCTCTAGGTGGGCTTGCTTGCCCAGGATGAACTTTGAAAATAGCACCCACTGTGAACATAGAAGGATGTATCGATAATCACCCCATATATTTCTCAGAGGTTTTCACACATGTTATATAATTTGGCTCTCACAGCAGTCTTGGGAGGTAGTTATGTATTTTACCATGGTTTGTTTTGTTTTGTTTTTTTGGAGGCAGGGTCTTACTGTATCCCCCAGGCTACAGTGCAGTGGCGCAATCATAGCTCACTGCAGCCTCAAACTCCTGGGCTGAAGCCTTAGCCCTCCCTGTCTCAGCCTCCTGTGTAGCTGAGACTATAGGCATGCATCACTGTGGCCAGCTAATTTTTAAAATCTTTTTTTTAAGAGAGAGGATCTCGCTGTGTTTCTCAGGCCTCAGGCTGGCCTTGAACTCATGGCCTCAAGTGATGTTCTGCCTCAGCCTCCTGAGTAGCTGCGATTACAGGCATGAGCCATGATGTCTGGCTCTTACCATGTCCTAATTAGTATTTTTCCCATTGCGATTTATTATAGAAATTCTGGAATATATCAAAAGACATAATGAATAAAATAAAAATCACTTGTAATCCCACCATGCAAAGTGTCTATGTTAGTGTATCTCCCACCAGGCTTTTTTTCTAAGACATAAATGTATTAACAGATGTTAATTTATTCATCATTCTGCTCCCCCCAAATCCAGCTAAGATTGTCTCAAATTCCCATACCATGGCCCATAGAAGTATGTCTGGAAATTCCTAGAAAGGCCCATGATCTCCCTCCTCTGTCCCATAAGATTTCTAAGTTGCAAGCCACAGAGGCAAACTCAGGCAAAAATGAAAGTTATCAGGAAGTGTGGGATAGCTCACTGAATTGAGAAAATAACCTAAAAATACCACCTCAGAAAGGACAGAAACTAAGTATCAAAAAATAATGGATGATTTAGAGCCTATTACCATTGTGATAAATGGACTTGTGCCTTTTTAGTCTTTCTTTCAATCCACCCAAGATTCAAATTCCAGGTACAGTATCTGATTGGTCTGGATTGTTTTATCTGCTCACAACTTAGCCACGGCAAGTCAGGGCTCCTGGCTTGACAATCTCACCAATACTGCATTCAACTGCAGACACTGGCCAGATGGGATTGCTATGTAACTAATAAGTGGAACAACAGAAACTTGACTCCCTTGTCTCAAAAATCTATCTTTTGACCACTAATCTATTGGGGAAAGAAAGGATCTTTGTGTATACATCTTTCTTTCTATGGAATACCCTTTTAATCCCCTGCACTCCCTTGACTTGGCTAACTCCTACTCATCCTTTTCCACTCAAACCTCAGTTGATATTTTTATACTCTGAGATATATTTCATGACCCCAGCCAAATATGAAGTAGATCCCTCTATTTTGAGTTCTTAGAGCATCACATGGGTCTTTCTATGTAAAAGGTAAGTTCCTTGAGGGCTTCAATACCGTTGATCTACAGGATCTAATATAGGAACTGGTATGTAGAAGGTTCACCCAAAATATTGAGGAATGACTTCTCTGACAAGAAAGAAATGTGCTCAGAGGATTTGCTTAAAGAAGGGAAAAAGGAAGGGAAGGAAACTGGAACTGACCTCAGAAGGGGAAAGGACAGATGATTTAGGAGACAGGAGAACATGATCATTGACATGAGCATCCCCCACTAAAGAGAAAGACCCACACCTATGTATACTCCCCCAAAAGCACAAAGGACAGAGCCATGCGAGGGAATTCCATAGATAATTATAGCCTGAAGCAATTGGCCAAACTGAAGGTCCTGTGGGGTAGCCCTCTGCAAAAGTGTTGCAGTGTTTATCCAGGAGACTGGAAGGAGGTTTTGCCCTCATCTCCAGTCATCTGAAGAAAGCAGGAATGTGGGACATGGAAATGGCTGCATGGGCTTTGGCAAAGTCCAGTACCAAAAATAACAGAGTTGAATTTTATGGGACTGCTTGGTTAAATGTGTTTCTCTATGCCTGTTGTGCTTACAAAATGTGTATGGATGCCTCACCCAAGCTAATGGGATAGACCTCCTTAGGTAAACAATAACCACTAACATTTATGGAGATGCCAGGCACTATGCCAAGGCACTTTTCATAAACAATTTCACTCCATCCTGTGGGCATACTACAGCCTGGCTTGATCAATGGTCATTGTACCCCTTCTAGAATTACTTCTAATACTACGGCAGCTAGCTGAAAACTAGACTTCCCAGAATGCTTTACAGGGATGCTTTAGTCAATGTGATTTTGGTTCATCCAATCAGGAGTTGAAACTTGAACTCCTTACTGAATTAAGTGGGGAGACAAAGAGTGGTAAGTGAGCCCATTTTTCTAATGGACGGATCCAGGTGGTCTAACAGTTGGACCCTGGAGTTGGCAGCTGTGGTGATGGCTTTCAGACTGCTGCATTTCAGGTGTTCTTGGAGCCAGCAATTCCAAGTGGTTTTCTCATTCTTGGATTACATCTAAGGTGATGGGATCCTGAATTCAAAAATTTGGGCAGTGACCTCCTGTTTCCCCAGCTTTCTCACTGTCAGATGCAAAAGTTATCTTAGTGGGTCAGTACAGTGGTGGTACTTTAAAATTTGTTTGTAATGGCTGAGCCTAGAGCCTGCTCCTCCTATTATCCCACAGTTCTGTAAGCACCTGATTCCCTGTGTTCAATCCTTTTCCGCTTAAAATACCTGGAACGTTTTATGCTTTCTGCAGCTGAACTTTTATTGAGCCATGTAGTATTTTCCCCCATTTCACAAGTAAGAAAACTAAGGCAGAAAAAAATGTTACATCACAGAACTAGTAGGTGTGGAACTTGGTTCTGAACTCAGGAAGTTTGTGTGAATTCAGTATCTGCTTACCACCATGCAGGAATAGGCGGAGTGAATGTCGGGCTTTCATCCTGTTATTATTTACTGGACACCTTATATGTGTCATGCAATATGTTAACCTCTGGAGCTATTATAGTAAAAAAACAAAGTGGAAAATTCTTCATTTTACTTCTCTTGACTTGTAATGGAAAGTAAGTTATAAGTACATTTAAATAGTGAGATATTTTGCTACAGGCTTGCATTGGAAAGAGGCATGTAGCTTTCAAAAGCAGACAGTCTGTATCAAAAGCAGCTTGTAAAAGAGCTAGTTGCTAAAGGGATTCAATTCAAATTTTGGCTTACACATAATTCAGTGAAAATATTGATAAGAATGAAAGAAGAACGCTAAGAAGAAAGGAAGGAAAGAGTGAGTTCGTAAATAGGTTGGCATCCTTTTACTTCAGGAAGCTCTTTGATGTGCCTCCTGCCCACCCCCTACCCCATCTCCAAACCAGTAGCATTAAGTGACTTGAGCACTTTCATTCCCATTTGGGATTCTGCCCTATGGAAAACGGAGAAGGTAAATTATGAGTAGGGGACTTGAAAGGAGATAGCTTTTTCCCGCTGGAAATTTCTTTCTAGTGCTGAGACAGGAAAAACTTGGTAGTTAGGTTGTGTGAGATGTCTGAGCACTGCTGACTGAAGGAAAACTCTTGAGAAGCAAAAGATTCTCCGAATAGAGGCTTAATCTGCTGTTGGCATAAGAAAGACTCCAGGGACATTAATATCTGGTGCAGTCACAGAGTCACAGAAGCACTGGAGCCATAAATATGCCCCAGGAAGGAATTTTGACTCTAAGTTTCAGGATTGAGAGTGATTTGAAAGAAATGTACTCAAGGTTAGGGAGAAAACCAGGGAGACATAATCGATAATAATGAATAATTAGAGACTCAAAATTTCCTGGGGGATTAGGTTTCATTTTCTTTAAAGACTTGTGTCTTTGGACTATCAACACCTCCTTTGACATTTATTTAAGGAATCATATTTTCAGGAGCAAGAAGCTGTATCTACTGGGTGCCCAGATGCCCAGTCCACATGTTTATCCCTGAAATATCTAGAAGGCATTGTGCCCTAATTGCTGGCCAGCACCCAGAGGAAATAAAGAGTTTCATTTGTGCTGGATTTGTGGATCTAAATGGAAAGATGGTGGAAACATCATACATTTTGTAGAAAATCAAGTAAAAAATTACTGTAAAAGAAAATATTAAGGCAAATACGGACTTGGAAGATGTTCAAGTGAAGCCTATGTGCCAGGTAGATGGCTTCATTTGTTTTAAGGAAAGAGGGATCTATGATCCTTTGCTGTCAATTCATCAGTTGACATTTTTAGACACTTGCTATATATCACTGAGGAATTTCTCCTTCAATCACTCAACTCAATTCAAAATGTAGAGACATGATGAACACCTACTATCCATCAATAAAATAGGTATTCACTTCCTACTATGTGCTAGGTTCTGAGGAGTACAAAAGATATGTCAGTCATATAACTGACATTGGAAAATGAACATAAATGAAAGACATATAACTATTTCTTTCCCTCCCCTTCCTGAGGGAGAATTATTCTTTTCTTCCTCCATTGAAGTCAGACTTTGCCTTGTGACTTTGGCCAATGAAAGGTAAGGGAAAGTGATGTGTGTCACTTCCAGGCAGAAACTCTAGGAGCCCGTACTTGCTTCACCATAGCCTCTTTTCCCTTTACTGTGATGACTGGCAATGTTACAGTAACAGCTCCTTTGTCAGCCTAGTTTCTGCAGTACAGCAACGTGAAGTTGACTCCTAACTGTGCTAGGAAAGACGTGTCGTGAAAGTGAGAAAGAACCCTGTGCTTTTGTAAGATGTAATGTCTGAGCTTACTTGTTACCATAGCATAACTTAGCCTAATCTGACTTCTACACGATGGCTCTAGAAAGCTAGCATTTATTGAGTATATCCTGAGCATTGAATATATCCTGAGCATTGTGCTGTGGGCTTTATATGCATTATTTCATTGAACTCTCGTAAAAACACCATGAGGTATATATTATATGATTTCTATTTTATAGGTGTTGAACTGAATCCCAGAGCTAAGTTCAGACTGTTATTTAGTGTTGAAGTTGAATTTCAGAATCTGGTTTGCTTGGATCCAGAGCTCATAAGCTTAACTACTATGCCATACTGCCTTATATAGTAGAATGAATATAATTGAAGATCATTTTTGGAATAGACTGTAAGTTCTCTGGGCAGTTTAGAAGAGGAGTGATCAATAACCATTAAAACTTCTTGGGAAGAGCTTTATGGAAAAAGTAAGAGTTGAAAAATGTGTAGGTTATAGATAGGAGAAAAGGGAGCTGAACTTTTTAGAATGGGGAGAGAGAGGCAAAAGACCTCAGACCTCATCTGTCTGGATGAAATAAGGCAATACAATGGATATGCCAAACCCCTGGAAATTAGTTTAGTCTACCCTTAAGAACTTCACAGTCAGAGAGTGGTGATAAGGTGTTTACCCAAATTACTATCATAATTCAGGCAAGCTCTATTAGGAGGCATGCTGGAATTCTGTATAATGTGTGTTAAGATGTATCAAACCAAGACTAAGCAGAAATCTCTTCACCAATGTAGGATAGGTATTTGGAAAAAGACGGCTGCTGCAGAGAAGGCAGCCCAGTGAGCCAGATGTACCTAGCAGTCTTTGTCTCAAATCTGGAAGGTTCTAAATGCAGAAAAAATTCAACTAGACCCATGGTATATGCCAAGAGAAATAATTCTCTTATCACTCATGACAATTTCCAGCTGCACTAGGCCAGAAGGCCTAGAGGGACACCAAAGCTATTTCGTACATCCTGCCCCTGTGGAACTGGCTCAGGCATGGTATGAAACTAAGGTTTCCTGGGAGCCTTTGTGGGGGATACATAAAGAGAAGTGTTTCTGGGTCTCTTACCCATCAACTCCAGGGATTGTGATTTAGGAGGCCTAGAGTGGCACCCAGGAAGCTTCATTCTTTTGCCAGGAACTCATGTAATTCTACTGTTTATGGTATTGGAACTTCATTTTAAAAACATGTGACAATAACAACATCAAAAAAACCATACACACCATTTTTCTGGAAGTTAAGAACATTAACTAAAATATAAAAAATAATATGATGAGTTCCTTTAAAGACGTAATGCTTTAAAAATTCAGTGAAAAAAAATAAGTGGGCCAGGCGCAGTATCTCACTCCTGTAATCCCAGCAGTCTGGGAGGCCGAGATGGGCAGATCACCTGAGGTCAGGAGCTCAAGACCAGCCTGGCCAACATGGTAAAACCCCATCTCTACTAAAAATACAAAAAATTAGCCAGGCCTGGTGGCGCAGGCCTGTAATCCCAGCTGCTCGGGAGGCTGAGGCAGGAGAATTGCTTGAACCCGGGAAGCAAAGGTTGCAGTGAGCCGAGATTGTGCCACTGCACTCCAGCCTGGGCAGCAGAGCAAGACTCCACTTTAAAAAGAAGAAATTAAGTGATCAAGCAATGTAATGCCAACTAAGGGAAGTGATAGTTGCAAAAGGTGGTGGCCAATTATACACTGCAGAGAGGTCAAAGAAAGTCGGAACTAAGAAGAACCTTTGAAGATGTCAATTAAGAAAAGTTCAGTTACGTAGGGAGTAATTTGAATTAATTATTTGTAATGGGAGCCAGAAAGAAAGATGTTCATGGCTGGCTGGGTGGTGATGAGAGGAAATAGCACTTAGAATAGCTGGGAATAAATGATGCAGTTAATAATTCAAGGAGGTACCTGGGTTCAAGGAAAGTGCTTTTGTTTGTTTTCACTTATTAGCATATGGGGGACTTGAGCATGTTAACAGTCTAAAGGGAAAGATGCAGAGGTGAGGAGTATTTGACAATATGAGGGAAAGTGGAAAGAACTGGTGGAGTAAAACAGCTGGAGCCCAGGAGAAGGGCTTTCTTTGGACAGGTAGTAGAACATTCTGTTCTCCAAGAAAGGAGAGAAGAGTAGAAGATGCATGAAGGTAGAGAGTTTGAAGTACAGAGGAAGGAGGGTGAGGCAGTCATTGCTGATAACTTCTCTTTGGAGGCAAAGACAGTAAGGGACAGAAGAGAGTGGCAATGGTTTGGAAGGACTGCTTTGGGAAGCCCAGTAGAGTGTCTGCAAAGTTAAGGTGATATACTTGGCCATTACGGTCTATTCTGCTCTAAAGAGTTAATATTGAATTTTTCCAAGTTAAAAAAATAATGATTATTCTTATAAAACTGCCGCCATTATTATTGTTAACATAACAATAATATGATAATAATAAATAATATGATAATACATAATTCAAATTGTTATTATTGTTATATTAACAATAATAATGATAACAGCAGCCTGGTATGCACCATTAGGACCTCTATGATTAATCTAGGAGAACAGCTCACAAAAAAAAAAAATGCACTCTCACCCATCCTTCTGGAAATAATCACCTCGCTGTTGGGCCTGTATCTGGTAGCAATTTTTTTTTTAATCAGAGGGGCCACTGAGGAGTAATTGTAACTTTTCCTTTGCAGAAAGAGTCTTACAGCTGCTCACCAGCTCTGCAGCCCCTGAATTCCTCAGCAATCTGTATGACAGAGCTGCCCCTTGGGTTTCTTATTGAGTAGCTTTATTGCAAGCTTATAGTAAATGTCTTATTAAGTCCAGATGAACAGAGAGGCTAGATTTGCCTCACTGGGACCAATTAAGTGGGGCTGGACAGACTTCCTACAACCCTTCCAGCTGTCAGACTGTACTACCAAAGAGGCTAAGTGACTTGTCCAAGGTCACATAGTAAGTAGCCAAGTTGGATCTTAATCCACATTGCCAGGACCACTGCTCTTTCTTCTGCACCTTGAAGAAGAGCTTATACACAGAATGTTACCAGGAAGTGCCTTCCTATAAACAAGTAAACCCTTTTATTGTCTTTTTTAAACCACTAGCTTCAGGTTTCCCTCTTCAGTGGAGGATAAATGCTCAAAAACATATGGCATCCAGACATGGGCACAAAAAATGTCTGTCGGTGTTTTTAATCATTTAATGTTTTCCTATCATGGAGGGTATTAGGTTTCTATTGCTGCTGTAACAAATTACCACAAACTTAACAGCTTAACACAACACAACTATCTTCTCTTAGAATTCTGGGGGCCAGAACTCTGAAATACGATTCACTGGGCTAATGTCAAGGTGTCAGCAATGTGGAGTTTTATGGACGTTCCAGGAGAAAACTTGCCTTTCTTTGCCCTTCCCAGCTTCCATGGGCAGGCTACATCCCTTGGTGCATGCCCTTCTTCCTCCATCTTCAAAGCCAATAGTAGAACACCTTCAAATCTCTTTCTCTGTTTCTGTGTCTATCATCTCTCTGACTCTGACTCCTCCTGCTTCACTCTTATGAGAACCCTTGTGGTTACCTGAGGCCCACCCAGATCACCCAAGGTAATCTCCCATCTCAAGATCCTTAACTTCATCATATTGGCAAAGTCCCCATCACCATATGAAACAACATCCACAGGTTCCAGGGATTAGGATATGGACATCTTGGGAGCCATTATTCAACCTACACCACAGAGTAAGGAACAAATACACACTATTGTAGACACGTATCAATAAATCAACTAGCAAGTGTTTATTAAACATTTACTATTTGCCAAGCTGTAATAGGGAAGGTATAAGAAATACATATCAATATAAAACATGTTCTCTTCCTTCAAGGACCTCCCACTATTGTTAGGAAGAGGAAATGAATACTTCTGAAACAAGTATATTCTAAACTCTAGGATACTAACTATAAAGGCCGTAGGGCTACAGAAAATTCACTTGAGTTGAATAGGTTGGAACAACTCATGAAATTTTCATGGGGAAAACAGAGACTGCAAATAGATACGTAGAACATAGGTGGGGCAGGAAGCGAGGGAGGCAGAGATGCAATTCTAAATGACCTGGGCTGTAAGAGTTGAGATGTGGCCACAAAAATGGAACAAGGCTGAGACACATAGAGATTTCCCCAGATCTGGGGTAAACAAACTATGGGCCACAGGCCAAATGCAGTCCTCTACCTATTTTTATAAGTAAAGTTTTATTGAAATACAGATGTGCTCAGTATCTTTGGCTGTTTTTGTGCTACAATGGCAGAGATAAACAGTTGCAATGAGGACAAAATAGCCCCTGTGACGGTTAATTTTAGGTGTCACCTTGACTGGATTGAGAGAAGTCTAGATGGCTGGTGAAAGCATTGTTTCTTGGTGTGTCTGTGCGGGTGTTTCTAGAGGGAATTGGTGTGTAAATCAGCAGACTGAGAGTAAAACCTGCCCTCAATATGAGCAGGCATCACCCAAACAGCTGGGGCCCAGCTGAAACAAACAAGTAGAAAAGCAAGGATTCTCTCCCCTTCCCCTTCCCCTCTCCTCTTCCCTTCCCTTCCCTCTTCTCTTCTCTTCTCTTCTCCTCTTTTCTCCTCTCTTCTCTAATCTTCTCTCTCTTCTTTCTCTCTCTTCTCTCTCTCTCTGTCTCTTTCTCTGTCTCTCTGTCTCTGTCTCTCTCTCTCTCTTCCTGATCAGGATGCCTTTTTTCTCCTGCCCTTGGACCTCAGACTTCAGGATCTTCAGCTTTTTGATTCAGGGACTTGCACTAGTGTCTCCCAGGGGCCCTTGAGCCTTTGGCTTTGGACTGGGGGCCGCACCATCAGCTTTCCTCATTCTGAGGCTTCTGGTTTCAGACTGCGATGCACTACTGGCATCTGTGGTTCTCCAGCTTGACAATGGCTGACTGTGGGACTTCTGTGCCTCTGTGATCTTCTCTGCCACTGTGATCAATCGTGTGAGCCAATTTCCCTAATAAGCCCCTTCTCATATATCCTATTGTTTCCCCCTCTCTGGAGAACCCTGGCTAATAACACCTGCAAAGCCTAAAATATTTACTGTCTGACCCTTTATAGAAAAAGTTTGCCATCCCCTTCCCTGGATGAGGAATACTCACTGAGGCCCTTGAGTAGGAAAGGCACTAGAAAGGACTCCAAGCAGAGACACCCCGTTGAGGAGACCACACCAGCTGAGGCCTCTCTTTAGTTCAACTTAACACAATGGTTTCTGTCCTCAAAACTTCCACCTGGCACTACATTTTCCAGGCCCTCTCCTGAATTTTGCATTGGGTCCCCCTGGTATTAGTCATTGGCTAGTGAAGTCATGCTTGGGAGAGAGCCAGGTGGAGGCAGGGACAACACAGGGAATAAACTTAGGAGGCTGGTTCTTTGGGTTTCTGGGCTTATCATTCTTGGCTTCTGTATCTCTGACGGCTGATCGTGGGACTTCTTTGCCTTACGGAATGTAAACCAGATCATCCAAGCCCTCATCTGCTAGCCTGGTTCTTGAAAAGATCTCGTGGATGACAGATACCTCTGATACAATCCTTAGAAGAAGTGAGCTGCAACACAGCTCAGGATGTATTTTTGTAGTTGTTTCAAGAGGACAGGTGTGTTGGTGTATATTCAGAGTGTGAAAGTGTGATTCCTGGAAGGCTCAGGTCAAGGATTTAGTCTCCCCATTAGTTTGCTGTATTCCATTCTTCTGAATGCAGCCCCTGTACCAGCCACACATTTCATAAAGGCCTCTTGTATGTCAGAAAAGGGACTGGACAAGAGAAACAGCACGATTCACTTAGCAGATGCCTCCCTACTCCTAACAACTGAGTTTATTTGTGTGTTTAACAGATATTTATTTTGTACATAGACTGTGAAGAAAACAACGACAACAACAAAATAGTCCCTGTCTTCCCAGGAACTCTGAACCTTACTTAACTACAGAAAGATCAACACAAACACGCAAGGAACAGTTAAGTAAGAAAAGAAGGCAGAATGTGATAAAAACGTCAAAGTGAGGGAGACAGATGGCAAGCATGATAGGAGGAGTTTGCAGAAGAAGGAAATGAATGTGAGGTAGATGTGCACAGAACAGTTTGGGAAAGGCTTTAGGGAAAACGGAATTGGAACTAGTCTTGAAAAATCAGTCAAAGCATTCAGATTGGGAGAGTGGAAATGGAATGCATTCATTATGGAAGGAAAAGAATGATCAAAGCTTGGAATTTTAATTATGAATAAAATCTAGAAAACAAACGAATAGCACCATTGGGAAGTTAGGTTACTAAATCGTACATTCAAGGTACAAAATATTGCAGAGAGATAATCGTACCTACAACAGTCTTCCTTTGGGTTTAAGGCCATTGATCATCGGTCAAATAAATATGAGCTGAAAAATAGTGATAGATGACAATGTATGGTAATTGTCAAATGGCTGGCATGAGCAGTAACTACCATAACCAGGACATCCTGATGGGAATGGTCATGGCTCTCTGATGGAATATTATTTTTGAAAAGTCAAGTGTACTTTGTCCAGGCACTACATGGTTTTTGCTGATTATTACTTTTGCTTGCTACCACCCAAGGGTGAAAGGGGAGATGAATGTACTCAGCTCTTACTGTTTACAGCTTTGGGACCATAGACCTTGTTTCCCAATTCTTTCTAGACTTCCTCCCCAGAGCTGTGTTGTCTAGACCACAAGTTCTAGTCTAAGTTCAAGAATAGGCTAGAATGATGCCTTGAACTCAATTCAAGGTTGTTTTTATTTGGATTGACAACAAAGTATTGCAATGGATAAAAACAAGATAAGCAGAAAGGTGAATGTGTAAGGCTCTCCATTGTACCTCTGATTGTCAATAATACGTACCTAAAGTACAGTTGACTCGGCAGCGCACTGCAGCCAAATGTGCTCCAAGTTGAAGGAATCAGGGCTGTGGACTCACTGCCTTCGTTATCCACAGACAGAACAGCACCCTCAAACAATGAATGCCAAATATTTTGCTAAGAAAGCCATGTCTCCTAGACCTAATAACCATGATCTAGAACTTGATGCTCTTGATTAAACAACACTGAAGCTATCTCTCTTATGTGCACCTGCACTACAGGATTTAAGAAATGTTCAATTATGTCCACTTTGAGATTTCTGTGGAGATGCCTAGCCTTAGCCTATCACATAAGATACCAGTAACCTCACACATTTCCTACTCATTAGAGGGCAAGAAACCATGCCAATGTGAAAATTCTCTATGTATAAGCTGTATATAGAGAACAAGGTCAAATACAATGCAGATGAATATAAGGTTGTAGTGTTGTCCTGCTTGGAAGGTGTCCTCCACAAGGATTTCCTCAGTTCTGGGTTATTTCTGCTTAGTAATCTCATTTGACACTGATGACTTTTACTTTTCCAGACAATGCCAGATTATATTTTCCAAAGTTGGCTGCACCAATAATTTCCCATCACACATGATCTTCTACAAGGTAATCTCAAAGCATTCCCATCAAGAGGTAACCAAGAGAATGTGGTGGAAGTGATGCTTCGTAACTTTTTAGGTGAGGTCAGAAAAGGTCATACAGCATCTACCTGACTCTCTTAGAAAGCTCACTTTTAAGATCCTCCCTCTTGAAACCCAGACGCCATTCTGTAATAAACCCAACCACTTGGAAAAGCCATATGTAGGTGTTTCAGTTGACAGTGCTGGCGGAGCCCAGCCTTTAAGCCAGTCATGGACGTGTGAGTGATGGATGTGTGAGTGATGAGTCCTCCGGATTCCTGCTCCTGGGGATTTTGGTCACTCCAGCATTGGAGTCCTCCCAGCTGAGGACCAAGACATGGTGGAGCAGAGACATCTCCATTGGCCCTGCCCAAATTCCTGACTCACAAAAGCTGTTATAATGAAATGTTATTGTTTTACACCACTAAGTTTGGGGTGGTTTGTGGAACAACAAGAATAACTAGAACATAGACCCAACCACAGATTTGAGCTAAAAACAAAATCCTCATTTTGCTTCCTTTTTCATATTTGTCCAAAGTCCAGTTTACTCTCAATTAATATTTTCCAGCCCTTTCCTTGAATATCTTAATGCATTTTTTCTTTATTAGCTCTTTCATGTCTACACTAGGATTGCATGTGTTTTTATTGTTAAGCTTCTTATTCTTTGATGAAGAAACAAGATGAAAACTATGTATTTTAAAAATGGCTTGGTATAATCCAGTCTACTCTGTCCCTTCTAAAATTACTAGGAATGCTGCGTATGCTTTTAGGATCATACTATAAAAATATACATAACTTGTGATGTGTTTAACAGAGAGTAACTTTAAATGTTTAGGGACTTTAAATGTAGTGATTGAATGACTGAAAGAGTAAAGATATCTCCAGCTGGAGTAAAAAAATGATAAACTATTCAGGAGGTGGGGGGCGGGGTGGTGAATTTGAAATCACTATTATTAGAAATGAAAGCCTAAGAAGAGAGATGAGTATTATTTTGTTTGGGCTTTAAGGGCAAAACCAGGATCAGTGGATAGGATGACAGGCAGATTTTATATCAGCGTAAAGACTTTCCTAACACTAGAAATGACTAAGATAAAATGGACAGTTGTAAGAAGTGAATTTCCCATCACTGGAGATTTTAAAGCAATGACTGAATGTCTACTTGATAAGAATGTTGTAGAGAAAAATCGTGCATTGAACAGGAAGAAGCAGAGGGTGGAGAGTGGCAGGAAGACATGGATCTTTCTGGTCCCTCCCAAGCCCAGGAGTCTATGAATGCTTTATGTTACTTTAGGTCCAGTGGGAAAATGGCAGCATCTATTTATAGAGCTATTGATGTCAACAGTGATTTCTGCCAGAGGTGTGAGTCTTTGTAAATGGTGCAAGCTTTGGGGTGAATAAATGGACAATTCAGTGGAGAGGACCCATGGATCAGAATGAAGATGAGCAGAAGGTAATTAAATGAGACATGTATCAGTAGGAGGGTTGCCAAGTGTAACTAAGTTAAACTTTGATTGTGATTGGAAGGTGAGGAGAACATGACTTCTATGCTTTCCTCTGGGGTTGTTCGAAATAAGGAAATATGGTGGAATGGGGAGGATAGGACAAGAGTCTGTGAGTCAACAAAACTCTGCTCAGGAAGGAATATCAGAGCTTGCTTGGAGTGACTGTGTTCTTAAGTTCATTAACAGAACAAAAAAATCAAAAGTGATGCTGGCGCTGATTGAAATAAGCAGATGGTTAAAACCACCTGTGGGAGAACCTACTTTTGCCAAGTCAAGAAACAGCAGCACCCACTCAAGCAGAGCCTGAGAAACAGAGTAGGCTGGTGTATTTGTTTCCCAGGGCTATTGCAACAAAGTCCACAAACTGCATGGCTTACAGTAACAGAAATTTATTATCTCACAGTTTGGGAGGCCAGAAGTCTGAGATCAAGGTGTTGGCAGGGCCATGCTCCCTATGCAGGCTCCAGAAAAAGAACCCTTCCTTCTCTCTTTGGTGGCCACCAGCAATCCTTGCTGTCCTTTGGCTTGTAGCTGCAACACTCCAGCTCTTCACATGCCCTCCCTCTTCACATGGCCCTCTCCCACATGTCTGTTGCTTCACATGACTCCAAAGAAGGAACCAGTCACTAGATGCAGTGCCCACCCTCATGCAGTATGACCTCATTTTAACTAATTACATCTGCAAAAACTCTATTTCTGAGGAAGGTCACATTCTGAGGTTCTGTGTGGACATGCATGTTGGGGAGACACTATTCAACCCAGTACAATTAGGAGCCCCAAATTTTGTGAAATAGCACCTGAAACCAGTTGAAAATAGAAAAGGGCACCAATCTGTGTCCACGTTATTCTTATTTTAAAAATTTTGACTTACCATTTTTCTCATTTTAGCAACAACTATAGCTAATACTTACTATTTCCTATGTGCCTTATACTGTGCTAAGCTCTTCACATGAATTCTCTCACTTAATCGTTATAAGGTGGGTGCAATTACTAGCCCCATTTTATAGAAGAGCTCATGGAAGATTAGAAAGGATAAGAAACCTGCTTAAATTCACTTCAGTGATAACTACCAGGAGGCCCCGAGTCAAGATCTGTGTGACTGGAAGTCTGATAGAGACATGTGCGTGATTACTGATTAATACATATTTATATTGTTATTTTTCTGAAGTCATGTTTATATTAACATCATAATTGGGTGGAATATATGAATTAATCTCAAGATTCTCAGTTATCTCTGCTTGACAAGGAACTTATTCTTTTGAGCATTTGTTATCCATTCACCTCATGGTAACTACGTTGGACTGGAAGCATACTGTCTCAGAGGGATCGACCCTACTACAGTATGGGAAGGAGTCTAAATCTGGCAAAATGAAAGTATTTTCAAAACATCTATGTTTACACACAGCATATGTAAATTACCTTGGTACCCAATCAAAAGGGAATTGCCATTAATAAGGGGGTGATTCCTCACACGATTATTATTACTGTCATTAATTTTTTAATCATAATTTTTAAGACATTGATTATCAGCCAGGGGGATTTTGTCCCCCAGGGGACACTTGGCAATGTCTGGAGACATTAGTTGTTGCAACTGGGAGGGAGGATGCTATTGCATCTAGTGGGGTAAATGTCGGGGATGCTACTAAACATTCTACAATGCACAGCACAGTCCCCCCAACAATGCAGAATTATTGGGCCCTACATCTCAAGGGTGCTGAGGTTGAAAAATGCTATTTTAACAGTTTGTGGTAAAAGAAGGTGCTCCTTAGGGGTCTCACTGCTAAATATAAGGTTTCACTGCTTTTCTCCAGGCCTCTGACACTTAGTAAAATTTTTCATGATCTCCAAACTAGTGACTACTCTCTCAGTACTGATGATAATTGATAATGATGGTTAATAGTTTTTGAGTTCTTACCTCGTGCTAGGCATTGTTCTAAGCGCTTTTCATATATTGACTCAATCCTCACTGTTAGTAATGTGCCATTATTATTCACATTGTACAAATGACTCTTTTAGTAATGTGCCATTATTATTCTCATTGTACAAATGAGGAAACTAAGGCACAGACAGTTTGAGAAACATACCCAAGGCTACAAAACTAGTGTGGGGCAGAGGCAGGATGCTACCGTGCTTTCATTCCTTTCTCCTTCCTCCAGCAGTGGACCAGTCTGATTACCTGGGTACATATCCTGAGGAACAATGCAATGGGTGGGAGTCATACTCCCATTGAACAGATGGGGAATTGGAGGCATTAATCGGAGGAGGAAACAGGGACATTGCCCATGGGTATCAGGCAAAACCACTTTCATGGAGTGCTCAGCCATGGTTGTTTCCAATTCACATGTTGAACATGGATTTTTTTCCCAATAAGTCTTGTCTGAGAGAATGATGTACCTAGTAGAGTTTGAATAACTCTAGTAGTGCCACATGAATACTGCTGGCTGGATAAAAGGATGCATGCACGCATGGATGGATGGATAGATGGCTGAATACTGAGCCACTGGAAGGGTTCAAGGAATGGTGCATTGGTGCATTATGGCAGAGGGGCTTTATTCCTAATACTACAACCATGATCAACAATTCCATGTTCTTAAAGGTGACAGCAAAGCTGGGAGCCTGCAGAGCTGGAAAAAGCCAGAGACCAGAGATAGAAACAAAACCTACAGTTTGCCCGAAGCCAAGTATCATAGAACATGTGGGCCCTTATTTGTCACAGCCTGGAAGTAACTCGCCTTTAACGTGTTTGTATTTTCGTTGTCCTTCTAAACCAGGGTTTCTCAACCTCAGCACTACTGGGATTTATGATCTGATAATTCTGTGTTTGGGGGCTTTCCTGTGTATTCTAGGATGTTTGGCTGTCTCCCTGGCTTCTGCCCACTGAATTCTGATAGCACCCACCCTACCCCAAGCCATAGCAATCAAAAATGTCTCCAGACCCTTTAAAATGTCTCCTAGAGGGCCAAAATTACCCACAATTGAGAAAAATTTTGTATACCTAGTTCCTACAGGACAGAGTTTGGGTTTCCTCACCTTATTGTCTATTGTAGAGCTTGGCGCAGTTATTTAAACTTCATAAATGTCTGTGGACCAATAGATTGCTTATCTCCTTTGGCAGGGAAAAAGTCAAATTCCAGGGAGAAAATGCAGAAAACAATAATGAAGGGAAAGAGAAAGGAAGGAAAGAAGAGAGGGAGGGAGGGAAGCAGGGAGAAGGAAGGCTACTTGTAAATAACAGCGATGCTCCACCCATGACCCCTTCATGTGCTGGTGGCTCAGCAGCAGATATGAAGAAACTCTCCAACTCAGCAAGGAGCTTCAGGTGACTTCACCTCATGAACCAGAAAACTCACACTGTTTTTGTATTCACGTTGTTTAAAGGGGACCAGGGTTGTCTTTTTGCGTGCATGGATGTGTGTGTGTGTGCGAAAGTATAATTACCCATCACTGATTAATCTTCAGACTGAGTCAAGCATTCATTGCAAATCCTTGAAACAAACAAGTCTATTTATATTTTAATTATTTTTTTGGATTTCAAGTTGATTTGTCTTTCTTCTGCATATTTATGAAGCTGTTGATCCATGGTAACCTTACCCTTACCTCCTGTGGAACAGGAGGAAGAGAAAGAAAAAGACAGAGAAAGAAACACAAAGAGCTGGCTTTACCCCTTTTCTTCCCTTCCCTTCCCCAGAAGCCATAGCATTCCCACAGCTCTAGAGGACAGTGAGGACAATACAAGAACAAAGGCAGTTTTTTTCAATTAAGGTGTAATTAATTAATTAGGACCCCCTGCCCATGGCTGTCATTCTTATTTAAGGTGACCTCAGCTCTTGCTGAAATCTGATTTTGGTCCTGGTTCCCTCTGCCTCCTTGTTACCATTATCTTCAATCCTTCTGCGCCTTTATTACAACCATGTTTTCGTAAGAAATTAATTTTTTTCTTAAATCATGCAGATTTTTAAATAAAATTTGATCAATGAATTTGAGTTATTGGAGAAATTGTGCAGTTTTTTTTTCTGCCGGACAGTCCACAGTTCACAGATGTAAAAAGCACAAATGCGAGGCCAAGGGTTAGCTGTTCACCAAATTGGCAAGTGGATCTACAGTCCCACCTCCAGCGATGATCCACTAACCTGTGCCAAAATGGCAGCACGTTTAAATAACTGGGTCCAGTGGCTCAAGAGTATGCTAGGCACTACCTAGTTAGTGCTTTGTCTTCTATAGTAGATTATTTTTCAGCAAATCCTCATTCCCACTGACTGACTTCCACGGAGGAATCCGCTTCCCAACCCAATGGGGTTGGGCTTGGCCATTTGACTTGCTTTGGCTGCATGGTGAGAGGAACATGCTTTCTTATTTCTTGCTGAGGCCAAAGGGATGTTAACAGATGTGATGCAAGCTGAGGCTTGGGTTCATATGTTCCTGACTATCACTGTGAAAAGAGCATGCTTTGGGAAATTGCTGGTCCAAAAAGCATGAGACAAACATCCTCATTGAACCAGATCTGCAACTTGTAGCTAAGCGCAGCTGAGCCGGTTCTAGATCGACTAAACTCCAGCTGCCTGTCAGATGTGTGAGCAAGAAATTAATGCTCATAGTTTTATGCCACTGGATTTAGGGTTCATTGTCTTATAGTTTCAAGATGCCTCAGCACACTCAGCTTTATCAAAAATGCCTGTTAGACATAGGATCTTCTGTTAGAGCCAGATCTCAGGAGACCATAGTCTGCCCTTTCACAGCACACAAACAGTGGCTTATCCAGGTCCATCATATTATTACAAAATTACTATTATCACTATTATGTAATAACTGTTTGCTTAAAACTATTTTGCTTTCAATGTATTTGAAACACTTTGCTTATCTAACACATTAAAGCTATAAAGTCATATAACTTTCCTCTCCATTTCACAAGACAGAAGATAAGCTCAGAAGACTGGACCTATGTTGAATGGTTTGGCTAGGATGACAGAGTCAGTATGAGGAAGATCTTGGACCTAAGTCTTCTCTTTATGTCACTCTTTTATCACTCTGCATTGTCAGTTGTACATACACATTAAATTGAGTGGTGACAATTTGTTAGGAGACAAAGTAGGTCTTCAGTTTTCAATCTTGCCCCCTCTGCAGCCCCCTTCAGCCCTGTGGACATGGGCCAGACACACGGCATCTCGACCTCTTGGGACGTGTTCTCAGACGGAGAAGACAGAAGTTTAACAGTTCACCCTCCAGCCGGGTGTGGTGGCTCACACCTGTAATCCCAGCACTTTGGGAGGCTGAGGTGGGTGGATCACCTGAGGTCACGAGTTCGAGACCAGCCTAGCCAACATGGTGAAATCCCGTCTCTACCAAAAATACAAAAATTAGCCTGGCACGGTGACGTGCACCTGTAATCCCAGCTAATCTGGAGGCTGAGGCACAAGAATTGCTTGATCCCAGGAGGTGGAGGTTGCAGTGAGCCGAGATCATGCCACTGCACTCCTGCCTGGGTGACAAAGTGAGATTCCATCTCAAAAAGAAAAGAAAAGAAAACAAAACAAAAAACAATTCACCCTCTTTCGTCCCTCCTTCCTCGCCCTACCCCACTGCCTACACACCTAAGAGAGACTACATGTCTCTGAACATCATGCAGTTCTATTCTGAAAGGTCAGTCCCACTGAGGGTATCCTAACATCAAATTATCTCAAGAGATGATAACAGAGATCAGCAAACTTTTTCTGTGAAAGGCCACATGTAAATTTTTGGGCTTGGGACAGCCATACAGGCTATGCAGGTGTAGGTGTGAAAACAGCTATAGACAATATGTAAACCTATAGGCCAAAAATCCCCCTTTATTTACCAAAACAAGGGGTGGGCAGAACTTAGCCCACTGGCTGTCAGTTTGCCCACCCTGGTTTATAGACTTACAGAGAAGAGAACTGAACACAAATTATAACATCAACCCTTGCCCCTCCTTTGAAGTTACACCTTCTAGTAAGGCAATAAGAATGCTTTTCCTTTCTTCCTCTTCCTTCTTTCCTTTCTTCCTTTTTCTCTCTCTTCCTTCTTTTTTTTCCTTTTAACTTCCAGTCTTTCTTCCTCCTTTTGTTATTTTCCTTTTTCTTCTTCTTCTTTTCTTTTTTACTTCTAGTCTTTCTTGCTTTCTACATCTCTTTCTTCCATCCTCCCAGCAAATATTTACTGAGCACCTACTTCACAGCCTCTGCCCTGAGCTCTGCTGACTCCTCCCCACTGTAAGCTCTAAGCACTTTGTTTCTAGCGGTGCTCCGGGGAGCGAAGAGGGAAGGGATGGGTTTGGGGGGAGGTGAAAAAGGGAGTACAATCCACAAAAAAGGGGGGTTTGCTGTAGGATCTTCAACCCCAGCAGGAGGCATAAAGGTACAGGCGTCTACTCCCGAGTCTCCGTTTCAGCATTCCTTTCATCTAGAGTAAGACTCTTTAATTTGTAAACATTAATAACCATTATTATTATTAAAAAGGAAAGAAAGTGAGTAGCCCTGTAACTAATTACTTTAAGTGTTCTCAACAAGGCACAGTTCAACTCCTTTATAAAACCACCTGCTGTGAAGACCAGATTGTCATTATGATCAGATCCTTCCTTAGACCTATTAATTTTACCCAGAATAACAGCAGAACAGATGCAAGAAGAAGGCTAGTCTGATTAACATAATTCTTTTCAAAGACCATTTCCTCCCTAAGGGCCACCGTACTGAGTCTTCTATCTTGTCTCAGATCTAATTACATTCAGGAGAATTCAGACACTGACGGGCGATCTCAGCAGATGTCACTTCTCAGATTTGAAGCACACTTCAGGATATGAAACCTTATCAGAAAATCAATTGAAATTAACAATTCCCTCTCTCTTTCTCTCCATCTCTTCCCTCAGCCAGCGCTCTCTCTCCCTGTCTTTTCCTCCCTCTTTCCCTTTTCTTTAGCCAGATT
Source organism: Homo sapiens (assembly GCF_000001405.40). NCBI lineage: Eukaryota > Metazoa > Chordata > Mammalia > Primates > Hominidae > Homo > Homo sapiens. Next base: position 114,847,569 of record NC_000011.10, on the reverse strand, counting down.
AAAGTTGTTTCCAAACACTAACCTTTCTCAGGAGGAGAGACAGCATTTCCGGGAATTCAATAAACCTGAAACTCAAACCGTTGCTTACCTTTTGAAGTGTTTTCTCGGCTTCTCCCTAGCTTAGCATAATGAGGGTGGGTGTGTGTGTGTGTGTGTGTATGTATGTATTATGAGCAGCAGTTCTTGAGGGTCTCTATAGGGTATAAAAATAAGGTAAAAACAGGAGAAACAGAAGGGCTTTCTGCAGCACATTGAAAAGATACACACCACAAGCTATCTCTTCAGTATCTGATCTCTGATTGAAACCAGAACCGATTTGGATCCCAGTGTCTCATCTTTGATGGGCAAAAGCTGCAGGTTTACAATAGAGTCTCTTGCTGCTTTTAATGAAGTATTTGACTTTTTGCCTGCTGCTTTCAATTGAGCTCTGGGAGCTTTGGATAGAAGTCTAAGGGGAGCAGCAAAGGAGTGGAGGCTAGGGTTTTGGTGCCTAGTGCCTAGGTCAAGGTATGGCAGACCCAGAGCTCCAGCAGCACCAGAACCTCCTCTCTTTACTCAGCCTCACCATTACCTCTAGTGCCTTTTGTTCAGGGATCTCAGAATATAGAAAATGAGGCCTGAAGAACCAATTACTTGAAAACCAACCACTCTTTTTCCTGCTATCATGCTTAAGCTCCATTGTAGTATGCATTGCCTTGACTCTCCAAAGATGCCTGGGTATAGGAAAATAATGCCATAGACAGGAGTATTTAAGGACATGACTGTAGGCAGAAACCATGGCCAAGCTATCTATTTTACATTTCCTGGGAGAACAATGAAGAAAGAGGTAGAAAGTGGAGCATGCACTTCTGCATTATGCATTGGCTTTTTGCGGTTTGCAGATGCTGTTCAGTGCCTTGCTAACACAGAGCACTAGGCGGCCTCCACTCCCCAAAGTCTCATTGCAACAGCTGCTGTTGCTTGGCTGGGCCTGACTCAGCGTCTCTGTGGTGGTGTTCCTCAGGGTGGCCAGCTGGGTGTTCTCTCCAGACAGCCTGTGACTTTGGCACAGGCCCTCTGGGAAGCTGCCAGAACAAGAGCATTGAAGCAGGATGGGCACTAGGCATTGCTTGGCAGGAACACTGAAAAATCTCCCAATCTTTACACTGGTGGGGTTATAGCTAGAGAGGGAAACTCTAGGAGAGGTGAAGAGAGTTATGGAAACCAGAGCATTTTTGTCACTTTCTGGCTTGCATTGTACATCTTGCTTTCGACCCCATCGAGAGTCTAGGAGAATTTGACTTTTAAATACCTGTCTATGCTATTTGGCTTTTCCATAGTCCAGCCCTGAGAATGACACCAGCATGTGCATAATTGATGAGTGAGGAGCCTGCTGGCTCCAGAGAGATTGCTCTGTCTCAGGCTTTACACTCTGAGGATTTCTAAGAAGGTTTATACTTATGCAGTAGTTACAACAATAAAACAAGAAGAAACAAACCCCATGCTCTTCCAGGGTTTGCTGAGTGAAATGTCATCATTATACAGTCTGCTGTTGTGGGAGAGTGAGGAAGCTTATTATGGTAGAAGGGAGGCCCGTGGTATGTCTGGGGGTCCATAGCAGCGAGAGGTTTCTCATACCATCTGTGCTTTTGCAAAGCTGTAGGCAAGCTAATGCATTAAGGTTAGTGCCACTGAAGCCTGCCTGGGCTGGTTAGGTGTTCCTGCAGTGCTCAGTTTGTTGCTGCCTTTGGGAAAAGAGAGCCCAACTAGGACTCAAGTGGAAGGGATGTGAGTGAGTCTCCAAAGTTCAGCCTCCACCTTGGTTTTGCTGGGTTTAACGTGAAAAAGTAGGTTCTGCTGGTATAGTTTTGGGTACTCTGAATGGAAAAATATGTTGGTTTGTGATTGCAACATCCTTATGGGCAGTCTAATCCATAATTCAATGAAAAACTAGCTATGGAGTATCTTTAATCTGTAAAAGCTTTCATTTACTCAGCATTTATTAAGCATCTACCATGTGCACTGCAATGTGGTAGATACTAGAGAAAAGTGATAAGAAATAAATCAGACATGGTCTCTGACAGACACTAAAGTAATTTACAGTATGGTGGATACACACAAACAATATACAGAAGTGGAAACAGATGGGAATGTTAATATAAAGATGATCAATTTCAAGTTTTCAAAAGGAATTATAATTTCTGTAGTATACAGGGGCTTCCTCTATTTTAAAACAACATTTTTTTCCTTAAAAACAAATAAAATATATGTTTATCTGTCAAAATGTGGAAAAATAGAAAATTCCCCCTAATCTCATCAGCCACAAATAATCACTATTGATGGTGATACTTGGATATCTCATATGAATCTTAAGCATTACAAGCTTATAACTGAATTTTATTTCTACATATACATAAACACTTAACATAAGTGTGCACACACACACAAACAACCCTGAATCAAACCCACACCATCTGCTCTATCCTCATATCATGGCAGCCTCTCAATGGCACCATCATTCAAATGGTTGTTTAACACAAAAACTGGGAGTTATTGTGAATGACTCCATCTCCTTATCTAACATCCAATTATCCACAAGTCCTTTCTATTCTAATCTACAAAATATAACTAAACCTACCTATTTTGCTCCCTCTTCACTGCCACAACCCAGCTCAAACCAACCTGCTCGCCTAGATTACTCAATACTCTTTCATTAAGCCTACCGATTTCACTCTTGCCTCCTCCACTCCATTCTCCATATCATAATTTTTAAAAAGTAAATTGGATAAAATCATTCTTCTGTGTAATACCTTCAGTGGTTTCCAGCTGTACTTAAAATCAACTTCTTTTTCTGATGATAAGGCAGGCTACATTGTTTGGATGATCCTCATGTTGAAAACAACTAAGTATAATGAATAACTTTTTTAAAAGATTCTTAAAGGCATCAAAGGGCCAATCTTATGGCAAAGAACTATTATGTCAAAATCTATTGGAAATTAAGAACCCTGAGCATCAAATGGTGTATTTTGCCCCAGTGGTATTTGCTGAACTGGGTGAACTGATTATAACCTCATCAAACAATGAAGACAATAATCAAATCCCTAAACCTTTCTAAAGTGGGGCATGAAATAGGACACTTCCCCCACAAAAAGCTGGGACACCAAAAGGCAGGTGTAGCCACCCCACCCCAGGGATTTAAAGGAAGATTTCCCCAGCTCTGAGCGGATCTGTGAGAGAAAAAAATAAGCTCTCTTCTAGAAGTAAGTACAAAATGGTCCCCTAGTAAATTTGTGGGCTAAATTCTCATGAACTGAAAGGGACATTAAAAAGCTGGGATTTTAGTTATTTCTTGCCTTCTGCTAGCTTTTGAATGTTTGCTCTTGCTTTTCTAGTTCTTTTAATTGTGATGTTAGGGTGTCAATTTTGGATCTTTCCTGCTTTCTCTTGTGGGCATTTAGTGCTATAAATTTCCCTCTACACACTGCTTTGAATGCGTCCCAGAGATTCTGGTATGTTGTGTCTTTGTTCTCGTTGGTTTCAAAGAACATCTTTATTTCTGCCTTCATTTCGTTATCTACCCAGTAGTCATTCAGGAGCAGGTTGTTCAGTTTCCATGTAGTTGAGCGGCTTTGAGTGAGATTCTTAATCCTGAGTTCTAGTTTGATTGCACTGTGGTCTGAGAGATAGTTTGTTATAATTTCTGTTCTTTTACATTTGCTGAGGAGAGCTTTACTTCCAACTGTGTGGTCAATTTTGGAATAGGTGTGGTGTGTTGCTGAAAAAAATGTATATTCTGTTGATTTGGGGTGGAGAGTTCTGTAGATGTCTATTAGGTCCGCTTGGTGCAGAGCTGAGTTCAATTCCTGGGTATCCTTGTTGACTTTCTGTCTCGTTGATCTGTCTAATGTTGACAGTGGGGTGTTAAAGTCTCCCATTATTAATGTGTGGGAGTCTAAGTCTCTTTGTAGGTCACTCAGGACTTGCTTTATGAATCTGGGTGCTCCTGTATTGGGTGCATATATATTTAGGATAGTTAGCTCCTCTTGTTGAATTGATCCCTTTACCATTATGTAATGGCCTTCTTTGTCTCTTTTGATCTTTGTTGGTTTAAAGTCTGTTTTATCAGAGACTAGGATTGCAACCCCTGTCTTTTTTTGTTTTCCATTTGCTTGGTAGATCTTCCTCCATCCTTTTATTTTGAGCCTATGTGTGTCTCTGCCTGTGAGATGGGTTTCCTGAATACAGCACACTGATGGGTCTTGACTCTTTATCCAACTTGCCAGTCTGTGTCTTTTAATTGGAGCATTTAGTCCATTTACATTTAAAGTTAATATTGTTATGTGTGAATTTGATCCTGTCATTATGATGTTAGCTGGTGATTTTGCTCGTTAGTTGATGCAGTTTCTTCCTAGTCTCAATGGTCTTTACATTTTGGCATGATTTTGCAGCGGCTGGTACCGGTTGTTCCTTTCCATGTTTAGCGCTTCCTTCAGGAGCTCTTTTAGGGCAGGCCTGGTGGTGACAAAATCTCTCAGCATTTGCTTGTCTGTAAAGTATTTTATTTCTCCTTCACTTATGAAGCTTAGTTTGGCTGGATATGAAATTCTGGGTTGAAAATTCTTTTCTTTAAGAAATAACTAAAATCAGAGCAGAACTGAAGGAAATAGAGACACAAAAAACCCTTCAAAAAATCAATGAATCCAGGAGCTGGTTTTTTGAAAGGATCAACAAAATTGATAGACCGCTAGCAAGACTAATAAAGAAAAAAAGAGAGAAGAATCAAATAGACACAATAAAAAATGATAAAGGGGATATCACCACCAATCCCACAGAAATACAAACTACCATCAGAGAATACTACAAACACCTCTACGCAAATAAACTAGAAAATCTAGAAGAAATGGATGCATTCCTCGACACATACACTCTCCCAAGGAAGATCTACCAAGGAAATGGATCTTCCTCCATCCTTTTATTTTGAGCCTATGTGTGTCTCTGCACATGAGATGGGTTTCCTGAATACAGCACACTGATGGGTCTCTCCCAAGACTAAACCAGGAAGAAGTTGAATCTCTGAATAGACCAATAACAGGAGCTGAAATTGGGGCAATAATCAATAGTTTACCAACCAAAAAGAGTCCAGGACCAGATGGATTCACAGCCGAATTCTACCAGAGGTACAAGGAGGAACTGGTACCATTCCTTCTGAAACTATTCCAATCAATAGAAAAAGAGGGAACCCTCCCTAACTCATTTTATGAGGCCAGCATCATTCTGATACCAAAGCCAGGCAGAGACACAACCAAAAAACAGAATTTTAGACCAATATCCTTGATGAACATTGATGCAAAAATCCTCAATAAAATACTGGCAAACCGAATCCAGCAGCACATCAAAAAGCTTATCCACCATGATCAAGTGGGCTTCATCCCTGGGATGCAAGGCTGGTTCAATATATGCAAATCAATAAATGTAATCCAGCATATAAACAGAGCCAAAGACAAAAACCACATGATTATCTCAATAGATGCAGAAAAAGCCTTTGACAAAATTCAACAACCTTCATGCTAAAAACTCTCAATAAATTAGGTATTGATGGGACGTATTTCAAAATAATAAGAGCTGTCTATGACAGACCCACAGCCAATATCATACTGAATGGGCAAAAACTGGAAGCATTCCCTTTGAAAACTGGCACAAAACAGGGATGCCCTCTCTCACCACTCCTATTCATCAGAGTGTTGGAAGTTCTGGCCAGGGCAATCAGGCAGGAGAAGGAAATAAAGGGTATTCAATTAGGAAAAGAGGAAGTCAAATTGTCCCTGTTTGCAGACGACATGATTGTTTATCTAGAAAACCCCATCGTCTCAGCCCAAAATCTCCTTAAGCTGATAAGCAACTTCAGCAAAGTCTCAGGATACAAAATCAATGTACAAAAATCACAAGCATTCTTATACACCAACAACAGACAGAGAGCCAAATCATGAGTGAACTCCCATTCACAATTGCTTCAAAGAGAATAAAATACCTAGGAATCCAACTTACAAGGGATGTGAAGGACCTCTTCAAGGAGAACTACAAACCACTGCTCAAGGAAATAAAAGAGGATACAAACAAATGGAAGAACATTCCATGCTCATGGGTAGGAAGAATCAATATCATGAAAATGGCCATACTGCCCAAGGTAATTTACAGATTCAATGCCATCCCCATCAAGCTACCAATGACTTTCTTCACAGAATTGGAAAAAACTACTTTAAAGCTCATATGGAACCAAAAAAGAGCCCGCATCGCCAAGTCAATCCTAAGCCAAAAGAACAAAGCTGGAGGCGTCACACTACCTGACTTCAAACTATACTACAAGGCTACAGTAACCAAAACAGCATGGTACTGGTACCAAAACAGAGATATAGATCAATGGAACAGAACAGAGCCCTCAGAAATAACGCCGCATACCTACAACTATCTGATCTTTGACAAACCTGAGAAAAACAAGCAATGGGGAAAGGATTCCCTATTTAATAAATGGTGCTGGGAAAACTGGCTAGCCATATGTAGAAAGCTGAAACTGGATCCCTTCCTTACACCTTATACAAAAATCAATTCAAGATGGATTAAAGATTTAAACGTTAGACCTAAAACCATAAAAACCCTAGAAGAAAACCTAGGCATTACCATTCAGGACATAGGCATGGGCAAGGACTTCATGTCCAAAACACCAAAAGCAATGGCAACAAAAGACAAAATTGACAAATGGGATCTAATTAAACTAAAGAGCTTCTGCACAGCAAAAGAAACTACCATCAGAGTGAACAGGCAACCTACAACATGGGAGAAAATTTTCACAACCTACTCATCTGACAAAGGGCTAATATCCAGAATCTACAATGAACTCAAACAAATTTACAAGAAAAAAACAAACAACCCCATCAAAAAGTGGGCAAAGGACATGAACAGACACTTCTCAAAAGAAGACATTTATGCAGCCAAAAAACACATGAAAAAATGCTCATCATCACTGGCCATCAGAGAAATGCAAATCAAAACCACTATGAGATATCATCTCACACCAGTTAGAATGGCAATCATTAAAAAGTCAGGAAACAACAGGTGCTGGAGAGGATGTGGAGAAATAGGAACACTTTTACACTGTTGGTGGGACTGTAAACTAGTTCAACCATTGTGGAAGTCAGTATGGCGATTCCTCAGGGATCTAGAACTAGAAATACCATTTGACCCAGCCATCCCATTACTGGGTATATACCCAAATGACTATAAATCATGCTGCTATAAAGACACATGCACACGTATGTTTATTGCGGCATTATTCACAATAGCAAAGACTTGGAACCAACCCAAATGTCCAACAATGATAGACTGGATTAAGAAAATGTGGCACATATACACCATGGAATACTATGCAGCCATAAAAAATGATGAGTTCATGTCCTTTGTAGGGACATGGATGAAATTGGAAATCATCATTCTCAGTAAACTATTGCAAGAACAAAAAACCAAACACCGCATATTCTCACTCATAGGTGGGAATTGAACAATGAGATCACATGGACACATGAAGGGGAATATCACACTTTGGGGACTGTGGTGGGGTGGGGGGAGCGGGGAGGGATAGCATTGGGAGATATACCTAAGGCTAGATGACGAGTTAGTGGGTGCAGCGCACCAGCATGGCACATGTATACATATGTAACTAACCTGCACAATGTGCACATGTACCCTAAAACTTAAAGTATAATAAAAAAAAAGAAAAAGAAAAAAATAAAAATAAAAAAATAAAAAAATAAAAAGCTGGGAATATGGTTTGCCATGGCCAAACTCTAGAAGTACACATAGGCATAAACAAAATAAAACCTACATAAATTATCTTTGAAGGAAGTTATACTATGCTTCAATGATGTCTCAGAAATAATTTTCCAAAGATAATGAATAGAACACAGCAGAAAATACCAAGATACAAAGCATAAAGCATCATGAGGAAGAATCAGCATAACCAACAGACAGCAAAAACAGTCTGAGAGAAACTTTATATTAAATTAACATAAGTATTTTATAATCCATATTTAGAGAAAAACAATATATTAAAAAATATCTTCATGGAACAGAAAACCATAAAAAGCAACCTAGAATATTTGAAATAAAAACAAATGGAAATTCCAGGAATGAAAAATACAGTAATAGAGACTCAATGGGTTTAACAGCTGACATGCTAATAAAAAAGAATTAGTGAACTAGACAATAACTTAGATATTACCCAAAAAGCAGCAGAGAGTAAAAAATGAAAATATGAAAGAGACTAGGAAGATAGAATGAGACCTGATTTTTGCTTATTTCAAGTTTTAGATGGAGAGGAGAGACAGAATGAGGCAGAGGTGATATTTGAAGATAAAACGACTAAGAATTTTTTTGAAACTCTTTAAAGGCAGATTTAAGAGTCCTTACAAATCCAAACAATATAAACAAAAAGAACTTCACTCTTAGATTACTCATAGTGAATTTTAGGATACCACAGATGGTGAGAAGCTCTTAAAATCAGCCAGAGGAAAAAGTGTGCAGTTATAATGACAGCTGAACTCTCAACAACACTGCATTTATAACCAAATCTTAATTCCTTGTTTTAGCTCTAAGCTCCTGTATGAGCTACGTCTGACCTCCCTTTTCCATCTTCACATGTGCTGCTCTCTCCCTCTCTCCCTTGCTCTGCATTCACTGGACCTCTCTCATGGCCATGAACACAGTACACTTTTTCCCATCTCTGCAGACACTGCTCCACCTGCCTGGAATGTTCATCTACCTCTTTCCACATGACTAGCTCCTTATCCTTCAGGTCCTAGGACCATTTAGGCTAACCTAAATGTCACCTCCTCAATGAAGCTTCTCTAACCACCCAGTCTGGAGTAATTCTTAAAATTCTTTCTCATACAATTTTATTTTTTCTCTCTTGTTTCTGCATGTCTTCTGCTAAACTATGCTCCATGAATACCAGAACTGTAAGTATTTTGTTCAGACTTCTATGCCTAGCAGCCTGAAGAATTCCTCATGCACAATAAGAACTCACTGAATAATTGTGAGAAGAATATTTTCATATAGACACTTCCTGTCTTTTCCTAGGTACATTGACTTACATGGTTATATATCATTTTAACTTTTTTATTTTTATGAATATGGCAACTAGAAAGTCTATGTTTTAAAATTGTTAATACACCATAAACTATTTTCCATGAGTATAAACATTCTTCTACAACTTGATTTCTGATGGCTGCATGTTAGTCCATCATAAAGATATCATTATTTATTTAACTAACCTATTACTATTGCTGTTGAATGTTTAGATTGATCCTCTAAATCCTGATGTGAATAAATCTTTTATTTTTTCTTATTTCTGTAGCAATAGCACCTAAGCCAAAATACAAAAGGGCTTCTTTCTCTCACTCCCTCCCTCTCGCTCTCTCCATATACATATATATATAAAGTATACATATATATAATATACATATATATAAAGTATACATATATAATATACATATATATAAAGTATACATATATATAATATACATATAAAGTATACATATATAATATACATATATATAAAGTATACATATACATAATATACATATATATAAAGTATACATATGTATAATATACATATATAATACACATATATAAAAAATATACATATAATATACATATATAAAATATACATATATACATATACATTTGTTACATATATAATATACATATATATAAAATCTCACAAAAATCTCTCTGTATAAAAATAAAAGAGAATTAGTGAACTAGAAAATAGCTCAGAGAGATATTACCCCTAAAGCAGCAGAGAATAAAAAATGAAAATATGAAAGAGATTAAGAAGATAGGATGAGACCTAATATTTGTTTAATTCAAGCATATATATATATATATGATATATATGAAAATACATATGTGCTGAAAAATCTCTGTCATATTCCTGTATCCCAAACACTCAGTTTTCCTACCCAGGGCCAACCACTGTTACTTTGTTTAATGTACATTATCATTTTGACCTATAAAAGTGGCAATTTCATCAAATTTTCCTTTCCCTTTCTACAAGTTGTACCTTAGTAAACCCAGTGTATACTCCACCTTGGTGTTCTTTGGTTGTTGTTTGCTTTCTTAACAGCATACCTTGGGTATTGTTTTATATCAGCACATAAAGATCTATCACATTCTTTTTAGGTGTTGCTTAATACTGTACTGTATGTTGTGTGTATATTATAACATGATGTATTTAACCTATCATTGGATATATCTAGAATAAACTCCTAGATGTGAAATAGCATACTTAATTAAATTTGTGTTGATTTTGTTAAATAGATCTCCTTAGAAGTTGTACCACAATGTGTGTCTACTAGCAACATAAAAGACTGCATGTTTGCTTACACTCTCAACACCAATATCCTCTCAAACTTTCAGATGTTTATCCATCTGATATTTAAAAATTTTATCTTGTAGTTTTATTTTGCATTTATTTTATTAGTAATGGGACTGGTTGATAACCTTTTTCATTCATCTGAGGGCCATTTGTATTTCTTTTTCTGTGAATTATTTATATCATTGCCCATTTTCTAATGGATCGTTGTTTTTTCTTTATTGATTTGTAGTTACTCTTTACATTTTAGCCCCCATTCTGTTATCCATAATACTCAGAACTGAAAGCATTTTCACAAATTCATTGCTAAAACTCATTTAGTGTAAAACTTTTGACTTGGATGAATGTGTGGTTTTATCCATCTCGCTGGCTGTGAATATTCATTTGTATGCTGCAGAAATAACAATGTATTTGGTTATAGAATGTTCCCCTGATGCTGCTTGAGGTTTCATAATATACAAAGTATTTACAGTATTACCCTCCCCGAAAATTTTAAAACCCAGTGGTTTTAGATAAGAAACGGTAGAAAATTGAGAAGAAATTTTTTTCCCAGTTGACTGCTTCTCCTCACTCTTCCCTACATATTCAGAGGCAGAGAAGCCAGGATATAGGCAAAATAGAAGTTTCTTTGAATCCAGTGTCAAATACAGATTTTCACCATTGGATCATAATCTGCCCATGTTACAGCCATGTTTCTCTGTGGAAGGCATTTCCAAATGCGTGATGGAATCAAAGCAGCTCATCGAAACTTTTTTACTTGCAAATCCAAGTTGGCAGATGAATCTGTTTACAGAAATATCAGTCACGGTTATCACAAACATGGGCTGGATTTCACACAATAATATTTTTATTGTCTTATATCACCTAATAAATCATATATTTATAGAAACAAATTTTAAGGCATCTTAGTAGAAAAACCTTGTTCACTGAGATTATTAATGATTGTTCCCATGTTTTCTCATAGTACTTTTATGGATTCCTCTTTCACATTTGTATATTTGATCCATCTGAAATTTATTTTGGCACATGAAGCGAGCTAGAAACTCAATATTTTATCAGATGGCTACCCAGTTGTCCCAACTACGTTCACTGATAATTCATCTTCACTCCATTAACTTGAAATGTTATCTTTATCATACACCAAATTATTATATGTATTTGAGTCTATTTCTAGGTTTTCTTGTTTGTTTTATTAGTGGGTCAATTTAGTACAAAGGGTGGGCTATTGATTCATTTTGCTATATTGCTCTTTAGAAAGGTGCTATCAGTTTATACTCACATTAACAGTGTATGAGTATATTGCCCCTCCACACCCTTGACAACACTTAACCTCATCACATCTTAAATCTTTTATCATTTTGGAAAATGAAAAGTATAATTTAATTGATTTTTGTTTGCATCTTTATTACTATCAAGGCTGAAGTTTTGTGTGTGTGTATGTGTGTGTGTGTGTGTGTTTGGTTTATTGAACACTTATGTCTCTTTTTTTGTAAATTAGATGTTTGTATCTTTGGCCCGTATATCTAAGGAGACATTTAACTTTTTCTTGATGCTAAGAGTTTTCTTTAATCTTTCCCAGAGGTTCTGTTGATGTCAAGAACTATATTAGAAAAGCAGGCTGGATGGAGGAGATCATTCTAAAATGTATTTTCAATAGTGTGTCTAAAAGTGGAGAGCCTTTTAAATAATGAGGGGAAGGAGATAGGTTATAACAATACTAACTATGAACTGAATGTCTGTGTCTCCCCAGAATTCATATGTTGCTGCCTAATCCCCAGTGTGGTAGTATTGGGAGGTGGGGCCTTTTGGAAGTGATTATTATGAGGGATTAGTGTCCTGTAAGAACAGATACTAGAGAGCTTGCTTCCTCTCTTTGATCTCCCCCACATGAAAACACATCAAGAAGAATGTCACCTGCAAACCAGGAAAGCAGTCCCTCACCAGAATCTGACCATGCTGGCACCCTGATCTAGGACTTCCCAGCCTCCAGAACTATGAGAAATAAATGTCTGTTGCTTAAGCAACCCAGTCAATGGTATTCTGTTATAGCTGCCAGAACTAAGACAATGTCTAATTTTGGGAACCACTTATATGCCAGTACTTTTCAAGTTTCTGTTCATTGTTTCATCAGAATCACCTTACAAGGTAGGGATTATCATTATCACTGTTTCTCAGATAAAGAAACTATGGCTTGATGATTAAATAGCAAACTCAAAGTCACATAGCTAGGACATTACAGAATCACAACTAAAATTCAGCTCTCTGACACCAAAGTGAGTGCAATGTCTCTACTGAAATCCTGTACTCCACTTGCTCCAGACTAGTGAAAAAGTCAGATCTATCCATATACAAAACAGTGAGGTAGATAAAGTTTGTCTTCAATGCACTGGTTTCTGTGTCTATCACACAGATGGACGGGTATCCTATGGACTGCACCTCCCATCCCATCAGCACCCAAGGTGCTCAGAGGTGCCCCCAGGTGATCAGAGCTCTTGACCGCAGTGCCCAATGGGCCTGACCCCTACTCCTAGTACCCTCACCTGTGGACATGTCCCTGAACCTTCCCCTTTTTTTTCCTCAAAATTTCCCTGGCCTTCGAACTAAATGCCACAGTTTCTGCTAATTTGCTCAACCAAATTGAACAGAGTTTTTAATGAATGCTAATGAATTAATATATTATTCACATAGAAGCCAGGAGGACAGAGGTGAAGAAAAAAACTGGGCAAAGTTTACCAAGTAACAAATATAAATTTGGATTTCTGGGTAGTGTAGGTTCTTTTTCTCTAGGGATCCCTCTGAGAAGAAAAGTAAGCATTGGCGCAAGGCTAGCCTGGATAAGGGAAGATGATCTGGGGGACCAGGTGAGCCCTAGCTGCTAGGTGCACTGTGCCTCCCCAGTGTGGCTCCAGTGCAGACCTTGGTCCCCTAGCCTTAGTGCCCACCTGTACTCAGCAGCTCTTTCACCCCAAGGGACCAGCCCAACTAGTAAATACTGGTGATGGGCAGTGTGAAAGAGCAGTGTGAAGGAAGCTGTCATTGGAGAGCTGGGGCTTCCAGGAGGGTAATGCTCCAAAAAGCAGATCAGAGATCATTCAGCTCACACCTAGGGAAAGACTCCTCTAGCCCCTCAAACTTTCCATGAATTGATTCAGTGCTATATAAAGAGTAAGAAAAGAATAGCTCCATATTCATACTCAAATCTCAAAACCTTGTAAATGTAAAGACAGATCCCATCCTTGGAAGATCTACCTGATCTACTGTATTTGCCTCCTGGAGGATTACTTCTGTAGCTTTGCCACCATGGAAGAGCAAGGAAAGGGGGCTGGACACAGAATAAATATCACCCTCATGTTTCCCACCTCAGATTGTACAAATAGCTCTTATTTTGTAGATGCACAAGGGGTGGGCAAATGGGAGATAATCTATATATTTTTCAATTAACAAGGGCAGTAAAATATTTTCAGAAATATTTGCTTGAGGCTTCAGGTTTTCTCTCTAGACTTTTTTTCCCCCTTTGATAATGAGAGATACTTGTGAGGGATGTATGGTGCAAAGACCTGAATCCATCACCACGTGATTTAATCTGGAAGTGAGATTCTGAATGAGATGAGCTCTCATGTCCTCTCCAGCCAGATGCTTCTGGGATTGTGTCTGACTTTACCTGAAGTGACAAACTGCTTTCAGAATAGAAAATGAGAAATGATTAATTATACCCAATTGAATGAAAACGTTATTAAGAACCCCTTGCATTTTTCTTACTACTGTGTCTCTTTACCCTTTTGAGGCATTAAGGTATTTCAAAGCTATCATGAGGTTAAAATAACCTCATCATGAGTGCTTTGAAATAGGTAAGATATGCATTATTCTCCCATTCTCATGGAAGAGGAAACTGAGGCCTGGGAGGTCCAGGGGCTTGCCCAAATCCCAGCAGGAGTCCAGTTCCCTCTCTGACAGTCCCAGCTATTTCCACTGGGTGTGCTTCCCTTCCCCACAAGACTTTGCTGATAAGAGTGGGTTTTTCCCCCCAAGCCCCATTGCATTGGACAGATGCATTAAAAGCTCCCCTGGGTAGAGAAATCCCGGGACCAACAGGTAGTTTTCCATTAATAAAGCAAAAATACAAATTAAGCCATTCTCTTGGTGATTCTAGAACAGGACTCCCCCCCTCTTCCCCTGCCCCCCAGGAATCCACAAACACATTTTTAAATAACAAAAGAAAATTGAGTACCTGATGCAGTTAACAGTGGTCTCATGGGGGCTAGGGAGACCAGAAAAAGAGTCTATTATTTTGCACCTGTCCTGCCCAATAGCTCATTGTGCAGCAGTATTTACTTAAAAAGTAGAGGAGGAAATCATTATTTGCTCTTAGTCCTGTGATTCCCGTGGCTACGCTCTTTGGAGGAAGTGTTTTATTTTTTTTTCTCCTTCTCCCATGCTTGAGTTGCAAGAGGTAAATGTGGAAGTGCCTGGCACATACAATACGGAGAATCAGCACAGAGGCCAGGATGGAAGCTTAGCACACGCCTGCTAGGCTTTCTGCTTCCTTTTATGTCTGGACAGCGATGAAGGGCCATGAGCTCAAAAGGGAGGGTTCTCTCCCTCTCTATCCATCTCTCTCTCTGTCTCTCTCTCTCCCCCCATGCATTATATATGCATACTATATATGTATACATGCGTTAAGTACATGAAGACAAACATTTGTATTTACATATATGGTGTGTGTATTACATGCATATTATCTTAACATATTTTTATTATGTGTGTGTATTAAACACACATATTCCACTTCCCTCCTCCTAAACAGCAGTGCTGGCAAACACTGAAAAAAAAATAAAAAATACACAACCTGAAGAAAAAAAAAAAAAGGAAAAGGCAAAGCCCCGTTTTAAATGTTGTAAGTATCTTCTAGTTACTAATGTCTCCCCGTCTAAATGGCTGTGTTTCTCTAGCTGGAAATTGGCAGCAATCAGCTTGACAAGTGTTGGGGAAAGATTTACTTGGACAGATGAAAGAAAATCATTTCCTCCTTAATGCTGGTGCCCACCGCAGATAATGTGGCACTCCCCTGCTTGGCAGAGGGCAGTGCATTTTGAAGGAGCTTGTTTTCTTGGAAAATATAGTCATTGGGCAGGGAAGACAAAAATATGACCAGGCTGGTAAAAATGTTATTGTTAAAGGTAACAAGGTGTTAAAGGCAGTGCTTTAAAAGTGGAGAGCCTTTCCTAAAGCTTGGAGAGGAGGGTGGGCAGAGGGATAAATGGCACTGGGGGAGAGAGAGGACCTGCAGGACTGGCTGACCTTATCTTTAGCCATTTTTGTGTCCTTTGCATTCCTGCAGAATATTAGTGCAGAAAGGGGCCGATACAAAGATCTTGTGCCCCTGCCATGTCTTATGCTCATAGAGGAGGGAAAGCATCTTGCTTACGTCACAAAGTAGTTGGAGGTGGACCTGGGGCTGGCAATCTCCAGACTCCCAGCTGCATGCAGTTTGGTTAATAGATGAACAGCATGCAGTCCACCATTCTTTACACTACACAAACAGTTTTCAATCTTCCTGTGTTTCAGGAACTTTCCAAGGATGGGAGGAAAGGTAGGAGCTACTTGTTATGTTTGGGGTCCAAACCAGCTTCAATGAGAGCAGCTCTACTTGTTATTTGTTTTAGTTAATAGCCTTCTAGAAGCTATTTGAAGGAAGAGGTTCTGTGGCTAGAAAGAGTATGAAAACCAATGCGTCTGTTGGACAATAGCTCCTTTAGGCTACTATATCCTCCCTCAGGATTCACCCTATTTGCTGCTCATGGTCCCAGACTTAAGCCACCCTCCCTGACATATTTTTTGTACCAGATTTGCTCATTCATCAGATTTTGACCTTTCCGCTAATTCTTGCTTTCCTGCCCTAACCCTCCATCTCTCCTTTGCCCTTTGGATGGCATGTTCAACACTGTGTCCCTCACGGTGATGTAAATTTCTCTACATGATTATTCTACTTCTATTCCCCACTCACTGCCTCAGCCATCACAGGCTGCTTTGGGTGCCTGTCCCTTATATTTGACTCACACAGGCTCCTCTTATCATCTACCTGCTACTGATTCCCAAAATATTTCTTTAGCCAGCATCACTGGCCCCGGTTTCAAACTAATATGTCTGAGCATATCCTGGATATATTCATGGAACTGTCTCATGTAATAACCTTTCTTCTCAAATTCATTCCTATTGTCATTTTGCTGTTTCACTTGGCAGGACCAGCACCTAAACCAGAGATGCAACTTTCTCCTACAGCAGTCAATTGCCAAATCTTGCCAATTTTATCTTTCTCTCAATTCTCCCATTTCCTCTCTATTTCTACTACCACCACTCTGGCCTGGGCTCTCATTGTCTCATCCCTGGCCTTCCACAATAACCTCCTCAACTGATGGTCTTGGCTTTGCTCTGTCTTTCCCATGTGTGATCTCTGGACAAATGCAAGAATGAACTACTTGAAAAGCAGATCAAGCCATACCTGAGACTATTTCCAGTCAAAGCCCCCTGCCATGGAACGACTGGCTACAGCTCTCTGTAATCTAGCCCCAGCCTACTTCTCCAGCCTCGTCTTCCGCCCTTCCCCAGCATGCACTTTTAACTCCAACAAACCAAGCTGTGTGCAGTTTCATGTGCCATGGTGTTTCTTTCCTCCTTGTCTTTGCTCTTGCTGTCCCTTCTGCTTGTCATGCCCTCCCTACCATCTCCTCTTCTCATAGCCTGTTTGAACTCTTACATCTCAGGTTTTTCCTCTGCCAGGAAAACTTTCCTGTCCTCCTCCCCTCCAGACAAAGTGGCTTAGATGCCCCTTCCCACAGCTCTCTTGACACCCTGGGCCTGCCTGTCTCTATCCATTCATTCCACCAAGATCCATTGATTGCCTACTACATGCCAGACATGGTGCTGGAAACAGCAGTGATTACAACAAAGAAAAAACCTTTCCTCTTGGATATTCAACTCTACTGGGTAAGAAACAAGATACATAAGTAACATTTAGTATGTTAGCCAGTGCTAAGGGCTAAGGAGAAAAATAGAGCAAAAAAGAGGAAAAAGCAGTTTAGACAGCATGGCCAAAGAAAGTCTTATGAAGAAAGTGACATTTGAGAAAGATTTGGGGCCTGCGAGGGAGTGTGCCATGCAATATCCAGGTAAGGGGCATTTCAGGCAGAGGAAACAGCAAGTGAGTGCAAAGGCCCTGAAGAGGGAATATGCCTGCCATGTTTGAAAAATAATAGAATGCCAGTGTAAATGGGGGAGAATAGAGGGGAAATGATGTTATAGAGGTAATGGGGGTAGGCAGGGCACATAATGTCCAGCCCTGTCTGCCACTATGGGCTATTCCAAAAACCATGGCTTTTACTATGAGTGAGATAGACGTCCTGGGGGTTTAAGCAGACAAGCGGCATCGAATTTACAGCTTAGCCAGACCTCTCAGATTGTGGTGTTGAAAAGAGACCACAATGAATTAGGGACAGAAGCAAGGAGACAAATTAGGAGGCAATAGCACTAATCTAGGCAAGAGGCTCCCACCTAGCCCTGGAGTCCTTCTTACCTCCAGCCCATTCTTAGCTTAGGTGCCAAGATCATCTTCAATCACAGAGAAGATTGCATGAGTTCTGCACGTTCCACCGGAGGACACACGAGGCCTCCCTTTCAAGCTCACCTCTAGTCACTCCTCAGAGTGCATCCTGCCTGCTACCCCACACGCCTATGGACATGCCATGCTCTTTTCTCCTTTCTGCCTTTCCTACAGACTCTTCCCTTTGATTGGAAAGCATTTCATCCTTTCTCCACCAAATAAAACCCACTCATCTACCAAGTTCCCACGAAGCCTTCCCAACTCCCTAGACTAAATGCATTACTTCCCTGGCAATATCTGTGCCATTTTGATATAGAATCCACTAACCACATGTGGCTCTTGTGTACTTGAAATATTTCTAGTGCCATGAAAATGATAACATTTTGGATTTATTGAATTAAATAAAATTTATTTTTTACCTGTTTCTTTTATACCTTTTTAAAAAGTAGCTACTAGAAAATTTTAAATTACTTTTGTGACTCACATATTTCCCGACAGCACTGGTGATAGTATTTTTCATACTTTTTTTTTTTTTTTTTGAGACAGAGTCTTGCTCTGTCAAATCTCGGCTCACCACAACCTCCACCTCCTGGGTTCAAGCAATTCTCCTGCCTCAGCCTCCCAAGTAGCTGGGATTACAGGTGTGCACCACCACGTCCAGCTAATTTTTGTATTTTTAGTAGAGATGGGGTTTCACCATATTGGTCAGGCTGGTCTTGAACTCCTGACCTCATGATCTGCCCACCTTGGCCTTCCAAAGAACTGGGATTACCAGAGTGAGCCACCATGCCTGGCCTTTATACTTTAATGTAGCTACTGAATGCATGTCTATCTCCTGCACTAGAGTATGAACTCTTCTGGTGGGGACATTCTTACTCCTCTTTGTGTTCAAAGGCCTTTGAATGGGGTCTTGTCCATGAGAGAATCCCCCCAAAAGTGTGCTGAATAAATAAATTAGTGCTATACGAGAAACACAGAGTTACCTGTGGCCAGGGAGGATTTTGACTAATGGAAAAAGAATACACAAGACAGTAGGATCACAGGAAAAGCAAGTGTGTAGAACCTAGGAATCTCTAAAAGCATGGGAAATCAGTAGAGAATGTGAATTAAATGGTTTGTCTGGAATTCAGGGACTGTGGAAAAGAAAGATGAAAATGTCTGTGATAGGCAAATTGTAAGAGCCCTCCAAGGCCAGAATGAAGGGTCAGACTTCTTTCTGGAAGCAGTGGGGAGTGATTGAAGATTTGTGAGCAGGAACTAGCAGCTATTACCATATAGAATGCAATGGTCACAAATAGCTGACTTGTAGTTTCATAGGCACCCAATTTATCAGTGTGAATTATTTGCATTTATGCATTTGATTTGTTTGCTTGATCTGAATGCTTGGGGTTTTTAACCCCAATTTCAGAATCCCCAGGGTAACCCTTGCTTGTATTCCCATTCTCGATCTCAAATCCTCTAGGCCCAAACCTTTTCCAGGGAAAGGAGAGAGCCTAATTTCCCTGAGGATCTTCCCTGCTGAAGTTTACTCTTTGCTCCCTAGGAGGTGGCTGGAGGAGCCCTAGAGAATCAGGTTGGAGGTTTCCAGAGTTTTTCCAGGCTGTGGACTCAGAGCTTTTGTTCCTTTGAACACAACTGCTATGGAAACAAGCGAGGAGTTGGCCACAACACCCAGCTCCAAGCTTTGATCTGGGGTTGCTGGGCCCTTTGATGCATGTGTACCAGAGCCAGCCTTGGGGGATAATTAAGGCATTTTTGATAACGAGGTCCAATTTGCTTTTTAATTATAATTTTTCCCAACTTATTTTTTTTTTAAGTTAACCACCTAGGTTGGTTGATTGAAACTTGTGTCACATGTGATGGAAGAAGAAAAGAATGAGATTTAAATCTGAGTTCTCATTCTTTATTAGTAGCTGAAAGCAGAAGCCCGCGTAGTAAGGTTAAATCTGGAGATGGGAGCCGGGTCCCAGCTCTTGACAGCAGACTGAACAGCTAATAAGCAAGCCTCCTTGAGGACACCTGGGAGCCTTGGATCCGAACATAAAATCCCAGGAAGTCAGCACAGGATGGGGTTTGAGATATTTTTGTCCGACATTGTCATTCTATAGATGTCATTCCAAATCCAGAAAGGAGAAGTGACTTGTCCAGGACCGCACTTGCCATCTAATCAGGACATGAGTGTCCTCAGACTTTCCAAAATGGACATAACAATAGTTTCTCTTTGCATGTTGTTCTATGCCCTCACCTTTTTCTCAAGGATCCTTATGCCAATCTGTGAGCTAAGTGGAGTGGTATTAAGTGTCACCTTCTTTTAAGAATCTGCATTTCCAAGTGGCTCAGTATTTGCCTGCAGTCAACCGTACGTGGCAGGGCTGGGAAATGTTTGCAAGGCCATGATTTTTCCATTTCTCTGTGCAGCCCTCCTGTGCTCTCATTAACAATTCAGTCATTCATCAAACACTAGCTGAGAGCTCAGGCGCAGACCCTGTGCTAGTGGTTTTCTTCTACACGCCCCAGCCTCTTTCCTGCAAGCCTGATCTGCCTTCATGGGGGTGATTACGTTTTTAGCCATAGGAAGAACATGGTCTGGCTTGAGTTGTAGGAAAATGTCTTTGGTAGAATTTGAAAGGCGCCTTGGAGAGGGTAGAGCCTAAAGGCAGAGAGACAAGCAGGCTAGGAGAGGAACGAGGAGGCCTGGAATGCAGAACTGGCAATGGGAACTGAGAGATGGAAGGGTGGCTTTGAGAGAGTTTTCAATGTAGAATGTGGTTTCTGGGAATAGAGAACAGTTTAAAGAAATCTGAGATTTTATAGTTTAGTTACTGAGTAAGTTTTAACAGTGATAACTACTAGGAGATTAAAGAAAGAGCTTGAGGTGCCTGTGAGTCATTCAGGTCGAAATGTCTTGTAATTAATTAAATGCACCTGTGAGTGTAGAATTGCGGCGAGAAGGGAGACCTGGAGTTGTCAGAGTGTTGATGACAGTGGCCCCCAGGGAAAGTGAGACATGTAAGAAGAGGGCTTGGGGTGGGCTCTCAGGGTTCATCACTTCATGCCTCAAAGGAAACACTAAAATCTGTGTTGGAAAGCCCTGGACTTGGATTCTGATCTAGCATCTGCTTCTAACAGACTCATCTAGGCTAAGTCATTAACCCCAGTGTCCTCATCTGTAAAAGCTGAAGGAGAGGATCTGCATGCTTTCTTCTAGCATTGACATCCAGGAGCCTGTGATTTCATCTGCATAAGCAGAGTATTGCAAAATTGCAAAGTCTAGCCCATCTCCCAGTGGGTGAGATCTCCCAGCTGGTGTGAAGGAGGCCCTAGTGGCCCCATGAAGCCACGCTGCTTGGGGCTCTTCTCTCATGGCTTTTCTCACACCTACATGTGGCGCACTGCTCAGGAAAGGCTTTCCTGTGGCTCCCCAGCCTCTACTTCTCTGCTCCATTCTGCCCTCCACCCCAGGTTTTATTACTCAGTGAGTGATGTGTGCCTGGAAACACTTTCTTTATGATTTATTAATAAAAAGCAAGAAGGGAGAAATGGAAGAAACACAAGGTAAGAGACCAGGATTGTATCTAAGTAAAACACTTTTCAAAGTGTCAAAAGGTCTTTGGGGAAATAGGAAAAATAAATGAGTCAAAGTGTGAAGTGAGTGAAAGGCAGGAAACTTTGGCTTCAGGAAATAAGTCCCCAGCAACAGCAATTTGAACAAACAAAACAAAGCAAAATCTGACAAAATGAAAACTAACAATAATCATCATCATATTCCTCATTGTTGTCACTCTCACCATAACAGCTGATATATTATTCTGAGGATAGATTGATCTGAAAATGACCAAGTCATAAGAATAATGGGACAAGGTCAATGAAGGAGGTCCAGGCAGAGTAGATGGTCAGGGCTGGCTACGCTTGTCCCTGGGCCCCAGCAAATGGTGGCCCTGAGTCCCATGGGGCTGGGGGACATCTCCATGGATGGAGGCAATATCCCAGATCAGGCTTTCTTACAGAATCCAAGGTCTTCAGGATCTCCAAACCTTTCCTAGAATTGTCTGCTTTTTATTGAGAAGGAGGAGGTAGCCACCAAGATTGCAAATCTATATGCCCTGTGGGTGAAATTGGGGACAGATGGGGCAGAGAAGGCTGCACACTTTGCAAATCTTTGAGGTTCATTGTGAGATATGAAAAGCAGAGGCAACCTCCTAGAGGCCTTCCAAAGATCACTGCACGTTAGTGATGGCTCTTAGGGCTGAACCTTCAGAGAAGGTTTTAGTGAGAAGAAAACAATGCTGCTCTCTTATTCTGTGCCCCCCCTTTCTGAAGGTCCTCTATTTCAGGAAGTTTCCCATTTTGTCCCACCACCCCATTGCCCTGGCGTTTAGGACATTGGCCAGCCTGGAGGGTATTTCTTCCAGTTAGTTGGCTTTGTAAATGCCCACTCCCGTGGTTTTGTCCATGTTGATTCCTCTACCCAGAGCCCCTCTCCACTTTTGGCCCTAGCTCTGCCTTCTCAAAATGCTACCTGTCTCCAAGTAGTAGTATTCAATGCCTCCAAGTGGAATTTTTCCTGCTTTGCTCTACTTTCATTGTGCATATCACATTCATGAATGTTTTATGAATATTTGTACACATTCAAAACTTATCCTCCCTACTAGACCACAAACTCCTTGAGAGATGGAACTTTGTCTTATTTATTTGAATAATTATTGGAACAGGGAGCCTAGGAAATCTTCCAGCTATAGGGGTAGGAAGTGAAAATGAAGAAAGCTATATGCATTCCCAGCCTCAAGAATCAAAGCTCAGCAAACTGAACTAGGTGGCCTAAAAAGCCTGCTCATCCTTCAAGGCCCAAGTCAAATGTCACCTTGTTCTTAAATCCTTACTAGATATTTTCATTTGGAAACGGACTTTTCCTCGCAGATTTTCTGTGAAGAGCATGAATGCTGATAAATATTTCCAATGTTCCTTCTGGACATATGGTCAGATTGTACTTCCCTGGCCCCTTTGAAGTTCTGTGTGGTCATGTGACTTGCTTTGAACAATAAAATAAGAGCAGAAATTGTTTGTGTCACTTCAGAGTGGAAACTTTAAGAGCCAGTGCAAGATTTATTGTATCCTCTTTCTCCTACATCAGCAATCATGGAAACACAGAGATGGGGTTCTCCTAGGGCTGGAATTCTTAAATGAGAACACCATAGAGCAGAATATTTCTGTTGGCCCATGGTAGAAATAGAATGAGAGCAAGAAACAAACCTTTGGTTCTTATATGATGCCGAAATTTGGGAGCTGCTTGTTATTGCAGCATAATATAACCTATCCTGTCTGATACATCATAATACTTCCCAATATTAAATTATTTGTGGAAATGTCATCACCTTAATAAGTTGAACATTGCTTCATTCATTCATTCATTCATTCATTCAATCTTTTACTTATCCCCAACAATTACAGTTGCCCCTTGGTATCCACTAGGGATTGGTCCCAAGACCACTCCCCATACCCCACAAATACTAAAATCTGCGGATGCTCAAGTCCCTGATTTAAAATCACAGATTATTTGCACGTAACCTACACACATCCTCTTATGTACATTAAATAAATTTTAGATTACCTAATATAATGTAAATGCTACATAGTTGTTAAACTGTATTTTCATTGTTGTGTCATTTTTTGTTATTGTTTTCTTTCTGAATATTTTTGATTCAGCTGGTTGAATCTGGATGTGGAACCTGCACATGGAGGGCCAACTGTATTTATAGGGCCCCATCATATGTTAGGCACTGCACTAGTTGCCTGAGATTGTACAATAATGAAAGTGTAGTATCTGTCCTCCATTGGCTTTTGATCTGGACAGAAGGATGGATAGGTAATCAGGCAGCGTCAGTAAAGTATGATGCAAGTCATAAAGGAAATTTAGAATGCTACAAGACCACATGGGTAGGGCACCTAACCCTTAGAAGTTTGGAAAGATTGAGGAGGATGCTGGAGAAATTTCCATCTAGGTGAAGACTTGAGATAAGTAGGAGTGATCCAGGTGAAGGAACAAAGAGAAGAGGGAAGAGGAGTAGTCCAGGGGAAAGGAACAGCATGTGTGAAGGCAACATGAGCAAGAAAGGACAGGGACCATCCAGAGCACTGCAAATGAGGCAGTGTAGCTGGAGCATGGGGTCTGAGACGGGATGAAGACTGAGGAAGGTGAAGCTGGCCGGGGAATCAGGCTCAGACCTAGGAGAGCCGTGCATGCCAAGTAAAAGACTTCGGACTTTATCGTAAAGGCAATAGGGAGCCATTGAAGGGTTTAAAAGTAAGCGAGTAACATAATCATATTTGTGTTTTAGATTTTAATGGTCATTCTGGCTGCGAGATGGAGAAGGGATTGGAGAGAGGCAGCAATGATCCCCTTGAGGGTACAGTCTGTTTTGGATTCACCTTCATGGCCTTTCCCCTTCCTCTCATGCCAAGCCCCTAGTACTGCATAAGCAGTCTAGAAATGCTAACTGATGAAGAGATGACAGTAAGCATGCAAGTCCTCAACCCTGCTGTGTCTCTTCTCAGGCTCTGAGCAGCCACTCACCTCCGAATGGCAGCCACTTGGAGCTTGGAGATGCGATGGTTTTCAATGCCAGGATTCTGCCATAAGCAAACCTGAGCAAGCCTCAGCCTCTAAATAATAGCAAGCATGTGTTGGGAAGTATGGGCCTGCCCTCTACTGAAGGAGGCAGGGAGCGTGTAGGTACTTCCAGAAGGAAACCAGCAAAGTAGGCCGAGCGCGGTGGCTCACGCCTGTAATCCCAGCACTTTGGGAGGCCGAGACAGGTGGATCACGAGGTCAGGAGATTGAGACCATCCTGGCTATCACGGTGAAACCCCGTCTCTACTAAAAATACAAAAAAAAAATAGCCGGGCGTGGTGGCGGGCGCCTGCAGTCCCAGCTACTCGGGAGGCTGAGGCAGGAGAATGGCGTGAACCCTGGAGGTGGAGCTTGCAGTGAGCCGGGATTGCGCCACTGCACTCCAGCCTGGGGGACAGAGCGAGACACTCTCTCAAAAAGAAAAAAGAAAGAAAGAAAAGAAACCAGCAAAGTAACCAACTGCTGCCCAGGGTGTTACAGGAACACCCTACTGGGCTTTGTCATGCCCCACCTCAATCCAGCTCCAGGCTCTGCTGAGTCTGTGCTCCTCACGGACCCCCAAACTTTGGAGGCAGGTAGGGCAAATGGAGGCTCCTAGTGTCACAACAGAGAGTGAGGTTTTGTAACCCTTGCCAGGCCAAGGTTGGGGTGGGGAGGTACAACGCGCTGCCACCGCAGGCAGAAGAGTTGTGCTTTTCCCTGGGAGCTGGGCTGTGGGCCCAGCCAGGTGCTGCCGAGCGGGAGGGCTGCTCACACTCCAAGAGCCAGGCCGGCAATTCCAGAAGGCAAAACTTCAGTGTATTCCAATTTTCCAAAATAGAAGGAATAAAACAAATCAGAGCAGATGTTCCAACATGTAATTATCAACTAATCAGTTTGGACTTTTTTTAAAAAAGGGAAATTTCAAAATAGCTCCCAGATTTCATCAACTGCAGCCCTGGTGGAGACTGGCCGGGTTGGAAAGGAGTTACTGAAGAGAGCTGCAGGTGCCCAGGTGGTGGGGGAGGGGAGATGGGGGTGGGGTGACGGGGCACAGGTGCTTCTAGTGCTGGGACTGCTGCTGCTGCTGCTGCTGCTGCTGCTGCTGCTGCTGGGTTCAGCAAGGAGGGAGCAGCTCTAGGCTGCAGGTGCCAGGTTGAGGCAGCTGGGCCTCAAGACAAGCAGCTTCCCTCCTAGAAACACTGTGAGCTGGGATGAGTCATCTCCCGGCCTCATTCTGCCCCAGATCTTGTCTCTGGCAGACACGTGAAATGGCTCACATGGAAGAACACAAATTGACCACTTTATCCTCAAGCCTAAGGCCTTGGCCACCCCTCAATACCTTCTCTTTCCATGTAAGCCAATAAGACGCAGAAAAGAAACAGGACATGGTCTTGGACGGTCAGCAAGTCTTTGAGCTGTGGGAATCCTGGGCCCCTGAGTTCAGTTCTGGAGTGGGTTCTAAAATCTAGAGATGCAAATTTTCTGTGTAAATGCTGTTGGGACTTTGGAGTGATTCCCTAGTAGCTCATGATGAGAGGAAGACAGCAGAGGAAAAGAAGGAAGAAGGAGGAGAGGAAGAAGAGAGAGTGGAAAGGGGAGGGGGGAGAGAGGGAAAGGAGAAAGACCGAGAGGCTCTCTAGGATTGAAACCCCACGGTGGAATTTATATATTAGATATTCACAATAGAGTGCTAAGATGTTAGACATGGTTTAGAAATGAACACAAGCTTTCTGCTGATCAACACTTAGGTATGTGTAACTAGAGCTCTACAGATTATCTGCACCTTAAGCATGTTTAGTTTGCTGGAATGAGCACTCTATAGTCCCTAGAAACCTTTAGGAACAAAGTGTTATTAACACACATACAGACTTCACAGCTTCCTGCAGAAGGTGCAGAATCCCAGGTTTCCTAACCCAGTGGGGAGCCCGTGGCCCCTTCGTCATTGCTATAATTTAGTTTCAATCTCATTCCCAGGTGAGGACTGAACAGAACAGCCCTCCTAAGTGCCTGCTTTCCAAGAGCCGGTTTCCAAAGACCACACAGGTGGCAAAATGACACAGTGGTCTCAAGTGTGGGCTCTGTTGTCAGGTTGCCTGGGGTTGAGCCCCAGCCTCACCCCTTACTGGCCATCTGTCTGCGGTAAGCTGTTTAACCTTTCTGGCTTCCATCTTCTTGTCTGTAAAATGAAGATAATGACTGTACTTATTGCATAGGGTGGCTGTGAGGTTTGCAGGAGGTAGTGCGCATGCAGGGTTTGACATACACTTAATAAAATGCTGGCCTTTCTGAGCACAGCGTGCCTCCCAATGGCCTGTTTGTGCAGGGCTGGAACTGAAAGGTCATCTTACTGGGAGGAAATGGAAAATGCATTGTGGTTCTGGGGGTCCCC
Source organism: Homo sapiens (assembly GCF_000001405.40). Lineage (NCBI taxonomy): Eukaryota > Metazoa > Chordata > Mammalia > Primates > Hominidae > Homo > Homo sapiens. The sequence continues at coordinate 114,820,568 of NC_000011.10, read as the reverse complement.
TTCTGAGGAAGTTCCACCCATCCTTGGAAGCCCTTTGAGATCCTTCTGCAGATGCTCCTACACTTAGAATGGAGTTACATCCCAATAAGCCCATTGTAAAGTGAAAATATTGTTAAGTCAAAAATGCATCTAATGCACCTAACCTATTGAACGTCATAGCTTAGCCTAGCCTACCTTAAACATGACACTTACATTAGCCTACAGTTTGGCAAAATCTTCTAACACGAAGCTTATTTTATAAAAATAAAAATAAAATATTGTAATAAATATAAAAGATAAAGATTCCACATTTAAAGTATGGTTTCTACTGAATGCATAATACTTTCACACCATCATAAAGATGAAAAATTGTTAAGTCAGATCATTGTAAGTTGGGGACTGTCCACACATTTTTTAAAATTTTTGAGCCTTTGCACAAGCATTTCGCCTACTGAGAATGCCATTTTATCTCCTTCCTTTACACAAGCATTTCTCCTACTGAGAATGCCATTTTATCTCCTTCCCACCTTTGCACAGCCAAATTCTGTTGACTCCTTGATAACCAAGTTGATGCTCATCTCCTGCATGAAGTCCTCCCAGGTGCCCCACCCCAAAGCCTCTTAGCACTCTCTCAGGATATTTCTTGGTGTTACTTACGACTCTCTAGTTTGTGGTACAGTTATTTGTGTACATGTATTAGCTCCCCTAAGAGACTAAGAGATTGTTGAGGAAAAGCTCTTTGCTGGGTCAACTTGATGAGGACCCCGTCCCCTGTGACTACCACAGGGCCTGCCCCAGGGTAGATGCTCAGTCCATGTTCTTCTGTGCGTTCATGAAGGCAGCTCATATTCTGGATGAAGCCTGGCTCAGCAACAGTGCTATTGAGAGGTGAGGACATGGACCACCCTCCCGACTGAACATTAGACTGAACTGTAATCTTGGGTGAGGCACATGAACCAGGAGACATCAGGGGAGCCATGAGAAATTCTCTTTGCCTTCATAGTTCAGAGGCTTTGGCATTCTGGAAAGAGAATGGTCTATCCTCTGCCTTTTGATTAGAATAACTACATGGACTTTTTTACTCACCTGTTACCTTGTTATTGAGAGTTGGCTTAGCAAAGTGGGTAAAAATAAGCACTTGAATCAGATTGCCTTTGTTTCTATCCCCGTTCCTTTTTACCTGCTTTGCTACCTTGTGCAATCTACTTGACCTCTCTGTGCCTTTTCCTCAACTCTGAAATGTGGAAAATACTACTACTTATCTGTTAAGTTTGTTGTGAAGATTAGATGAGGTAACATATGTGAAGTATTTAGGCAATACTTGGCACATGGTCTTGGCACATGGTAAGTACTCAGTGGTAGTTATGATGACACATCCACAAGACCAAACCACAGAAATTACTGTGCTAGGCTCTCAGGGCACAGATACGAAAGCTGAGAAATCCAGTTTCAAATCCTAACCTTTGCCTACAAGTTCTGTAACTGCAAGACAGGTTCTTAGCTTCCCTGAGCATCAATGCCTCCGGTTTTACATCCGTAAAATGAAGGTTGAATTTGTGATTCCTGAAGGCTTTTCTCAAACTCTATTTTAATAAGTCTGTGGATATTTAGGAGACCAGGCACAAGAAGCAAATGTTAGCTATGCTCAAATGCTGCCTTTGTGTGCCCTTTTCCCACTGTCTATATCTTATTCCTTATCTCTATTTCCCCTTCTCCTCTTCACTCTTCCTTATATAATGTCTAATCTGTGATCTCTCTCTCTCTCTATGTGTCACACACATGCACACACTGAGGCACTCACATGCACACACACGGCTTCTTTTCTTCTTATCACCTCGTTAAATTTCTTTCCTTTCAGGCTCTGCCTCTGATGCACCTCTCAGTTTTTCAGGAAAGCTCAGGGTTAAGGGGCCTGGGCAGGGTGGAGGCAGAAAGGGCTGTGCCCCTGCTCCATCGGTTACCTGCAAAGCTGAGGAAGCTGCAGAGGCTTAGGTTTTATTAGATCTATATATGCCCTGGCTTTCCGTGGGCTGAGCTTCCCTGATGCAGTGAAAACTATGTGGGCTTCACAAGTAGTCAGGGCACTGGAGAAAAAATGAAAAAGGATTTTTTTTACCTTTTTAATAAATGACAAAGAAGGAAGAGAATATTAATAAACTTCAGACCCCTCCCCTTCTCATTTCTCGCCCGGTACAGAACCTGTGCACCCACATGGAGGGGCCACCCCACACATGTGGCCTCCCCCTGTGGTCTAACCAGCAACCTGACCCATAGAAGAAGCTTTGAGATGCTGCCTAGGAACTGTTTGAGGGTTGTTCCTTCTGCAGAAGATCTCTTGCTGTCTCTTTTTCTTGTGCTGCTGTTTCTCTCCAGCTTGTTCTCTGTTTCTGACTCTTTCTCTCTCCCTCGCCCTCTCTCCACCACCCCTCTCTCATTGCTTTCCCAACCTTCACGGAGAGGCTCCAATTAAAGCAGAAATGGCAGTTTGGCTCCTGAGCTGATATCTCTGTTGCTGCAGAAGCTTTCTCAATTGACAGAAATCTTTGGCTTTCTTACCTCTTTATGTGCTATGTTTTGGGGGTGGGGGAATCCCGCAGCCCCACTAAACCCTTCCTGTTCTCCCCCTCTCCCTCTCCTTCCCCAGCCCCTGTTCATGCAGGACAGCAGGATGCTTAGACAGGAGGGCATTTGCAATCCCCCTCAGCTCCTCCACAGCATCCTGCTCCTGCCTCGGTGGAAGTGCCTTCTGCATTGCATTTCAATTAGGTTCTGAAGGAAGCAGCAGAGGTGCCCAGCCTGATTGTGGGAGCCCCCTTCGCCTGCTTGCCTGCTATTCAGAAATGTCAGGTTTTGTAGTTTGGTGTTTTCCAACACTGTTCACTAACGATTACATTTTGTGAACATTACCCTGAAAGGCTGCAGCTGAGCAGCCTTCAGTTTGCCTGCTTCCCCTTCAAGTCCCGACATCCTTAATTGCACCCCTTCCTGGAGATGTAGTACTAGATGAGGGGCCCACATTTCACTGCTCTCTGCAGCTCCGCTGACCCTGTCTCTTCCCTGGAGCCTTGGTTTCCAGCTGCCTGCCATGCAATACTCCAGGGACTGTTCATCCCTCCCAAAGCATCCAAGCGCTAGCTCATTACCTGTTCCCCAGCAGCACATTCAAACTTGCCTCCATCAACCTGCTCTTCCTCCAAAGTGACAGTGTTGCTATCCTCTTACTCTCCAAGTTTAGACCCCAGTCATCTTCAGACTCGCCAACGCTACTTGCCTCCTGGAGTCAGTGGTCACCTTTAAGTCCACCTCTCTCCTTCCCCACTTTCATATTTTCTGTCCTGTCACTGCTGCTGTGGCCTCTGCCTGGTCTCCTTGCCTCACATCCCATGCCACCTTAATCCATGATTTCCTCTACTCCTCAGATTGTTATTCTGAAACCTAGGCTGTTCCTTGTCTATCCCATCCTCAAGAACCTGCAATGGCTCCCTATTACTTATAGATTAGAGTCCAAACCCTTTCAATCTTATGTCTTGCTATGACACTCCCCCACCCTAACTGCCTTCTACCATCCCCCAAAGTCTCCATGTTGTTTAATAGCTCACCATCTGTCTCCATGCTGTCTTCTCAGCCTGGAATTTCCTCTCCCTCAGCCTGTCACTGTGTATCGTCTGGCAATTTATGCTAATAGGATATCTTGCCTGTGAAAGGCACATGATAAATATGTATAGATTGATAGACTCAAATTTAAACATCTTAAAGTTATTAATGTATTTAATAAATATGCATTACATGCCTACGGTGGGTCTGGCACTGTGCTAGACCCTGGGGATACACAAGCCAATACGAATAAACCAAGGCTCCCACAATTGATATCCTTACAATCCAGAGGAATGGCAGAATGGAAAGAAAGGAATTACAGGGCAACATTCATTTGATAAATCATCATTTATTAAATGTCCATTCTATGTTAGGAACTGTGATAGATACTGAAAATAGGGAAATGAGTAAGGCATAGTCTTGACCATGGAGGAGTTTCAATTCTAGTAGGAGAGACTGCCAAGGAAAAGGGAAACACAGCCGGGCATGGTGGCTCACATCTGTCATCCCAGCACTTTGGGAGGCTGAAGCAGGAGGATGGCTTGAGCCCAGGAATTCAAGACCAGCATGGGAAACATAGTAAGACCTTGTTTCTATTTTTAAATAAAACTAAAATTAGCTGGGTGTGGTGGTGCACACCTGTAGGCCCAGCTGCTTGGAAAGCCGAAGTAGGAGGATGGTTGGATTCCTGGAGGTCGAGGCTGCAGTGAACTATGATCATACCACTGTACTCCAGCCTGGGCAACAGAGCAAGACCCCCGTCTCAAAAAAAGAAAAGAAAACGAACAAGGGAAATATGTACTGTGGGATGTGTAGCAGAGATACTTGATACAGCCTTGGGGATTCAGGAGGGAACATCTAAGCTCAGTTATGGGAGGTGAGCAGGAGATGGCCAGATGTGGGAATAGGATAGCAATGGGGAAGCAGTAGAGAGAGTAACAGATGAGCAAAGGCCAAGGAGAGAAAGCAGTTCTGAGAAAGGTAACCCGCAGGCACAGTGCTGGAGCTGGGGAGCTGGGGAGCTGGGGCATGACCACAGAGAGGTTAATAGTGAGAGGGGAAGCTTAAGAACTGAGAAGAAGCCAGAGCAAGAAGGCCTCAGTTAAAGAGTTTGGGTTTTATTCTGAGCATTGAGGAGTTTCAGCAGAACAGAGGTGGGCAGGTTTGCCCTTTAGAACTTCCACTCTACTGCTGTCCTTCATTCCTCATTCATTCACTAACCAATTCATTCAATATATATTGAACACCTACTGCATGCCAAGAGTGTGCTAGCCATTGTGGGGAGGATGAGGATTGGAACTTGGGATTCAGTTTGGAAGCTGCAGCAGAATTCAAGAGAGAGGAGACAGAGGCCTGCAGTAAAGTGATGAAAGGAAGATGGAGAATTTGGGGCACATGTGAGAGTGTTCAGCAGTAGAAACTAGGGTTTCATGATAGGTTAGATGGGGCTGTGTAGGGATAAAAGCTGATAATAATAATTACAACATTTATTGAGTCTTTTCTAGGTGCTAGGCATGATTCCAACCTCTTTATATGCATTAACTTTTTGAATTTTCACAACAACCTATGAGTTCAGCTCTATTATTATCCCCATTTTTTACATAAGGAAACTGAGGCACAGAGAGGTTGAGTGATTTGGCCAAAGTCACACAGCTAGTAAGAAACAAAGCCAGGATTTAAACATGAACAGGAGGAAAAGAGACACATTCCTAATGTGGAAACAGCCTGGGTAAAGGGGACAGGTAGAGGTGGATGTGTCAGGTGGAAAGGAGCAGAAAACATACATTTAATCAGTTTTGACAATTTTAGATAAATCAAAAGTCAAATTAGGTATTGCAGAGACTTTAGGGCTTGGAATGAAGCCATTGGAGGCCACTTCTTCAAATCAAAACTTTCAACAATTTCAGGAGAGCAAACTTAACCTCTGAAAATAGGGGCAGGTTTTGGGGACAGCTTGCTTAGGGGGCCCAATAGTTCTCTGGATCCAGGCTGGAGCAGAAGGGCCCTATTCTTTGTTGGGATGGAACATGCTGAGAAATGTGCTTTTGAATTCTCATTATTTTTGAGTTCTATCATTCATTGTCTTCCTCTTCTGATCAATTCCAGGAAACCTCTCCTTACCATTGTATTCCATCAGCATTCTCGCATGTCCTTGGGTCATGCTGACAAGTCCATTGCATGTATGTTCTTAAAGGGTGTTGTGTATGTATATATCCAAGACTGGCTACATAATTTTCAGATCCCAGTGCAAAATTAAAGTAAGAGGTCCTTTTCTTAAAAGTTTCAAGAAAAACTTCAGGACAGTAACAGCAGTCCCTTAAACTGCGGACTGAGTCCTTCTGAGCACAGGGCACTGAGTGACTACACACCCATGAAACTGGCCCTGCATATATCACTCGCCCAGTTGCATTATACCTGTCTATCTTTAGGGTAAGGACTATGCCTGCTGCCCAAAATTAGTTAGGAGTACCAAAAAACTCACCAAATTTTGGACAAACGATAAGGGAGAAGGGAAGTGAACTTACATTAATAGGTACATACATGCCTAGCCTACAGTAACGGTGTTTTGTAGACAAGTAAATGAAGGCTAAGTGATTTGCCTAAGGTTAATTGCTGCTAATAATGGATGGGCCTGGATGGGCATGCATATTTTTCTGCTCTAAAGCCCATGCACTTTGCAATATACCCTCCGGTAGAGGGATCACTCATATGAAGGGGACCTAAGCTAGACCCATCCCACAACATTTCCACCCCCTTCATCAAACCATTGAAACCATTGAAATGCTCATAAGGTCAAGGAGCTTGGGGCATAATTTTGTTCTTGCTGAACCCCACTTGATCTTACCTGGGTGGCTTTCAATGTTTACAAGAATCAGAAAAACTGAAGTTAGAGATGACCTAGGGATCTAAAATGGGCAGAGAGGCTCAGGGAAGGAACATGTCAACAAGTTCTGACTGATATGTCTTATGTGCCTGGTCCTGTGCAGTAGGCTGCACATGGAGAGAGGTACAGTCAAAGATAGAGTGAGACTCAGGAACAGCGTAAGGTTCTCTTTGCACATTTTGTTAATTGTGCAAGCTGCAAGTTTAATCTTTATATTAAATTTCTGAAATATGCACAGCATAAAAACAGCCCTATCGTAATGGCTTCATGTGGATTTTTGCTTAGTAAAGCAATGGTTCCCAATGTTTTTCTTCTTTCTAATGCTAAAAATACCTTGAAATCTCCCACATCAAAGTAGTTTTTCTCTAAGTATCGATTCATCAAGAAACCATGTAATGACAAAAAGCCATACTTTAAAATGTGTTTTATTCATTGCAACATTTGTAGCATTTGACAGATAATTGCACATAGTATGTATGAGATACATTATCAGTGGAGGCCGGAGACTGTGCAAGGTGCACCTGAAGATGAACTCCCCCAGACATGCCCCATCCCACATGCATGCATGCACATAAATGAACATGCACAGATGAGAAAGCCACTGAGCTGGTGCAAGGAAGCCCACAGTATGGAGTCTTGGCTTGAGCTGCAGCTCGCAGATGCCATCAGATTATGAGCCTGTTCCAAGGGGCGTGTGTTTGGAGATTCCCAAGCTTCTGTTTGCAAACCAGCCTGGCCTGGTCCCTCCTCAGGCCTTCTGTGGACATGGCAGAGAGATGAATGGTCTGATTTACAAGGAGGAAGCTGGGAGCAGCTACCTGAAGATGAGCCCAGACAAACAGATCCTAGAATGAGGGAGACGCCAGAGGGAGGATCTCATGGCAGCTCCTGGGAGGAACCTGTGATTACACCTTTTTGATTATAACCACTGGGTGGATACAGCAGCTTTGTCTAGTGAAGTTAGTCTTCCTGCAGGATGTTTTCCTGTGATGAGTGCAGCAATTACAGTTGATCAGGGCATAAATAGCTATCAAGATTCTCTGGGAGTTGGCATTAATAAGGATGAGTTGAGGGAGTGTGGCCCTGACCCCCAGAGCCCCAGCAGGGCACCTCGCTGCCGGCCTCTCTCCCCAGGGTGCAGCCATAAGCCCAGGAGCTTGGCTATTTATAGTCAGGCTCTGACATCTCCGATGATTTACCTTTCAGATCTCAAGTGTGAGGTCTACTTTATGGAAATAACACAGTACAAACTAATTGCAGGCTTCAAAGTGCATCTATTTTTTTCCCACTTCCTCTTCTCTTGCCACCTTCTCCCCCACCTTCACCCTCACTCCATTCCCAGCAACACCACTATCTCATTTTTTGCAAAGATCAGAAGCAGCACAATGTGATTGGGAAGCTGACAGCCCTGCAGAAGGGCCACCATCTCTATTAAGCCCTGGAAAAGGTGATTCTCTCAAGGGTACCAAAACCTACCAGACCAGGTTTAAGCCCTGAAACTTTGCTGGAAATTTCTTAGGTTTTTGCTCAAAAGCTGGCATGATTCCAACAGAGCATGGTACCTTAGCATCTCCACAGCACCTTAGAAGTCAACCAGTGTAACTTCTAACTCAGATTTCTCCTCTTAGAACTTCCACATATCCATCATTGCTGGAACATTTCTATAAAACTGAGCTTGCCCCTTTCCAGTGCCACCTGCTCTACATTGAAAATAATTCTAATTATTAGAAAGTTGTTATTTTAAACTGTAATTTGTCTCTTTAGATATGCTCTGGGACAGAAGTGAGAACAAGTGATATCCCTTTTCCAGATGCTATCCTATAACCTACCCAAAGATGGCTAAGCTACTGTCAGGCCCTGTCTAGCTCTCAGCCTTTGCTATCCCCCTTTGTCCTCAGCTGGGGCCACTTGATCACCTCTGGACTTAGCTCTGCTCCCAGGCGCTAGGACTAATCTTGGCCTGGGGCAGGAGGAATTTAAAGAGCTCAAACTCCACTGTGTGTGATTAAAAATCAATTTGCTCTCAACGCTAATCTGGATAATATGCTTCTTTCGTTGTGTCCTTTTTCTGATTAAACTGGCTTCTACTGATTTTTGTGATAATAATGGCTATCATTTTTTTGAGTGTCTGCTATGTGCCAGACACTGTGCTAAGCATGCGATAGTTAATTTAATTCTCCCAGCAGTTCTCTAAGGTACACATTACTATCCTCAGTTTACAGATGAGAAAACTGAAGCCTAGAGAAGTACAGTGGCTTTCCCAAGGTCATGGAGGTAATAAGTGACAGAGCTAAGGATGCAACCCATACTAACTGCATTCTCTGGCCCTACGACTGGTGACCACAGTGCAATGCCATCTAGCCCAGCCCTTCCTTGTGCCCTCAGTATTGGTGCCTGGATCCTGTCCTTGCTGATACTCTTGTGTCCCTCTCAGCACCCTTGAGTGTGGGGTTTGCACTTGTAAGTCCCCAGTGTGGAGGCTGGAGTCCTACCTGAATCCCAACCCAGGGGTAAGGCCCGGCCATCTGCCTGAAGACTTCCTACCACTGCCTGGCTGTTTGCCTCGTTCCGTCTATTTTGCATGCTTGGATTTTTCTCACCATTCTTTTCCCCTAGCCTGGTTGTGATAGTTGGAATCTGCATATTTTCTCTTCTTCATGATCACAATGATGAGGCTATTGGAGAAGAGACACCCCCTATCCCTACCTTTTTTTTGTGTGTGTGGTCTTTAAAGCCATTTCTTTCTCTTTTTTTGCATTTTTTTTATTTTATTATTATTATACTTTAAGTTTTAGGGTACATGTGCACAACGTGCAGGTTTGTTACATATGTATACATGTGCCATGTTGGTGTGCCGAACCCACTAACTCGTCATTTAGCATTAGGTATATCTCTTGATGCTATCCCTCCCCCCTCCCCCCACCCCACAACAGTCCCTGGTGTGTGATGTTCCCCTTCCTGTGTCCATGTGTTCTCATTGTTCAGTTCCCACCTATGAGCAAGAACATGCGGTGTTTGGTTTTTTGTCCTTGTGATAGTTTGCTGAGAATGATGGTTTCCAGTTTCATCCATGTCCCTACAAAGGACATGAACTCATCATTTTTTATGGCTGCATAGTATTCCATGGTGTATCTGTGCCACATTTTCTTAATCCAGTCTATCGTTGGACATTTAGGTCAGTTCCAAGTCTTTGCTATTGTGAATAGTGCCACTATAAACATATGTGTGCATGTGTCTTTATAGCAGCATGATTTATAATCCTTTGGGTATATACCCAGTAATGGGATGGCTGGGTCAAATGGTATTTCTAGTTCTAGATCCCTGAGGAATCGCCACACTGACTTCCACAATGGTTGAACTAGTTTATAGTCCCACCAACAATGTGAAAGTGTTCCTATTTCTCCACAGCCTCTCCAGCACCTGTTGTTTCCTGACTTTTTAATGATCGCCATTCTAACTGGTGTGAGATGGTATCTCATTGTGGTTTTGATTTGCATTTCTCTGATGGCCAGTGATGATGAGCATTTTTTCATGTGTTTTTTGGCTGCATAAATGTCTTCTTTTAAGAAGTGTCTGTTCATATCCTTTGCCCACTCTTTGATGGGGTTGTTTTTTTCTTGTAAATTTGTTTGAGTTCATTGTAGATTCTGGATATTAGCCCTTTGTCAGATGAGTAGGTTGCAAAGATTTTCTCCCATTCTGTAGGCTGCCTGTTCATTCTGATGGTAGTTTCGTTTGCTGTGCAGAAGCTCTTTAGTTTAATTAGATCTCATTTGTCAATTTTGGCTTTTGTTGCCATTGCTTTTGGTGTTCTAGACATGAAGTCCTTGCCCATGCCTATGTCCTGAATGGTATTGCCTAGGTTTTCTTCTAGGGTTTTTATGGTTTTAGGTCTAACATGTAAGTCTTTAATCCATCTTGAATTAATTTTTGTATAAGGTGTAAGGAAGGGATCCAGTTTCAGCTTTCTACATATGGCTAGCCAGTTTTCCCAGCACCATTTATTAAATAGGGAATCCTTTCCCCATTGCTTGTTTTTGTCAGGTTTGTCAAAGATCAGATGGTTGTAGATATGCGGCATTATTTCTGAGGGCTCTGTTCTGTTCCATTGGTCTATATCTCTGTTTTGGTACTAGTACCGTGCTGTTTTGGTTACTGTAGCCGTGTAGTATAGTTTGAAGTCAGGTAGTGTGATGCCTCCAGCTTTGTTCTTTTGGCTTAGGATTGACTTGGCGATGTGGGCTCTTTTTTGGTTCCATATGAACTTCAAAGTAGTTTTTTCCAATTCTGTGAAGAAAGTCATTGGTAGCTTGATGGGGATGGCATTGAGTCTATAAATTACCTTGGGCAGTATGGCCATTTTCATGATATTGATTCTTCCTACCCATGAGCATGGAATGTTCTTCCATTGGTTTGTATCCTCTTTTATTTCCTTGAGCAGTGGTTTGTAGTTCTCCTAGAAGAGGTCCTTCATGTCCCTTGTAAGTTGGATTCCTAGGTATTTTATTCTCTTTGAAGCAATTGTGAATGGGAGTTCTCTCATGATTTGGCTCTCTGTCTGTTATTGGTGTACAAGAATGGTTGTGATTTTTGTACATTGATTTTGTATCCTGAGACTTTGCTGAAGTTGCTTATCAGCTTGAGGAGATTTTGGGCTGAGACAATGGGGTTTTCTAGATATACAATCATGTCATCTGCAAACAGGGACAATTTGACTTCCTCTTTTCCTAATTGAATACCCTTTCTTTCCTTCTCCTGCCTGATTGCTCAGGCCAGAATTTCCAACACTATGTTGAATAGGAGTGGTGAGAGAGGGCATCCCTGTCTTGTGCCAGTTTTCAAAGGGAATGCTTCCCGTTTTTGCCCATTCAGTATGATATTGGTTGTGGGTTTGTCATAGATAGCTCTTATTATTTTGAGATACGTCCCATCAATACCTAATTTATTGAGAGTTTTTAGCATGAAGGGTTGTTGAATTTTGTCAAAGGCCTTTTCTGCATCTATTGAGATAATCATGTGGTTTTTGTCTTTGGTTCTGTTTATATTCTGGGTTACATTTATTGATTTGTGTATGTTGAACCAGCCTTGCATCCCAGGGATGAAGCCCACTTGATCATGGTGGATAAGCTTTTTGATGTGTTGCTGGATTCAGTTTGCCGGTGTTTTACTGAGGATTTTTGCATCAATGTTCATCAAGGATATTGGTCTAAAATTCTCTTTTTTTGTTGTGTCTCTGCCAGGCTTTGGTATCAGGATGTTGCTGGCCTCATAAAATGAGTTAGGCAGGATTCCCTCTTTTTCTGTTGATTGGAATAGTTTCGGAAGGAATGGTATCAGCTCCTCTTTGTACCTCTGGTAGAATTTGGCTGTGAATCCATCTGGTCCTGGACTTTTTTTGGTGGTAAGCTATTGATTATTGCCTCAATTTCAGAGCCTGTTATTGGTCTATTCAGAGATTCAACTTCTTCCTGGTTTAGTCTTGGGAGGATGCATGTGTCGAGGAATTTATCCATTTCTTCTAGATTTTCTAGTTTATTTGCGTAGAGATGTTTGTAGTATTCTCTGATGGTAGTTTGTATTTCTGTGGGATCGGTGGTGATATCCCCTTTATCATTTTTTATTGCATCTATTTGATTCTTCTCTCTTTTCTTCTTTATTAGTCTTGCTAGCAGCCTATCAATTTTGTTGATCCTTTCAAAAAACCAGCTCCTGGATTCATTAATTTTTTGAAGGGTTTTTTGTGTCTCTATTTCCTTCAGTTCTGCTCTGATTTTAGTTATTTCTTGCCTTCTGCTAGCTTTTGAATGTGTTTGCTCTTGCTTTTCTAATTCTTTTAATTGTGATGTTAGGGTGTCAATTTTAGATCTTTCCTGCTTCCTCTTGTGGGCATTTAGTGCTACAAATTTCCCTCTACACACTGCTTTGAATGTGTCCCAGAGATTCTGGTATGTTGTGTCTTTGTCCTCGTTGGTTTCAAAGAACATCTTTATTTCTGCCTTCATTTCATTATTTACCCAGTAGTCGTTCAGGAGCAGGTTGTTCAGTTTCCATGTAGTTGAGCAGTTTTGAGTGAGTTTCTTAATCCTGGGTTCTAGTTTGATTGCACTGTGGTCTGAGAGACAGTTTGTTATAATTTCTGTTCTTTTACATTTGCTGAGGAGTGCTTTACTTCCAACTATGTGGTCAATTTTGGAGTAGGCATGGTGTGGTGATGAAAAGAATGTATATTCTGTTGATTTGGGGTGGAGAGGTCTGTAGATGTCTATTAGGTCTGCTTGGTGCAGAGCTGAGTTCAATTCCTGGGTATCCTTGTTAACTTTCTGTCTCGTTTGATCTGTCTAATGTTGACAGTGGGGTGTTAAAGTCTCCCATTATTATTGTGTGGGAGTCTAAGTCTCTTTGTAGGTCACTAAGGACTTGCTTTATGAATCTGGGTGCTCCTGTATTGGTTGCATATATATTTAGGACAGTTAGCTCTTCTTGTTGAATTGATCCCTTTACCATTATGTAATGGCCTTCTTTGTCTCTTTTGATCTTTGTTGGTTTAAAGTCTGTTTTATCAGAGACTAGGATTGCAACCCCTGCCTTTTTTTGTTTTCCATTTGCTTGGTAGATCTTCCTCCATCCCTTTATTTTGAGCCTATATGTGTCTCTGCATGTGAGATGGGTTTCCTGAATACAGCACACTGATGGGTCTTGACTCTTTATCCAATTTGCCAGTCTGTGTCATTTAATTGCAGCATTTAGCCCATTTACATTTAAAGTTAATATTGTTATGTGTGAATTTGATCCTGTCATTATGATGTTAGCTTGTTATTTTGCTCGTTAGTTGATGCAGTTTCTTCCTAGCCTTGATGGTCTTTACAGTTTGGCATGTTTTTGCAGTGGCTGGTACTGGTTGTTCCTTTCCATGTTTAGTGCTTCCTTCAGGAGCTCTTTTAGGGCAGGCCTGGTGGTGACAAAATCTCTCAGCATTTGCTTGTCTGTAAAGTATTTTATTTCTCCCTCACTTATGAAGCTTAGTTTGGTTGGATATGAAATTCTGGGTTGAAAGTTCTTTTCTTTAAGAATTTTGAATATTGGTCCCCACTCTCTTCTGGCTCGTAGAGTTTCTGGCGAGAGATCAGCTGTTAGTCTGATGGGCTTCCCTTTGTGGGTAACCCGACTTTTCTCTCTGGCTGCCCTTAACATTTTTTCCTTCATTTCAACTTTGGTGAATCTGACAATTACGTGTCTTGGAGTTGCTCTTCTCAAGGAGTATCTTTGTGGCGTTCTCTGTATTTCCTGAATCTGAATGTTGGCCTGCCTTGCTAGATTGGGGAAGTTCTCCTGGATAATATCCTGCAGAGTGTTTTCCAACTTGGTTCCATTCTCCCCATCACTTTCAGGTACACCAATCAGACGTAGATTTGGTCTTTTCACATAGTCCCATATTTCTTGGAGGCTTTGTTCTTTTTATTCTTTTTTCTCTAAACTTCTCTTCTCGCTTCATTTCATTCCTTTCGTCTTCCATCACTGATACCCTTTCTTCCAGTTGATCGCATCGGCTACTGAGGCTTCTGCATTCGTCATGTAGCTCTCGTGCCTTGGTTTTCAGCTCCATCAGGTCCTTTAAGGACTTCTCTGCATTGATTATTCTAGTTATCCATTTGTCTAATTTTTTTTTCAAAGCTTTTAACTTCTTTGCCATTGGTTCGAATTTCCTTCTGTAGCTTGGAGTAGTTTGATCATCTGAAGCTGCCTTCTCTCAACTCGTCCAAGTCATTCTCTGTCTAGCTTTGTTCCATTGCTGGTGAGGAGCTGCATTCCTTTGGAGGAGGAGAGGCGCTCTGATTTTTAGAGTTTCCAGTTTTTCTGCTCTGTTTTTTTCCCATCTTTGTGGTTTTATCTACCTTTGGTCTTTGATGATGGTGACGTACAGATGGGTTTTGGGTGTGGACGTCCTTTCTGTTTGTTAGTTTTCCTTCTAACAGACAGGACCCTCAGCTGCAGGTCTGTTGGAGTTTGCTAGAGGTCCACTCCAGACCCTGTTTGCCTGGGTACCAGCAGCGGTGGCTGCAGAACAGCGGATATTGGTGAACTGCAAATGCTGCTGCCTGATCGTTCCTCTGAAAGTTTTGTCTCAGAGGAGTACCCGGCAGTGTGAGGTGTCAGTCTGCCCCTACTGAGGGGTGCCTCCCAGTTATGCTACTCGGGGGTCAGGGACCCACTTGAGGAGGCAGTCTGCCTGTTCTCAGATCTCAAGCTGCGTGCTGGGAGAACCACTACTCTCTTCAAAGCTGTCAGAGAGGGACATTTAAGTCTGCAGAGGTTACTGCTGTCTTTTTGTTTGTCTGTGCCCTGCCCCCAGAGGTGGAGCCTACAGAGGCAGGCAGGCCTCCTTGAGCTGTGGTGGGCTCCACCCAGTTCAAGCTTCCCGGCTGCTTTGTTTACCTAATCAAGCAACTAACTCGGCAATGGCAGGCGCCCCTCCCCCAACCTCGCTGCCACCTTGCAGTTTGATCTCAGACTGCTGTGCTAGCACTGAGCGAGACGCCGTGGGCGTAGGACCCTCTGAGCCAGGTGTGGGATATAATCTCCTGGTATGCCATTTTTAAAGCTGGTTGGAAAAGCTTCAGTATTAGGGTAGGAGTGACCCGATTTTCCAGGTGGTGTCTGTCACCCCTTTCTTTGACTAGGAAAGGGAATTCCCTGACCCCTTGTGCTTCCCGGGTGAGGCGATGCCTTGCCCTGCTTCGGCTCGTGCATGGTGCGCTGCACCCACTGTCCTGCACCTACTGTCTGGCACTCCCCAGTGAGATGAACCCAGTACCTCAGTTGGAAATGCAGAAATCACCCATCTTCTGCGTGGCTCATGCTGGGAGCTGTAGACCAGAGCTGTTCCTATCTCCCTCCCTACCTTTTTTAAAAAAAAAAAAAACTCCTTGTGGTCCCAAAAAGTAACCCAAGGTTACTTGTTTAGCCTGTGGGAGAGATCCTGGGAATCACTGAGAAAGCTTCATTTTGTCTTACATTTAAGGAGTGAGCTCTGATTGTACCTAATCTGACTACCTCCTTAGCAGCTACAAGAGAGAAATCTTCCTTAGACCCCCACTCCAAAGAAGAAGAAGATAGAAATATACTCTAAAGAGAAAACATCCCCTGGGAGTTTCATAAGGGAAATTACATTTTCAAATTCCTTCAGCATCCATGAATCTAATCCATAGGATCTGGATAGTAGTCTACAGAGTGTGGAGTTTGCCAAGATCTGTGGTTCTTTCCATCTGAAGCCTTTGTTCAGGAAGCCCTGGTCTTCCTCCTCCAGCCACATCTCAGGTCTGGGGCATTTTCCTACAAGGACACAACAATATTAAACTTTGTTAAAGAAGGAAGAAGAGCTACAAAGCAACTCACTCAGTAATTTTCTTGCTGACCCCAATCTAAGCTGGTTCTTATTCCTTATCTTGATTCTACTATGTAGACAAAAATGAAGACTTCTCTCTAAGACCAATCATTTTAAGGGGCAAATAAAAAGTGACAATGCAAATACACTCACACAAAAACAAAAGAAATAACACCCAAACCCAAAATGAACAGAAACCAAAAACCAGCCTCTGCACTCATAAAATGTGATTGCTTTATGGTGAACAGACAGTCCACAATGAATGGCAAGTTAATTGTCTATTGATGTTGTCCTCTTCAGCCTCTTGGTAGGCAAGGATTTGATCATTTCATGTTCCTTAAAGATAAGACTGCAGACCATAGAATCTAGCTGGAGATGATAACACAGTTTCCTGAGTGAAGGCTATAAAGGGACAAAACCATAGACCTTGGCAAATCCCAGAGCAAATCTCTTAACCTTGAGGCCACACTCTCCAGTACAGACTATGGGAATAGGGAGCAGAGGGAAATGGAGTGGTTAGAAATCTTCCCTGATACTTGATGAGCTTCCTTTGGGAAAGTTAAAAGGGAGTACCTTTAAACAACAACCTGACTGAGCAGTCTTAGAGGCTGCAGACTGCAGTCAGGTGCATTGCAGGGACAGCCTGTTGAATACCTTTGAAACTGCCCTTTTGTAGAGTAGATATAGAGGAGGACTGCTATGGTCTGAATGTTTTGTTCCCCCATAACTCATATTTTGAAGCCTAATTCTCAATGTTACAGTTTTAAATGGAGGACCTTTGGGGGGTGATTAGATCATGAGGATGGAGCCCTCATGAATGAGATTAGTGCCCTTATACAAGAGACCTGAGGGGGGCGGGCATGGTGGCTCATGCCTGTAATCGCAGCATTTTGGGAGGCCGAGGTGGGCGGATCACGAGGTCTGGAGTTTGAGACCATCCTGGCCAACATGGTGAAACTCCATCTCTACTGAAAAAATACAAAAAATGAGTCAGGCGTGGTGGCACACACCTGTAGTCCCAGCTACTCGGGAGGCTGAGGCAGGAGAATTGCTTGAACCCAGGAGGTGGAGGTTGCAGTGAACCCAGATTGTGCCACTGTGCTCCAGCCTGGCAACAGAGTGAGACTCCATCTCAAAAAAAAAAAGAGAGAGAGAGAGACCTGAGGGAGTTTGTTTGCCTCTTCTACCTTTTAATGACACAGCTATAAGGCACCATCTATGAGGAAAAGAACCCTCACCAGATACCACCAGTGCCTTGGTCTCAGGCTTCTCAGCCTCCAGAACTGTGAGAAATAAATTTCTGCTGTTTATAAGTTACCCAGTCTAAGGTATCTTGTTATAGCCACCAGAACAGACTAATACAGCGACTGAAGTGTGCATCTTAAATAGGCCAACTGTCACTATTATAAAATGTGCTATCCACATCCTCATTTTTTAGTTAGTAAGTTCGGGTTGTCAGTTTTTCTTAGTCCCCTGAAGTGTGTAGGTTTAGAAATAAATTCTTTCATTATTTTTTCTGCACAGGGGTAAAACAAATGGGAACAGGCCCAGGCTGGAATCAAAAAGGCAATTACTGAGTGTACAGAACAATTGACAAAGGCCGTGTGGCCCCTGCCTCTGGCCTTGGCTGAGCCTGTTGCAGGCAGGAGAGCGCTGAGTAGACAGGTTGGTGGAGAAGCAGTCGTCTGATCTTCCTTGAGAGATGCTGATCTCACACCCTGGGGACCTGCGGGCCCTGCTTCACCACGGCCTCTCTGTAAACACATCACCCCTGGAATCAGATGGTTTCATGTCTGCAGAAGGTTCCTAATTCTCCGTTTTTTTTTAATTATCTTTTTTATTTCCATGACTCATTTTACTTTCCAGTATAATTGTTGAGTACATCAATCTCAACTTTAGATAAGCAAAAGTGTATTTATTTAAACTTGATTAAAGATATCAAACAAGAGGAAGAACTAAAACCCCACGGCATCATGTCATGTCATACTGTACTTGGAGATATAGACAGACACATCAAGTTTACAATTAGGAATTAGACTCAAATTTCAAAAGGCTGCGTATCACAGGTGTTGATATGCAGTGAACAAAGAAAAAAATAATTATTAAAAAAAATAAAAGACTGTCTAGCTCAATGATTCCATCAGCAACTGCAAGTGTGCTACTTTCCTCTAATAAGAAAGTCCACGCTAGACCCCAGGAAGCACATAACCAGGCTGGGCCAATCAACTGTGTTATTCTGTTCTCCTGGCCTGTGACTGGTTCCAAGGATGGGCTTGTGACCCAAACCCGGACAAATCAGTGATCTTCTGTAGGATATTTCACACTTAAGTTGGGAGGAAGACTTTTTCTAAGATGAAATTCAGAGCTGCCTGTGGCTATGTTTCCTTCAAATAGAAAAATTCTGTAATGAAGACTACAGATGGAATTAGACTGAGTTGAAAGATTGACGGGGAGAGACAGTGAGGGAGAACCCAGAGTGGCAAAGAAAGACGGCAGCACTCCAATGGCACTGTAGACCCTGAGTGTTGTTGTCCCTGAGGTCAGACCCACTCTTGCCAAATCTGGGTTGTTTATTGGGCTAATGAATTGCCTTTTATTCCAGGATCGTCCTCTTCTAAATGACGTTTAAATCTTGGCATCCCCAAGGTTCAGTCCCAAGCCATTTTCTTGTCTTTATCTATTCACTCTCTTGGTGATCTCATCTAGTCTCATGGTTTTAAATACCACTTATGTTGATGGCTTGTAAATTTATAAGTGTAGCCCTTACCTCTACACCCATAGATCTGGCTGCCTGATCAACAATGCCTCTCCGCTGTCTGGTAGTCATTTTGATCTGACTTGTCCAACACAACACTCATCCCTCTCCTCTCCTCTCTGCCCCTACCCCCTAACCTGGGCTTTCCCATCTCAGTAAATAGTACCACCAATTGCATATTTCATGGTTCAGTCCAGAAACCTGACTCGTCCCTATTTTGCACCTCCAACATCCAATCTATCACCAAATCCTGCTGGTTTTTCCTCTAAAATAAATCTCCCATCTGCCTACTCCTTTTCTTCTCCTTTTCTTCACATCCTGGTCTATCACAACAGCTTCCTAACTGGTCTCCTTGCTTTTACTCTTGACAACCTATAACATATTCTCCAACTCCACGCAGCACATAGGGCACTCTTTTAAGAATCTGAATGAGTTAATGCCATTCCCATGCTTAACTTTCTACAATTGCTTTTACAATAATTAATAAAATCCAGGCTTCTTATCATGGTCTACAAGACTCTATGATCTGTCCCCTGTCCATCTCTCCAACTCATCTTCTTCCTTCATTAAGTCTTCTTTCCTTGAAACTGTCAAATTTGCTGTCTGCCTTAAGGCCTTGCATTTGCTCATCTCTGCCCAGAATGTTTGCACAACTGGTTTCTTTTCATCATTCCAATGCCTCAGAGAAGACTTCTCTCTCCCCTAAATCTAAGTTATCTCTGATTCTTTAGTAACAATCTATATACTAGGTTAAGTATCTTATCACAATCTGATATTCTCTTTTCCTTTTTTCTTTATATTTTCTCTCTTTCTACTAGAATGTAAGCACCATAAAACAAGGGACTTTGTGTTTTCACTACTGTTAACCTCAGCATCTAGAATAGCTTCTGGCAAAGAGAAGTGCTCAGTGTTTGTTGAATGAATAAAAGTCATATAGCTGGGTTTCTCTCATTTGCAAATAAAGGAGATCGCAAGAGCTACAAAATAGTTTCTTATAATTTCACATACTAATCAGTAATTGTCATAGTTTAGAACTTAATAGATTATAAAGTTGTGTTGAATGCTGTAACAGTAGCAACAACAGCAGCAACAATGATACTTGTTTATTGAGCATTTACTACATTCTAGACACAAGATTTTTGCATTAGTCAGATTTAATCCCCACAGAAATCCTGTGAGGTGGGTATCTTTATCTTCTTTTAAACAGTGTTATAAACAGACCAAGAGAGATTACACAATTTGTCCAAGATTACACAGTAAGTAAAATTGGTGGGCTTTGAACTTGAACTTGGGAGTTCTGATTCCAATGTCAGTATTTATTCATGACATCACACTATCTCTGGAAAGTAAATATAATGCTAGAATATGAAAGATAAATATTTAACAAATTCAACACTCTACTTCTTACTAGGTACGAGGTTTGCAGATATCTTGCTAGATAGAAACTTCACTGCTAACAACAACAGCATAAAATACGACTCAAAAGGCACTTTACAGGAAAAGCAAAAAAAATCAGTTTAACAAACAGTTTGAATAATCAAAGAATGTCAAGAGTCTAACCTTCGCTACTACCTTACATTTTATTGTAGCGTAGCTTTAGAAGAAACAAAAATATCTGCTCAAGCATCTCACAGTGATGTTGAGACATTATAAAGGCATTTTGAGTAAGAAAAATTATATCATGTGCATGTGAGGTTTAATTATTTTTAGATTGGTTAACCCCTTATTCCCAGAGACAAATGTCAGCTCATCCAAGAAGCTTGCAATTTTGGGGGTAAAGATGCTGTTTGTTCTGTACTGCTGTGAACTAATAAGAATTGTTCCCATAAGTAGGACCAATGAAAATAATTTTAAACCTACGAACATTTGGAAGAATGTTGGAAAGAAATAGAAGGATCTAGGCACAATTGCATTGGATCCAAATAGCCGGAAGTCACAGACCAAGAAGCTTGTGTTATATTTCCTTAGAAACACTACCTAGAAAGAAAGAGGGAGAGGGAGGAGGGAGACAGAGGAAGAAGGAGAGAAAACGGATGAAGACGGGAGGGAGGGAGTGCAGAGAGAAGGAAGGATAAAGAGAAAGAGAAAAGGAAGAAAGGGAGGGAGGGTGAGATGAAGGGAGGGAGGGGAACTGTTAACACCGCCGGTCATGAGATGAACTCTCTAGGCTTGTCATTCCGGAGCCCTTTGTCCTCTCAATGTGTATAGATGCTCCCTCTGGCTGCAGATTCCTCTGTTGAAGCTCTGGCACTGAGGCTTGCCTCACACTTCCTTGTTGCTGTTTAAACGGGTGCAGCCTCTGCTCTCCCCCTTCTGCCTCACAGGCCTGGAAGAATGATTGTAAGCAGTGCACAGAACACATCGGCAAGTCTCCTTCCCACCCAGGGGGTCTCCTTGTCGGGCTGACTGCTGCTTTGTCTTGATTTGGAATCTCTCTGTTTCCTCCTTGGCTCCTTCTCCCCTCAAAGTGCCCACTGGCTTATAATGGTCACACTTCATCACCATCTCATTTATCTGTGGGCCTGCCTCCTCAGGACCACTCCATTCTCTGATATATTTGATGAAACTCTTATTTTCCTTAACTCTTCTCCAAACGATAACTCAGCCAGCATTTTTGCCAACCTTATCTTTTCCCAGCAGTCTTAACTGATGCCACCAATTTTTTTTTTTTTTTTTTTTTTTTGCTTCATTGCCTCTCATCTTCTCCATTTGTAGGACAGATGTTTCCTTTTCTTCTTATTAATTATCACAAATACCCAAATAAAACCTAAAGATAGACTAACTTATTTTCTCTTCTCTATCAATAGGAATTAAAGAACTATTATCTGTTCCCTCCTGTTACTAAGGAAATCCTTAGGTAGAAAAATAAAAATAAAAACACTGAAATTACCCATTTATTTAATTGCAAGGCACTTGCTTTCATAAGCCACATTTTCACTGCTGAGAACATTCTGATTTGGCAACAAAAGGCAAAAGCTACTTCTAGTGAGAGCGGCAAGGAGTCCACGCCTGCTATACGACAGTGTGGAGAAAGCGCGTGAGGCAGCTTTCACGGCTCTCCACCTTTGAGGGAGGGGCAGCCAGGAGGTGCAGACAGAACCCGGGCCTGGGAAGGTACAGATTGAAAGAGATGGACACAGTCAAGACAGGAAGATCAAGGGACTAGATGAAATGTTAACAAAGACTAGAGCAACACAAAGAAACTTAGAGACAGGGGCAAACTGGAGAGCCATGAAAGAGATATGGTTTATTAACTATGAAAAGTAGCAAAAGGCAGAAAAAGAAAGAGTCCCGGCCGGGTGCAGTGGCTCACGCCTGTAATCCCAGCACTTTGGGAGGCCAAGGCGGGAGGATCACGAGGTCAGGAGTTCAAGACCAGCCTGACCAACAGGGTGAAACCCCGTCTGTACTAAAAATACAAAAATTAGCCAGGCATGGTGGCATGTGCCTGTAATCCCAGCTACTGAGGAGGCTGAGGCAGAAGAATCACTTGAACCCTAGAGGCAGAGATTGCAGTGAGCTAAGATTGCTGCACTCCAGCCTGGGTGTCAGAGCAAGACTCTGGAAAGAAGAAAAGGGAAGGGAAGGGAGAAAAGAAAGAAACAGAGGGAAGGAGGAGCCCAAAGAGAGAAAGAGATGAAGATTACAGGGCAGGTCATTAAAAGTTTGTCCAATTTTCCTGGGGACAGTAGCTGCAATTCAGGTAACTGTTACCTGTTGGTGACAGAAATTTTGGGGTTTTTGTGCTGCCATTTATCATTAAAAATCTCAGAGCTAAATACACAAGATTCAAATATTGCTTGACATTTTCCTAGTGAAATAGGTTTTTATTAAAACACAAATGTATGTTAGAGCAGTATTCTCTTTTAGATATATATATAAATAAGGGAAATATAAGCAGAAGCAAGACCTAAAGAAATAGAAGGATCTGGGCACAATTGCAGTCTGATAGCCAATTTAACTTCGGTTTAGATTGTTTCTCAGTTTAACCATGGTTTCTACACAGACAGACAAAATATTGGCTGTTTCAGACATCAAAGAGGAGATCCGAGCCTTGGCCCAGAAGCAATTACTTTAAGTGACTTGTCTAGTTCTGACACTAGCTGCTCAAGGATGTGGGCCTCAGAACTTCACATGAAGATTGTTTTAGTATGAAAATCTTCAACCACAGTATTATAATATAAGCATTATTCGTCCCAAAGTTCACGGACACCATCTAATAAAGTTGCTGGAATGAAATGTCTTCCCTGTCTTATGGCTCACTTGAAAGGTTCATGGAATTCATTTAGCTCTGGCACAGCAAATAGATTTCATCTCAAGAGCAAACTCTGGTTAATAGATGGTAGCTGCCAGGGAAGCTCTGCTGAGACAACATGTGTTGAGAATGAGTGTGTGCTTGGAGGGAAAGGGTGCTGAGCCTGAGGAGCTCCACGTGCCATAAATACAGGAGGGAGGGGTGCCAAAATGCCTGCTGTGAACTGAGGACCTCGTGACCTGGCGGAAGCTACCTTACTAACCCTTATTTAAGCATCTCCTTGAGAAGTCTGAGGCTGTTCTGCTGGGCTGTGGGCCCAGAAGGAGAGAAAATAGAAGAAGGTGGGGTGTCAGCTAAAAGAGACACGGTAGGCCACCTCCTGGTTTCCACTAAACTCTCGTTTCACCTTTCTAATTTCATGTCAGTTTATTTCAAGAGCAGTTCCAGGAAGTTAAGAGGAGGGACACTGTCTGCTGTATGCTAGGCACTTGGGATATAGTGATTAATGTGACATTATCCAGCTCCCATGGAACCCATAGCCTAGTTGGGTGAGGAGGGAGATCAGTCACATCAAGATTTATTTTAATACACCGTGAGTCATGCGATACTGAATACCAGTCTCCTACAGGAAACCTTTCCATGACCCATTGCTTCCTGCCTAAAGGCCAACTTTCTTATTGTGGCACACGGATCCCTATTAACACAGATTCCGTTTACATCTCCAGCTTTCTGTGCTTCATCTATACTGAACTTTTTAAAATTTTCCAAACAAATCATATTTCAGTCCCCTGCAGACTCACCATACTTTTCCATCTGCCTGGAAAACTTTAACTCCTTTCCCACCAGTGCTCTGCCTAACCTGCTCAACAGCTCTTAGCCTTCCTCCAGCAATTCCAATGGTACACATCTCACACAGCACTTTGCTCATCTGAGCACTCATCACTCTATGTTGGGATTGGTTAGTTACATGTCTGTTTCTGCCTATAGACTGTTTGGTCTGTGAAGGCAGGGACCAGGAATGTGTTCATCTTTACATTCCCAGAAAGCAGCAGAAAGCCTGGCACTCATTAGGTTCTTGTGGGATATTTGCTAGATAAGTAAATCAACAGAAATTGTATTCAAGTGGGTGATTCACTATGCCTTTGGTTTACTATTATTACATATTGGACACAGAAAGGGGGTTGCAAGAGATTTTTTTTTGAATTTCAGAGGAAACAGTTAACCACTTTATCTCAGTAGCTTCTACATGTGTCTAAGGGTATCACTCTAGGTCTTTCTCTGATACTTATTTTCAGTTTCTAAGCTCCAAGGTTTTAGCTATAATAATATACATAAAAGTTTACTCCTCCCATGGATATTTGAAATTAAAACTTGGTTTTGGAAAATAAAAAATTCTTCAAGGACTGAATAAAGAGCAACAATAATTAATATGCGAACAGAGCTTTAAGATTTATACTACAAGCCCAGACCCCATCATTATGCAATATATCAGTGTAACAAATCTCTACATGTATACCCTGAATCTAAAATAAATTTTTTAAATGCAAAAAGCTTTTATGTTATTTTTATTTGCTTCCTACAATAAACTGGGGCTCAGAAAGCTTGAGAATCTGCCCAGCAAACAGATTGGACAGAACAAGGCATCAAAGATGGTGTATCTTTTAAATCCAAGTCCTATGTCCTTTCTCCTACAACACCACAGTTTCCCATGGCTGATAGGGGAATTCTAGGTACTGAATAGGAGTGTGAGAGAGCTGTTTTGGGATAGGGTGGATCTACCTGGTACCAGGCAAATCATACCATATAAGCAACTTCCTCCTCTACCCACGGTGAACCTATCCCTGGGGAGAAGTTATGGCCTTAGCCCCTTTTGAAAATTCATTAGTGAATTCCAGGGTTTGGTCCTAGGCTGGCTGAGCAGACTTAGGTGCTATCATTGCAGTCTTTCACCCTAAGTTGAATGTAAGACATGCACAGGTGCATGGTGGCCAGAGATAGATAGAACAATTTGCCAGCAAGGGCACCATCCTAACTGGAAAAGAGTGGTTTCCCTCAGGGGTTGTGTTGAATGCCAACTGATGAGTGGACATGAACTCATGTCCTGGCAGGGTGGAGTCTCTCCAGGATGTGAATGCTATTATCAGAATACCAAAGCAAGGATGGGCAACAGGGACTAAACAGACGGGGAGAGATGAATAAAGAGTTAATCCAAAGTTGGAAACTGGGTATCATGCATTCAAGGACCAAATGAAGTTGTATAGGCAGGATCCTATTGTGTTAGGATTATTTTGGAAAGTTGAAACCCCATAACCCTGAAAGAGATCTGTTTTGAGCCAAGCCTTGGAGAGCTGACTGGGAAACCAGTTGAGGAATAGGGAAGCTGAATGCAGGAGGGTAGCCAATCCCTACTGAAAAATGAATCCCATCTCTGAAATTCCTAGAGTCTTTCCCTGTGCTCATCTGCAAAGTCTAGATCCAGCCTTCCTTCACATCCCTTCTCCAACCACTTGCAAACTGGGAAGGCTTTCTCTTGCTTCCTTCACCTCCCAGGATTGTCAATATACAGAGGCGTGCTATTTATCTCTGTCACTCAGCCTTCTCCTACCTTAGGGCAAAAACTACCATTGATTACAGACCTACCCAATTAAAGCTTCAGAACACTTAAGTTAGCAATTATTATTAGCCACAAAATGCTGGAAATTGTTTTTTAGGCATCATCTTGTTGTTTACTCTGACAGGTTCCCATTGAGCTTTCTCTGAACTATTCTGTGAGTTGGAAGGATAGTTCCAAAGCAGTTAATTTGCCTCCTGAGCTTTCATGGTTCACAGCTGAGAATGAGTTACTCCTCAGGATGGGGTTGGGGGGGGCGGGGGTGCAATTCATCCATCCCCTTGCCTGAAGGAAGACTATGATTATGTAAACTAAGAAGGCAGAAGACTTGGGAAGAATAGAACACAAAGATCCCCTAATTTAAAGATTCCCCATGAGTGGGAATTTCCTATTCTATGATAGGAACATTTGGAGGTCAAATTCCTCCCTGCAGTAGTAGCTGCATACAGAACAGACAGATTGCACCTACAGCACAGCCTTTACTGTGGTCCCTGCAGCCAAACTTCTATGTTTCATCTGATACCTGTTTATTTTTCAAGCCTGGTTCTCCAGCTTGGATTCTGCAAGTCTGATAGCTTTGCAATAAAGATAAGATAGTCTAGTTGGTTTCTATTGCTTCTTGCCTGGTGTGGTAGGTACACATTCACACCCAGTATACTGAGCACTCAGGACATGCCACAAGATGATCTGGAAGTGAAGGGGCACCTAATTCATCATGATTGGGCCAACTAAATGTCCCCAGAGGCCACACTAAGCTGAATCTTGAAAAATATTATTGCAATATGAACAAGCAGGGGGAAGGGTGCTTCATCTAGAATGAGAGCCAAGAAGTGAAAGAGAATATGGTCTGATGAAGCAACTGAAAAGTTTTTGGTAACTGCTGAGCATAGAGTTCACAGGAGAAGTGGCTGGAAATGAGGCTGGGGAAGTGGACAGGAAGTGTGAACTTTGTTCTGAAGATGATGGAGAGCCGACGGGAGAGACTCAGCAGGAAGTGCTAAATTAGATTTGTGCTTTGTCTGGCACATGTATGGGGGGATCACGGGAAGGAGCTGAGGCAGGAGACAGGCAGGTATCTCAGAGCAATAATCCCAACAGGAAATGATGAGACTATGTGTAGGACTATAGCACTTGCCAGGTAAAGTGGGATTCAGGCAAAGGTAAAGCCAAAGAAACCGATTCTGATTGAAAGAGACAGTAAATTGCAATGGTGATAGAAATTAGCATAGGTGCCCTGCAGAGAAATATTGGGTCTGTGAAGGTGAGATATATGAAAGGCTGAGCTGAACGAAATTCTCTTAAAATAACATCCTTCTCTTTCAGTGATTCTGTGTTCACATATGTATATATCCTTCAGTTCTCTCTTCAAAATTTCCCCATCTCCATGCTCATCACCATCTGGCCTTTCGCTCCTCATTTCCCCAACCCATACAAAGACAGTCTGTGCTTTACCTTCAACATGCAACCTGCAATTTATCCCTGCAGTTTACTACCCAATCTTCTCTGCTCTGCTCTTCCCAAAGCTTCCCATCGCAGAAGGCCAGGTTAAGCCACAAGCCTTTCACAAAGCCTTCCCTGATGGCTCCAGACAACCCTCCCTCTCGCTGGGTTTTCTATCATATCTACAGTCAGTTCCAAACAATAAATAGCTTACTAAATATACTGCCTTACTGTTTTCTTACCCAAGAAAATGACAGATTTTTAACTTGTGGACAAGGGCCTTGTCTTCTATGTCTTTTGTTTAGTCTGTGAAATTTTGCCTGGGAGAGAAAAAAAAAGTGGTAGTAACACAGAAAATAGAGTAGAAAATATAATTTGCATTTACAATACAATGATTGGGGCCCTATCCAAGGTACCACAACTGAAGGAAAATTGAAGCAATCAGCTATCGTCTAAAGCAGACATAGGAGGAAAAATTGAACTTAGAGATGTTTTGCAAATTTCAAGAGAAACATGCATGATGTGGTATTTAGAGAACTGTCATGTGATGGATGGATGTGGACCTGTTCTGTATCACTAGTGTGTAAAACCAGGGCAATGGATAAAAATTATAAGAGGGTTTTCAGCTCAACATAAAGAGGTGCTTTTTAAAATCACAGCTGTGCAAAGGTGAAGCAGGATATGCTAAGAGGTTGTAAGTTCCTTTTTACCGCAGACATTCAAGCAGAAGCTTTAGAACCAATAGTAAGTGGTGTCAATGCAGGGTAGTGGTTAGAGCATAGACTTTGTTTTCTAAGCTATAAAATGAGAATAATAATATCTACCTCACAGAACTGATGTCAGGACTAAATGAGATAACATACGTAAAGTGTTTAGCAGAATCAATTAATGGCAGCTCTTGTTATTTTGAAATAATTGATATAAGAGGATTTGCACACCAAATGGGGGAAGCATCAAGTTAGATGTTTTTGAAGCCTCTCCCAAATCCAACTGTCTATAATTGTAAGATAATGAGTACTTACTGGTGAACTTGGATTTATAGAAATGGTATATCATCTGTGGATGGCTGGTATCACATGGCTTCTACTTCCCTTGAGGATTACAGTGATCATTTTGGCCCCAGAGCAGCAGTAAGAGAAGAATCACCAGAAAGACACTAGATCTAGAAGAGCTGATTTGTAGCTGGGAGCAGAGAGTTATTAAAAGATAAATACAGGCAGGAAATTAGAAATTAAGTTTACCAAGTCAAAAATGTAAAGTCAGGAATAGATGGGGGGTCAGAGTCCAGACTAGTAAGACACAGATTAAAGGGCATATAGAAATAAGAGTTTGCAGGAGGCCAAATGTAAAACCCAAGGAGACAGCTCTGATGGAGTCATCAGCAATCATTATGATAAAAATTTTAATACGGGGCAAGAACTGCTTCACCAAGGGCTGAATGACACATTCCCTGGTGGAACGGGGCTCTGAGTACCCCTTTTTAAATCTGCCAAAGGCACCCCTATGGGGAGGGGGCCCATGGAACTTTACAAAGCCATTATATCCCAATCCTGTACCTGCATATGGAGCTGCTCAGCACGTATCTTAGTTATTTCTTTTTTTCTTTTTTTTGAGACGGAGTCTCACTCAGTCGCCCAGCCTGGAGTGCAGTGGTGCGATCTCGGCTCACTGCAAGCTCCGCCTCCCGGGTTCATGACATTCTCCTGCCTCAGCCTCCCGAGTAGCTGTGACTACAGGCGCCCACCACCATGCCCGGCTAATTTTTTGTATTTTGTTTAGTAGAGACAGGGTTTCACCGTGTTAGCCAGATGGTCTCGATCTCCTGACCTCGTGATCCGCCCGCCTCGGCCTCCCAAAGTGCTGGGATTACAGGCGTGAGCCACCGCGCCTGACATCTTTACTTCTTCATCCCAGGCTGCTGGCACCAAGTGTGAATTTCTTCTCCCACTGCTGTTTCTCCAGTTCACCCTTGGTGGCAACTCATCTGCTGTTCCCATCTTTGCTTCAATTTTACTTTCACCCTACCTTATCCATTCTTTCATTCATACTAGCTTTGGTAACGTGCTTCCTCTCCCCAGGGTCTGATCTTGACTCAATCTCTGCTTTTGTTTCTCCACTGCCATATCAGCACTGATATCTTGAAAGGGCATGACCTGCTATTCTGCCTGAATTACAACTACCAGTCCAGAGGCACAGAGATCTCTGTACGCACCCTGTGACTAGGTAAGGGGCCAGGAGACAACTGTGGTGGAATACCACTTCTACTGGCTTTCCATAACTCCTGGGTGGCCCGGCTTCCTCATGGCAGCTTCCCCAGAGGGGTCTTATTTCAACTAAAAGAATAGTTTGGGCATATACAGAACATGGACCTTTATCTTCCACAACCACCAACAGCAAAGCATTTTAAAGAGTCTGTAAGAACACATGGGAACCCTGTTAATAGCCCAAGGTTCAATTCCACCCTTCTCTCACCCTTTTTTTTTTTTTCAAACGGAATCATTCTGTTGTCAACTTTGGTGAGAGTTAGCTGTGTTTGACTGAAGCAGTAATTTGACAAGAGGTGTCTTCGCTGTCACTCAAATTGTGGAATAGAGCTCTTAGCATATGCAGGGTTTGTTCTCTCTGCCACCTCCATCTCCTCTTTGTGAAACTCTCTCTGCCTTCCCCTTGGAGATACGCCTCCTTAAAGATTAAGAGGAAAAAAAAAAACACCCAATCCTAGAGGTCAGGAGGGCATGTGCTTAAATCTACAATGAGTTGGTGTCTAAGATTCAAGATGAGTTTTAATCCCTGGGGGACTCTTCAGGGACAGGGAGGGGGAAGATATCATGACATAGGGAGCAGCATGGGTTCTGTTGGCAAAGGCTCCTTCCTTTTTTCATAAATCAACCCCAATGATTTAATTCCTCATAGAGGATGATGAATGAAAAGCTTCGAGACCTGGCACAAAGCTGGGCTTGGTGCAGGACCAAGATTGCTAAAATGTCTGCCTGACTTGTCCCCATGGTTGAGGAGCAGGGAGGACTCCTGGGTGCACTTCTGGCCCTGACTGCTGCTCAGGCCACCAGAGACTATGGACAGACATGTCAAATTCCAGACATTCTGGGAAATTGGGGATAGCGAAAATCTGGGTTTTGTGCTGATAAAACCTCGTGATTGGGAGTATGAGTTTTAGAATCAGAGGCACCTGGAATTGTAGCTTGTAATCTTCAGCAAGGTGTGTAACTTCTCCTTCTATAAAATGGGGATGAAATACCTATCTTAGAGTGCTAAGTAAATGATAGCTGTTATTATGAGTATAGTGTGCGTCTTCCCAAATGTACCTTTGGCTTCTTACAGAAGGACAACTGTAGGGTCTGACATTAGGGTTTATTTAGGAACTATGCTAACCAGAGAGAGAAACAGGAAATGGAAAGAGAATGTGTCTATTGACCCTTGTTTGGAATTGTAATCCTTTCTGGGGTCTTGTCCTCCTTATTGCTTAGCTGAGCCCTATTAGGCCCTATACTCCTGAGTCAAGATGAGCTTTAATGCCAGAGGGGGCTCTTCAGAGACAGCGAGGGGCAAGATATCTTGACACAGGGAGCAGCAGGGCTTATTGTAAGTGCGTAAGTCCCCTGGTGGGGAAGTTGAGGAGCTTGTGCATATCTGACTCAGAGAAGTCCTTGAGTTCATTGTAGGGAATTCCCTGCATGGCCTTCTCTGAATTCGTCCATCAGCAAACATTTGAGTACAGCAGCATGCCTGCCAGGTGGCTCCGGGCAGAGGAATACAAAGATGAACAAGATGCAACCCCTGCTTTTGAGGGCTTGACCCAGAGGGGAGTAATGAAACAGATGAGTAAATTAATAGCAAGGATGTCATGTGAGGAGAGTAATAATGGAGATAAGTGGAGCGAGTGTGTCATGGGAAAAAGGAGAGGGATGCCTGGCTTTACCAAGGCCGCCTCAAGAGGCCGGCCCTTCAGGGTTCACTGAAGCCCCCCAGATGTGAAGCCTTTCTGAGCCAACTAACCCTCTTTTCCCATCCCACTGCCCCATTGTACCACCCATCTCAGCATTTAAATATTTTGTTTCTCTGATGTTTATTTTTTATCTCCTGGACCATCAGTAAATGAGGATTAAACTGAATGAGATGATGTTTATAAAGTGCCTGGTACAAAGCTGTGTTCAATAAATGCTGGTTTTCTTTTATTCCTTTCCTCTGTAAGGGTAGTGTCTATGCTAGAGAGTGGGTTGAAGCATAGGAAATAACCATTTTTGTAGGTGTAAAATAGTTGAATATTACTAATTTCATATGGTTTGAGTTCATATTTTTATACATGTGCTTTATATATCTTTTTAATGGACAAATAAAAAGTTATATATAGTTATGGTATAAACATGGTATTTCAATATACGTATACCAAGGGAGTACTAAATGGAATGGCTAAACCAAGCTAATTAACATATGCATTACCTCACATAGCTATTTTTTGTGGTAAGAAAACTTAAAATCTACTCTCTTAGCAATCTTCAAGTATACAATGTATTGTTGTTAACCATAGTCACCATGATGTACAATAGATCTTTTGAACTTATTTTTCCTGTCTGTCAAGTTAATATTTTGTTCATTGACCCAGAGTTGATTCATGGCTTAATTGATTTAGCATAGAAGAAAGCATTTCTTATTGGCAAAGACTGAGGGAAAATGAGAGGCCTTGCTCTGTCTATTTGGCATGATTTTGAACACCACCTACTTGCTAGGCACTTTACAAGGAACCAGTGGTGTAAAAATAGAAGGTCCCTGCCCTCAAGGAGATGACAATCGAAGGAAGTGACAGGCAAGAAAAGTTCTAATTTAATATGATGATTCGTGATGCAGAAATCCACACAATGTACTATGGAAACACAAGAAGGGGTGATAAAGAGCTCACCCTAAAGAAGGTCAGGCAAAGCTTCACAGACAATGGACCTGAACCAGAGCCTGCAGAGGCATCTTTCCCAAAGCCAGGCATTCCAGGCAAAGGGAAGAACAAAGTCAGAGGGACACGAGAGGCAGCACATGGCAGTTTCCGGGGACCAGTGGGCCAGTGTCTCCAAAACAAATATGAAATTGGGAATGCAAGTATCCTCATCCATATCTTTAGGAAGAAACCCATGCCTCTAACTGGAGAGATACTGGTGGTCCTTCTTGCTGGGAATATGAACAGGATTTTCTCTGGGGGCCGTCTCCCCAGAGATGATGTTCGGCTGCTCCTTTGGGCCACAGGCGTGTGCCCTTCCTCCAGCAGTGTCTGCAATGGTCCCAGGCCCATGTCCAGCCTGAGGCTCCACTTGGCTCCTCTGACCATGGCCCTGCTTGTCAGTGACTGGAATTTCTCAGCCTTCCACATGGCTGGTCCTCTCCTCTACCCTCCCATTAACTGCAAGCAATAAGCTCAGCTCTGCCACAAAAGGGGCTGTTTCTTTGTCCTTCTTCTCATGGCCGTGTTGAAAGGCTGATGCTGGGGGCAGCAGCTCTATTGATGTTATTGATGCTTCCATGGGTGGGGGAGGTAGAGGACTGATGTTGTTCTGTTAGACATGTGTGCGGGATAAATTGCTCGATACTCCAGCTCACCTCCCACTTCCAAGGTCTTTATTATTATACAAGAGCCTAGCCCCTTACTCTGAATGTCCTGGGGCTGGACCACATCCCTCCAGACTGGATTGAGGCTGCAGATCCTCCAGGGGGTGACAGGAAAGTCACTGATGCAGGAGGAAATGCAGAAAGCGGGAAAGAGCCGAGTCCCAAAGAAAAGAGGTCCCAGGCAACCAATGAACAATATTCAGTAGTCAAATGGGGGATGGACACGGGCAGAGGGATGGGCAGAGTTGAGGAGAGGCTTGAGAAAGGAGGCAAGTCTTCTATTTTGCTGACTCTTGGAATTTTTATAAAGACTAGGATTCAGAGGGGTGGATAGATAGATAGATACATACATAGTAGCATCTGTATTTCCCTAATTAAACTTTTTTTCAAAGGATTTTTAGAAATAATTGGTCAGTCTAATGCTTTTCAGTCCCTCCTCTCTCCAACTCCCCAGCCCAGATGAATATTTCAGCAGGGTGCCTGCACTCTCAGTAAATATACTGGGATCAATTGTTTGCTATAGCCCCTGCTCAAATCCGTCTTAGACGGTAATATTTTAAAGATGATTGGATCTTAGAATTGTAAGAGGTCCCTTGTGTCATGACTTTGCTGGCATTATCAGCTCAGCCATTGTCTTACCAAGCAATCTCCTACTGAAACGTGATGCTCCCCCGTTCCCACCCCACGCCACAGAGGAGGGAACTGCACCAGGCACCCACGGAGGAGGCTCACTTAAGAATCAAGTGATGGGGAAGAATGAGGATGCCCCTCCCAGCCTGCCTGCATGAGCTTGGGAGGGTGGGAAGGTGTCCTTGCAGCACCAAGGGAGGCTCCCGAGCTTTTTTCCCCACTTTCCCTTTCTTTTTCACTTTTTTTTTGTGTGTGTGCGCCTGTTGACAGTGTCCTCTCTCAACTTGATAAACTTGTCAGAGGGAGCTCCGGGAAAGTGTGACACAGAGGTTGGAGTGATTGCTGAGTATGCAGGGAGAAGAGGCCAGGGAGCTGCGGGCGGCAGCAGGACATTAGCCTGGGGACAGGCAGATGTTCTGGGGTGTTTGTGGCTCTCAGGCAATATGCACCACTCCCACAGTGCAGTCTCACCAGACCAGGGACCTGGAGGAGGGAAGTCATGGACCAGAGTGCAATGTGGGTGAATGGCACCAGCCAAGCAGTGTGTGAGGCTGTATGTGTGCACCACTGTACGGTACTGTGAACCATGCGTGGGGCTTGCATGGGGGGGCTCTTCCCAACACAGATCACCTGTGGCTGTCTGTGTGGGGCAGCTGGATGTGAGGGGTAGGTGTGGGTTGAAGGGCAGACTGCATTAGCCCTCTCAGGATGAGGCAAACTAGAAACAATGATATGGGTGTTTCTTCTGAACCCTTCTACCACTTTCTCCCTAAAAGATATTTTTCGGATGCCCACCTGGAATCCACAATAATTCCTAATCATGGAAGTTTAAAAATTATCCAAAAAGTATTCTTTGAGTTTAAAGGGTAATTTAGCAACCTGTACTCCTCAGCCTGACACAGTGCCTTATATGTCACTGGCATTCTACTGATATTAATTGAACAAATGTCAGGTCAGCAAACAAATATCCGGTCAGTGAGTGAAACTCAGAACCTCATTTTTGCCAGACCTAATTTGCTGGAGTGTGGGGATAATCCATATTAAGTCATGTGGGGTGGGGCGGGGGGCGGGGGTAGAAAGATCTGAATTTGAATACCAGCTCTTTGAATACCCAATTACTTCTCCTCTCTAATCCTCAGTTTCCTCATCTGTACAATGAGAGATTTGAAAACGCATTACTGAGGACATCGTCCAATAATCTACCTTCCAGATAAAAATACAAACTGCTGCTGCGGGGATCAGCACCGCAATGCAGGGAAAGGGTGTTTGAACATTGCAAAGCTCAGTACAAATTCAGGAGTACCGTCCTGGGCTCCTCAACTAGCATAGGTTCCCTTATTACAGGTTCCTACAGCACCACAACATACATTCACAAGCAGGCCCACCTTCATTATTCTCTCTGGAGGGAAGGACTTGGCACTCTGCCAGTTGAACAGGTGTCTTCTTTTTTTTACACTATCTAATAGTATAATAATCTTCTGTCCCAGTGTCTCTGAGTGATTAGAACACATCTCAGGTGCTGCCTTGAAGAGTCGAGGCCAAGAAATTCACCTCACCTGGGAAGTGCAATAATTGCTTTATGGTGCCCTGCCTAGAGTGTGATATTTATATTATAAAATAGGATTTAGGCCTAAAACTAGGGGAAGTTGTCACAGCTCAGTATTATTGATACAAATGTGAATGACAATACTGACAGCTTAATGTGAAGAGCTCTGGTTGTGTCCAGGTTTCTAAACTGGGAAGGAGGTAAAATTAATCAATTAGGCCAGCGACAATACCCAGAGAGGGAGGGAATTATCCTCTCAATTCATTGGATCACTTTTTGGCCTTCATAGAGACAGAGCAGCACGTTGGAACACAGTGTTGCTAAAGACACACACCATAGACAGGGGGAGGAAACTGCTAATAGAATTAATATATTAATTAACTGAGCCATTGATGAGCTGTACTCCATCAAATAACACGGCAAATAAAAGTAACCCCATTATTATTATTCAGATTACTCATGTTCAGATAATGATAACAATTGAGTTTGAGTTGTCAGCATGGTGTCAAGGAAAGAGCAGGTAGAATCTAGAAGCTTGGGGTCTCATTCCCAGTTTTACATTGAACAGCCTCATGACCTCTGGGCCTCAGTTTCCTCAACTGCAAAATGAGGGGGTTGGACTGGAAGACTTCTAAGGTCTCATCCAGGTTTGACATTCTGAAGTTCAGCATTGAGTGTAATTTCACTGGGCTTTGTTCATGCAGAAGCCACTTCAGGACCCTACAGTGCCTGTGTCGCCATTTTGAACATCAATGGCCTTTGTCTGGGAGAGTGTCAGCTACGGAGAGGCCTGATTAATAGAATACGAGATCACAGGGCAGACTGTTGTTACTTTCTTCTTTTCTGCAGCACGTCTCTCCTTGGGGAGCTAAATAAGACTGGTCAGTTTTGCTTCCTTTTTTATTTTCTGGTTTTTATCTATACCTCCAGCAGAGATTTTGGTTTTTCATTTACTTTCACTGCAGGTTTCAATCTTCCCCACCCCCAAAACAATATCCTCTACTCTGTTGCACGAAATAAAAGCTTCAAATTGGCTCTGCCTCCTTAAGCTTTTGGAAACTTTTTAATGTGCAGGTCTACAAAAACCTAAATTTGGGGCCTGCACTATTTGGCGGTATCTCTTTGCCTCAGAGGAATCTTCTGGCTTTTCTCCATTTCAAAGCACCTGGGTCCACACAAATGCTCTCGAAGAGAGAGCTTTTTTTCCCCCCTTAGCAAAAATTCAGGTCTGTCACCAGGAAAGAAGAGGTTTTTCTGTGGAAATCTTCCTCATGCTGGTTATAAAGCCACTCACATCTCAGTATGAACTCTGCTAGCTTGCTCCGTTGTCTTTGTGAGTGAGACGCGAAATCCACACAAAGGTATAAAGAGCTGATCCATATAAAGATTGCTCCCTGGATTTCCATTGGGCAGCAGCTTTCTGATGACTGCATCTTTGCCGCAGACAGCTGTGCAATTGAGACAACAGCAGGACTCCAGATGTGCTGGGACTTGCTAGGCAACAGACTTAGAAGTTTGGCCAAATCAGCCCCAGATAATGACCAGGAAAGGAAAAAAAAATGCAGGGCTGGTCCAAAGTCTTTATGTTATTTGGGAGCTGCGGGATTAGCCCAGGACAGAGATGGAGCAAGTTGCAATGGAAGGTCTCCTTCTCATAGAATGTGTGAGGTCTTTTCTTTGGCTACAAGAAACTTGTGGGACAGTGGAGCTGAGAGAACCTATCTACAGAGGTAGCATAGCATAGTAGTTAGAAGCCAGGGCTCATGAGTCTAGCCAATCTGTTTGAACCTTGGCCCTGCCTCTGACTAGCTGTGTGACCTTGAGGCTACTTTGTAGGGTTTATGCTTACAAAGCAATTAGAACATGCCTGGCACACTTAATCATAGCTCCCTCTCCTTTTACAAGGAGGCATTTAACAACTAGCTAGATAAAGATCAAACAGTTAGTAGCTAATAAAGTTTAGTCTAAAACCCAGTTCTCCCACCTCCCAGCAGAGCATTCTTTCCACTACACCAGCATCTCCAAATTCACCTGATTATAAGAATCACTTGGTTGAGCAACTCTTGAATGGAGTCAGGAATCTGAGTACTAACCAAATACTCCATGTGCAAAAGATGAATTTGAGAAAGACCCTCACAACACCACAGTGCCTAAGATGAAATTTCTCAAAGAAAGGAGCTCATAAATTCATTACGCATCTCCTCTATACACACAGAAGATGGAAAAACAAACCATTAATCTCAAGGAGTAAAGAGGACCCCAGAAAGAAAATCTAAACAGTCTTTCTTGCTAATTGTCTTTGAGCACACAAAGTAACCAACTTTTCACAGAACTTCCAGAGGAGGAAAAAAATTTGAGTCACTATGTGTGATCTCTAATAGCAATGGTTGAGAAGGGTTGTAATGGCTCTTTCGGTCATATTTTAGTGAGATCAGTCGGCTCTGGGGTGATCTGGCTTTTCCTGGGTCTTTGCTAGAAATTAGGGAGCTATTTGGGGCTCATACATGTCAGGCATTCAAAGGCGAACACAGAAAAAGGGCCCCTCAGGTGGGAACAGTAGAGAAGCAGATGGTAGAAAATGTTCTTGGTGTCTCTTGAACATTAACGCCCTGCAAACTTTGTTTTAACTTTAGGTTTTTATGGTTACTTTGGGCAACCACAAAGGATAACAGAACTGTGGTAGCAGCTATGCTGGGAGAGAAGCACGTGTCCTAAAGCATTTTAGGTACAAAGGCAGGTGGCTTCAGATCGACTGCAGGTTACGAAATGGAAAAGCCCATTGTCGTTTTGGACTTTGCAGGGAGCCGGAGTAAATAATACTTCTCATATAGCTTTAGCCCCGTGCTATCTTAATTGCAATCTCTGGTGAGATTTCGAGTTATGCGTTTTTAACAAGCAAACCATAAAATAAGGTTTAATCTCCCCAGAGCCCTGGAGTTAATTTATCTGTCCACAGGCTAAGATCTTTTTAAAGGTTAAGAATGCTTGGGTTTTCTTTCTAGGTCTCTGGGTTGGCTGGAACGCCTGCAGGTATCTCCTATGGCTGGCGGCTGGAATCTGGCTTTCATCAGTGCTAAAGACCCAGCCCTTAGGAATCTCTGCAATAAGAATCAGGTGTTGGATTCAAGAACCATACCTCGTCCTGATGAAGAGAAATTTATCTTCCTTAGGACCCTGTCTGTGGCAGAAAATACACGTGACTTATCCTCAGAAGAAAAGGGACTGAGTCTTTGCTCTACAACTAGGAACTGTGGGATTTGGGAAAAACTACTTATCTGAGCTTCAGTTTCCTTGTCTGTAAAGTGGGCATAACAAAATCTCTCCTGGAGTCTTCATAAGTGTTCTGTGAACATTAAATGGTATGTGGATGGCTTTTATAAAAGCATAAGGCACAAAATGGTTGTTAAACAACTTATTTACTTACCTGTTCTTCCAGGTGGAGTTTGGTGCCTTTTCCAAGAAGATTTCCTGATGAAGCCATGCCTTGGAGTAAGTTCCCAGTATTCACAGCACATCTAAAAGCCAATCCTGCCTCTCAGCTGGGCAGCACAGATTCATTGCCAAGACAGAAAGAGCACAGGTTATCACTCAGGCCTTGGGCCTAGCTGCCTTGCGGAATAGATACACGGTCAGCTCTCTGTACCTGTGGGTTTGGTATCCATGGATTCAACCAATTGCAGATCAAAAATATTTTTTAAAATGTGTCTATACTGAACCTGTACAGACTTTTTCTTGCCATTATTCCCAAAACATTAGAGGATAACAGCTATTTACATAGCATTTACATTGTATTAGGTATTAGAAGTAATCTAGAGATGATTTAAAGTGTACAAGAAGAACATAAACATCCATGGATTTTGATATCTGTGGGAGGTCCTGGAACCAATCCACCACGGATACCGAGGGACGACTGCACATATGTCATTTCTACTGTTCAGTTCAGCAGGGCCACTTGCCCTGGTCAGAGCACCTTTCCCACCCTTGCTAATTACAGGAGGATTTGATGACTACTCCAGATGAACCAGTTGAGGGTCTACTGTCATCCATCCTGCATAGCTGTACCCCATGGGAACAAAATAAGGGGAGTCTGTTTGTACTCCTGGTGGAGGTGAAGGAGGAAGGGCTCCAAAAAATGGGCTGACATGGACCATTATTTATAGACCACCCTACAGACTTCCACTACCCAGAATTCATGGCCCCCCTAGACTGGCATTTCCACCTTCAAGTCCTGTTACAACCCTCCCATCTCGCCTTCCTCCCCAATGCACTGTGCCCTTGCCCCTGGTCATATTTTCTATCCTCTGCTTTGATGATTCATCTTGCTGGATGGCCTTTCCCTTTTATCTCCCACCAACTCATTTTACCACTACCTGTGAGATCTCAAACATAAGGCCACCTCTTTCAGGAAGCCTTCCCAGATTAATCCCATCCCTGTCTAAATCCCATCACCCTTTTCCTGCAAATCCTTTGGCATTGGTATATTTAATGGATTTATCATGATAATCCCTCATCAAAGTCAGCATGGCCAGGGATGAGGATGGTGCTTACTTAACCAAGGGTCCTTGGGAAAAGCAATTCTGTCTTCTGTGCCCTGCTCCCTTGGAGCCTAGCTGAACTTACCCACAGGGAAGCTGCAGATGAGTAGAGACCAGGTTCAGGAGGTAGGGGAAGCTAGTGCCATGGCTCAGAATTTCTCCCAAGCCCCACATTAAAGTGTGTTTACATGTTCCTAGCCTTCTCAGTGGCAAGCCATGTGGCAGGGATAAAGGATAAGGGAGTATGTGTCAAAAGGGAACAGAATTATTTCTCTAAAATATAGTACTAATCCCATCACTCCATACCTCGTAAGTCTCCCCTGGCTTCCCATGATACAAAAAAGAAAAGCCACACTCCTCAGCCTGATAGGCAAGCCTCACGCCGCTGCACTCCCTCACTGCAATGCCTCACCCCTCATCACTCTCCTCCCCCAACGCCACATCCCCTGGATCGCCCTTAGGCTCAAACAATACCTTCCTAAAGTACCCAAACACACTAGTACTGCCACTCCTCAGCACCTTTCTTCTGTGGCTCCTTCTGTCTGGAACTTCTTCTTTTGCCATCTTTCCACCTGCCCAAATGTAATCCAGGCAGCTGAAATCATACCTCCATAAGGTTTTTATCAGATCGCCCTGAGTCAGAATCAAGTTTGCCTTCCTGAGCCTCTTACAGCATGTTGTTTTTTTCTTCTCTTACATTTACAGGATGCAACCACCTTCTACTAGAGTTACCAGTACAGAGGGCCACTTCCCTGCTGGGCTGGAACTCTGCCTTCATCCTGCCACCTTGTTTAATGCCTGGCATTCAGGAATCACTGAACCAATATGGAGCAGAATTAAAGTTACTAAAGGAAGCTGCAGGACATCAGGAAAACCCCACGACCTTCCTAACTCTTCTACCACATCCTCCCCTTCCTGTGCCTCTCCTCAACCCAGCATCAGCACCCATTTCCTGCAGGCACAGCTCCTCCTCTTTGTCCTCATCCTCGTGGTGTTTGCAGGCCACACAGGCAGCCGAGGCCTCCTGTTGGGGACCTGCTCCTGCCTCCTTGGCCCAAGACAGGAGCCCAGCAGCTGCTGAAGCTGGACCCATGAAAGGGAAACCTGTGGTCCATCTCCACCTCCCTCATGTGCCTCCTGAAGAGACTCGGCCTCTCCCATTTGTTTTTGTCAGTGGCTTTGAAGCTATTTGGGAGACACTTTGAGATAGCCTGGGAAACAGCAATAATCCAATTGAAGCATCTGACACTCTGGACTGGTGGCCTCTTGACGGGGAGGCAGTGGACACATGGGGGTTGTTGCTGGTTTCGTCTGTGATATGAATTTTACTGGCTGTCGATATCTACAGGGAAAACACTCGCGGTGAGATTCACAGATAAAAACCAGTGGCCTCTGCTTCCTCCCTGGAGTGTTTTCACGAGAAATTGGTTTCTGGGCAGGGAGGGGAGAAGACTCCTTCTTTTTCGTCACTCACCTCGAGGGAATTTGGAGGGGTTCGAGACAGGAAAAGGTGAAGGGAGGGGAAGTAAGTCGGAGGAATCACCGGCGTGTGAAAAGTCTCAAATATCTCCCTGAGCGAGCGAGTCCTTTCAGGGTGAGGGACTGAGCCCTCCTTCCTGTCTTGATTTTTCCTTCTGCTGTTACCCTCAGTCCATTTTCTCACTTTCTCTGTTTACTCTGGAGGTCATTGTCACTGTCCCATCTCTGGGCATCTCAGGGGGTCCTCTGAGCCCAAACAAAGCCAGAAACTGTCCCTTGGAAATCAGAGCAGAAGTCCCCGCAACATCAAAGCTCACAGCAAGAACTTGCTGACAGAGCTGAGCTGGCACCCGGGGATGGGATGCTGCGGCTCTTCCGATCTCCCCGCTCCAAGTGGCTCCTGGCACCCACTACCCCATTCCCATTTCGGCCTCCCTCGCCCACCATCCAGCCACCCCAGTCAACCCCTTCCCAGGTGCACCTGAGTCATAGCATCGGCTCAAGCCCCCCACACCGCCCCAGGCCAGGGCCCCAGCAGGCTCTCCCCACACCCCACTCCAGGCTGACTTGACTGTGTGATAGCTGGAAAAAGTTAAATGCTCTTCCCTTCATTATCAGAAAGAGTTTTATTCTGACTGAAGTGAACAATATGAAGAGACACTACAGAGCTCTGGCGAAGGAAGAAAAGTTTCTTATATCCACAGAGCCACACTTCAAAGTGTCCTGTGAAAAGGTTCCACTTTAATTAGGGGGAGGAAATTGCCATGTAACTTAATTAATATCAAAAACATTTTTTCCTTCAATACAAGAAAGAAAGATGGCTACAGAGAGAGGGGGAAAGGAACTGACAGTGAGTGTGGACAGGCCTGCTCGTGGCCAGCATAATGATAAACTTTGTTTCTAATTACTCCAAATATGTCCTAGGTTCAATTAAGAACTTTAAAGCCACAACGGGTTCTTTGTCACAATGGAGGTCTTCCTCCTCCATCCCTGATGCACTAGCCTTTATACACAATAAAGTGAAGGCCTGAGATGGTTATAGTTCAGGAGGGAACACAGAAACCCTGTTTTATTTCAATTATCTAGGAAGCATTTGCAGGAAGTGGTTTGGGAGAGTGGGATCATCAGCTCCAAGTGCCTTTGATGGACATGCTCCTTCCTCCAGGGACCCCGACCCTGTCAAGTCACCTTCCTCCCTCCCAGCTGCTCTGGGGGAGACTCCTGGGCATTTGCCTGGTTTCCCTTGTCTCTTCACAGTCAAGCCACCAGATCTCTCCTACCTCCAAATTATCTCTCAAATCTGTCCTCTTCTCTACTGCCACCATACAGAGTCACTTCTCATCTCCCCCAAAGGATTTACAAATAAGCTCCTCACTGGTCTTTTCATTTTCCTTCTTGCCCACTGGAGCCTAGTCTTCAGCCAACAGCCAAAATGACCTTTTACAAGACATAACATCATGCCATTCCTCTGCTCAAAAACCTCTGATGCTGTCTCGTCATTCTTGGGAAGAAAACTTAAAGATTCCTTAGCAAGGACTACCAAGACCCTGCATGATTTTGACCCTGTCTAACTCTCTCATCCTTGTTCTTGACCACTAGCCAGAGAGTCAAGGTCTTTGTCATCGTGTTCCTTCTGTTTGGGACACTCTTCTAGACCTGCTTCACCCACTAGATCTCAGCTGAAATCACTCCTATTTAACTTTTTTGAGTCCTGACTTAAACATTGTTTACTCTGGGAAGGATTATGAGACACCATTTCCCCTGCCTCCATCTAAGTTAAATCCTCATATTACATACTCCCATAGAATACTACACTTCTTTGAAACACACATCAGAATTGTAATCAGTTAACTGTGTGGCCAAATACTGGTTTGATATTTTTCTTTGCCCCTGGACTGTAAGCCAGGTAAAAGCAGAGACCATGTCTGTTTTGTCACAGTTATTTGCTCAGTTGCTCACTCAGAATCACGGCAAACAGTGTTCTAATCTCCACTGGATCATTTCAATCACATAGCAAGCCAATGAGGTGCACCATCTTATTAAACCCATTTCACAGATATAGAATTTGAAGCACAGAGGTCAGATACTCTCAAAGCCACACAGGTAGCAGATGGCAGTCTTGCTCCTGAGTCCTGCTTTTCATCACTGTACTATGCTCACACGGGAAGAACCACAATACACAGTTGTTGAAGAAGGAAGGAAGGAAGCCAGGAAAATGGATCTCGAATAGTTGGAGGAAAACTGATCAGAAAATACTAGGCATGACTCTATGGACCCAGCCCTCCAACTCATGGAAATGCCTCATCCTGCCCAATACAATCTGTCTTCAACACTCCCAGGAAAGACTCCAGCTTCATGACTCTTACTAGGAAAGAGCACAACCTGAGAATGTGCCCTGAGAATGTTAAGATGTAGGTTAAGCTCAGCAGTTTTTATCTCCTCATTCTTTGCTCCCAACCAGGCTTCTAGTTCACCCCATTTCCTTAAACATGAGAATATACAATAAATGCATAGAGTAGGGCTACAGTCCCCAAATCATGTAACAAGGTATCCTGGGTCACCATAGTGAACTCACATTCCTGTAGTATATGTTAATTTTTGAAGAGAGACACAAAGCTACTCAACTTCCACTAAACATTGAGCAAATTACTAACTCAAAGTAGTTTACAGTTTCAACATTAGATCTCACGATTTCCTGTCTGTTAGGTCATATCTTTTTGAAGGTGTGTTTTCTGTGGTTGCTGCGATAAGAAGCAAGTCCTTCATAAAAATCATTGTGAAACAAAGTGTTGGTGTCCAACATTTGAGAAGTTGTGCAGTGCCCAACAGGTGCACACAGCCCATTCGTACATAATTATTGTTTAGGAATAAAATAAAAATGTTTTTTCTTTCAGTTCATAATGTTTTCAAATGGCTATTAAGTTATTGGGACATTAATACTTATAAAGTTGTTTGACCCTAGCTATTTGAAAAAATGCAGCTGTTAGTTCTTTTGTCATGAGGGTACCATGAAAAACTACTG
Organism: Homo sapiens; assembly: GCF_000001405.40. NCBI lineage: Eukaryota > Metazoa > Chordata > Mammalia > Primates > Hominidae > Homo > Homo sapiens. Next base: position 114,776,846 of record NC_000011.10, on the reverse strand, counting down.
ATAGACTAACAATGCTCTGAACCAAACAAGTGTGGGAATCTCTGGGGTAGGGTGTCAGAGGTATGCATAATCGGGGCAGACATACTAATATGATAGATATATTAGATAGACTCCCACTTAAACAGGATCACCTTGATAGGATGTAATTTTCCCCTAAGGTGATGTCATCTTGACAGATTACTTTACAATGAGTTAAGGAAAAAGGGAACACCCAGGCCCACCCAGTGCCAAACCCCACTGGGCTCCCAGCACGAAGGCTTCTCCCAGATGTGCGCACACATCCAACTGCAGACAGCCTGTCGCAGCCCAGCCCCGAGCCTTGAAGGACAGGCTTGTAATTGACAGTATCTCCGCTGCCCTCGGAGAGCACTGCCTCGAGCCAGAGGTCTCTCCACAACAGCAAAGAAAAGCTTCTTAACTTCCTGCGCTTCACGCAAGGCAAGGCCGTCTGTTATCAGCCGCAGATGGGAGCCTCAGCAGCCTCCCACTCTGGAGAGCTCGGTGGAAACAGGCTTGGCAGGTGGACAAAACGGACAAGATGACAAGTGCTGTTAAATAGCAACCCGCAGGTTGTTGTAACACATGCCTGGGACCTTGCTCCTCGTGGGCTCTCCTGTGCCCGGACACGGGGGCCGCTGGATCAGAGGATGCAGCACTCCCCATAATCCCTGAGGCTGCTGTGCAGCCACCCTCATCCTCCCCAGGCCTCTGCAGACACAGGAGCACTTCTGGCCCTCCCAAGCTGTCTCCTAGCAGATCCTCCCTTTTAATGCCCAGGTCCTCCCATGGAGAGAGATAAAGACCCACAGGAGAGGTGTTTGGGTCATAGCAGCTGATGCCTTGTGAGTGGCACTGTGCCATCCTTGCAGTAATGAATTGCATTCTCACTGTGGCCAGACTGGATTAGTTCCCACAGGAACAGATTCATTCCCCTGAGAGTGGCTGGGTTTTTTTGTTTTTTTTTTTCGTTTTTTTGTTTTTTCTTTTCTTCCAGAAGGCTGCTGGAGTTTTACCTCTTAGCAAGTATCTACCACCCTTTGACCTTCTTTGCCATGTTATGAGGCAGTGCAAAAGCCCTGGCCAGAAGTCAGGGCCATGACCTTGAACTTCCCAGCCTTCAGAGCCCTCTATTAAATAAGCCTTTTATCTGTATAAATTAAAGAGGGGAAAACCCCCACAGGAAGGGAGGCTTTCAGTTTGTTTCAGATGCTTGCGTTCACTCACTCATTCCCACGTGGGGGACACCTACATGCCAGGCGCTATTCACCTTTCTCATATCCTTTTTCTCAAGAACTCAGTGGAATGTGCTCCCTGTGCCCTGTGCACCCTGAAAGGTAATAAATGGAATGAGATGAGTGGTCAGGAGCCCTTTGGAGATGCAAGATCCTCCCTCCTACCACTCAACAGGCTGATGAGTTGAGGTTTCTAATTTCTAGAAAAGGTGTTGTCCTCTTGCCCCCCCTAACAACTGCTTTCTCCAGTCCAGGAGAGCTTAACAAAAGCTATTCAGGGCCTTATTCTCTCCTCGTCCCACCTTGAAGGCCCTGGGGTCTGTCTAGCAGAGGGAGGCAAACCCTGGCCAGCCTCTCACCCTGTGCTGCCTAAAAGCGTACGGCCTAGATCTGCCTCCTGCCTGAAGGCGGACCTGGAGGAAGGAAGACAGCGACAAGAGGTGCAGGTAGCTTCCCACTTAGGTGCACCCAGCGTCCCCTATTTGGGAGGCTTGCAGCTTGGCAGTCCCCCAGAGCGGACCCACTGCCAGAAGTATGTCGCCAGCTTCTTTCATCCAAGCCAGAGATGTCTGTCATATCGTCATCCCCCCAGCTGTAGGACTTACTATAATTTCATACAGTTCTGTAGACAGATATTGAAAAGGCATCTGGAAAAATTGATAGCATATCAAGGCAAAGATTTCAGAAAAGCCATTTTTTAAATGTCCAGCCATAGGTACCAGCGCACAGTCCTCATAGACACAGTCAAGGTCCCTGAAGGCCTGTTTCCTGATGTTAGAGCGCCCCCTTTGGAGATGATGCTCCTACTGCAACTGGCAGCGCAGGCTTCTCTCCACGCCTTGCAGGAGCTCGGGCTTGAGTCAAGAAGGGAAAAAGCAAGAGATGGGGAAGGAAAAAGGGAAAGGGCGAAAGGGGGAAGGAGAAATGAGGCTGACCTCCAGGGAGCACCTTTCAGTGGGACAAGGACCACGCCACAACACTCGGCATGCGCAGTCTCATTACGTCCTCATACACAAAATGAGCCTCCAGCCAGTTTATTAATGAAGCCATGGAGAATGTAAGGAGCCCTCCTCCGAAGGACACACAAGGAGTGGCTGCCAGGGTTACCGTCCCGGCGGATAACCAAATACGCTGTATGCAGTTTGGTTCAGGAAAATCATGACTAGCAGCCGCCTCCTTCACATCTTGCTTCACAACGGCCTTTTTCAGATTCTCCACTGAAATCACAATGAAAAGAAACAACTGTGTCCGAAGGACTAAACAAGAAGTTTTGCAGGACTTTAGATGGAAATGGAGAGTACACCTGGAGTAACAATAGTCAAGGGCAGGTTTTACAAATGTTCTTTTTCTCTGCATTTCCATGTTGTGCCTTCTCTCTGCCCTTAGTGATAGTGAACAGGTGGCAGCTGCCACAGCGTGCAAACAGCCCCAGACTGAAACTCAGAAACATGGAACATGCTCTGGTACAATAGTGCTGGGGCTTCTGCAGGGTTTGGTCAGTAAGGAGAGAAACTGCTGAGCTTCACGTTTTGATCAGTTTCCGGGAAGCAGTTTCAAGAGCAGTAGAGGCATTACCTGCCTCACTTTGGTAGGCCAACTGAGGGCCGTAGAGAGAGAGATGGGTGAGGAAATTAGCTCTCATGATTATGGAGGCTGAGAAGTCATGCGATCTGCCGTCTTAAGCTGGAGACCCAGGAAAGTTGATGATGTAGTCCAGACGAAACCCAAAGGCCTGAGAATCAGGAGAGTGAATGGTGTAAGTTTCAGTCTGAGGATAGGAGCAGACAAGAGATGTCTAAACTCAGTCAGGCAGAGAGAAGAAATTCTCCCTTCTTCCACCTTTTGTTCTACTTAGGCCCTCAACAGATAGGATAATCCTCACCCCCACTGGGGAAGGCAATCTACTTTACTCAGTCCCGATTCAAATGCTAATCTTATCTGTAAACAATCCCACAGACACACCCAGAAATAATGTTTAGTCAAATGTCTGGGTACCCTGTGTCCTAGTCAAGCTGACACATAAAATTAACCATCATACCAGTGGATGACATGAAGAGGAACAAAGAACTAGTCCAAAGTGCAGAGAGAAATCCAGGGTCCTGGGGTGAGAAGCCAAGCCCAGAAGTGGGGGGCAAGTATTGCAGACAGGAACACAAGAAAAGAAAGAAGGTCATTCTTTAGAAGGATCTTGAATGCAAACTTTGTTGAGTCAAGGGCAAAGGGGCGGGGGGTTCTTATCTGGAAGCATCTTAAAGACACAGCTGTTTGAGTTGGTCTGGAGATGGAGAGACCCAGAGGAAGAGCTATGAGTGCCCAGAATGGGGTGGGGGGGGGGTGGGAGTGGGTTGTGTAGGGCATGGGCTTGCCCCTGACTGAACCCAAGGCTCTGTCTTGGAGTCCATTGAAGGAGCCTAGGATGAGAACAGAGGAAGTTGTACACTAAAGAATCCTCTTTGGTAGGAGCATGCTTCCCTGTGGGCCTGTGTTTGAGTGGAAGCCTGGCTCCCCTTAAGGAACAGACATCAGGGTTAGTGCACTGAGATCATCTCACCTGTTCCTCTGCCTTCATACCCCAGTGCCTTCAAATCCTCTCAACCACACAAGGATGTATTCTACTTTGAGTAGTAGAGAAGGCTGAAAAGAATATTTTCATGCATGCCCTCCAAAAATAAGATCCTGGAATGCCAGGAGAAAAGGGATGAAAACAAGGTCTGGTTCAATAATGCTCTGATGAAGAGAGACAGACTATGCTGAGACGATTTCCAGGGGATGAGCCTGAAGCCTGCCTCTGTCCTCAGAGTGCTGAACCCCGCTTTCTGTCTGATGACTGTCTCCATGAGCCAAGCACATCAGTGGGGCAGGGTAGAAAAGATGGGCCTGTTTTCAGAGGGACAAAACGTAGGGGTACTTCTTCCAAAGGACCTTGCTGGGGAGTCAGATGTGGTGTTGGTGTCCATGGCGTTTCCCTCTTCTCTGCTTGATTCAGTGAGCTGGGTTGGCCTGAATAGTGTCCTAATAAAGCTGAGGTCACTATTTGAGTCCTACATGGGCAAATTAACCCTTCAAAGAAGCTAGCACTGTTCCAAAACCCTAGACACCCAGAACATCACATATTACATGTAAGATATTGAATATTAAGCAGTATTATTGAAAACGTTGCCTATCACCCAATGTCTCCTAAATGAAGTGCCACATGGGAAGTTATTCTCAGGATTTAGAATCAGAACTTTTTTTTTTAATCCCCTAAGAATAGGGGATAGTTTCCTTTTTTGCTTTAGCTACTAGGAAGCTCCAATCAGAGTCTGTACTAATTACCACGAATGTGTTAATTAATCTTTTGGATTAATATATTGGTTAACTCCCTTTTTCTCCATTCCCAACTTCCCTTTTTGTTTTCTACTTAGTTATCTTATCTTAGATATCCTTTGTTTAAGCTGTTCACGCTATCTTTGGAAAGAGAAATATTTCTACAAGGGACAAGAGACTACTTAATGGACATTTACGACCACAGCTGGAAAAGCCACACAAAGCGTCCGTTTTCATGGCAGGAGCCCACATTACATCAACACTGTCTTCGAAGATAAAGGACAGTCTTCTGTGTTTCTGTCTCTTCCCCTGCTACCACCCTCACAAGGACCAAGTGTCAAGGGAATTCTTTAATCTCCTCTACTTTAATTGGTGAGAGAAAGTGGTGCCACTCATCAGTGCTTTAATTTGGAGGGATTTAATTAGATCTAATGACCAGATAAATGGAGAACTCTGAATAAGGACCTTTGGGGACTGAATGGTGTGAAGAGGATTATGTTGTTATATTTCCCTGCATTCGTTGCCATGGCTAAGGCCACAATGGAAAGAGAAGCAGAGCGCTAACAAGAGTCAGAAATGGATGCCATTGAGAGGGAGATAGGAGAGGACAGAGGGTCATCCTTGGGGCCATAGTGGAGAAGGCACTCAGAGCAAAGGGTGAGGTACACGCAAAGGATGCAGTGAGAGTGAGCACTCACGAGGACTGAGTGAATTGGGTCCACTGCCCAAGTATCCTTCCCTTTAGCTGATCCTCCCTCCCAGTTGACCTGTGTCCAAACCATTCTGTCTCCCTGTGACCCTGGCATCTTTCTCACCTTTAAGGAAGGCCACAGGCCTGGTCCAAGAATGAGTAGAACTATTCACTTGTCAGGCTTCCCCTGAGCTGATGCTGAAAACAACCTGTCCCCCTTGACAAGTCGCCTTTATCTAGTATGAGCAGGATCACTTTGAATATCCTTGTGCTGTCACTTAGGACCTGGAGTGTCAGACATTTGTCTCCCCTCAAAGATCATCTGTCAGAGTTACTACGGTATTCTGGTTCCAAGAGCCCTGAGGGAAAGTTTCTGGGAGTGGAGAGGGAGAGGGGATACAGGGAATGAAGTCAGTCTGCAAATACTCCACATTTGACCCATTCCCAAAGGTGGGTAGGTGAATTCTTCCTGGAGAAAAGTCAGTCAGTGCTGCAAGTCTTGATAGGAAAGGAGAACATTTATTGAGTATCCACCATATGTCCTGCATTTGGTCAAATGATCATCTATAATATCACCTAATTCTTACAATATCAGAGCCAGGTGCATAATATATCTGCAATAAACATATGTAATATGGATGAATAATTAAATTACCCTGAGAGGTATCATGGTCCTTATTGTACAGAAGAGAAAATAAAGTTTGTCCAAGTTCACACACCCATAGAGTTACAATTTGATCCTACATCATTTTTTTCTGATGCCAAAGATCAATCTCTTTCCAATTTAACATGAGTGCAAGACATTGGCCACAGCCCTTTCTAGCTCTCCTCCAATCTCTGCTCAAAACTAGATTTGTGTGTAGTTTGTCCTCATTAGACCTCAGTTTGCTCGCCTATAAAATAGACTGGTTGGAGCACTGCTTTGAGATGAAGGAAGCAGGCACTGTCTTTTGCCAGAGATCTGGTAAAGCTGAGATAATTTGTATGGAGACATGGCTCATCTTTCCCCTAAATCCAAAGCCCTGCATTTGGTGATAAACAGCATTAATGTGATGTTAACTCTATTTATGCGGCTTTCTGCCCCAGGAGATGAATTTACGTATGTGCTAAATGCGCTTCAGCAGTACCCAACAGTGATGCTTTATTTTACTGCCTCTGGACACCTGGTAGCAGCTCAGTCCATTAAGGAAGGAAGCATCATGCACACTCACGCAATCATGTGTGTGCACACACACATAGCCACACACATACTGCATTGCATCCACTCTGGAAAGACAGTGCAGCAAGAGGTAGATGGGGAGGGGGTAGGAAGGCCCCATTATCCAAAGATAAATGGCAACTAACCCCTTGTTCCAAATCTGTGTAAGATTCAAAGAAAACCACCAGACTGACCTCAACCCACCATTTCTCAGAATTATTCAGAGGAAAGTAGAGTTTAGGGGTAACATGACTGGATCACTGTCTACATCTTCTACTTTAGTTTGGCCAAGGAAAGATCTTTGCAGATTTGAAGCTGAAAACATGCTACTCAGTGAGCCTTATGCTATAGCCCAAGTGAGTCCTGAAGTACCTTGATCACCTTTCCACAGAAAAGTAGTTGTCCACTTTCATGGAACAAATTATTATGTTCCAGGTTCTTTTTGTCTTTCTTTTCAAAATTATACTTTAAGTTCTGGGGTACATGTGCAGAACGTGCAGGTTTGTTACATAGATGTACATGTGCCATGGTGGTTTACTGCACCCATCATCCTGTCATCTACCATAGGTATTTCTCCTAATGTTATCCCTTCCCTAGCCCCCCAACCCGACAGGCCCCAGAGGGTGATGTTCCCCTCCCTGTGTCCATGTGTTTTCCTTGTTCAACTCCCACTTATGATTGAGAACATGCAGTGTTTGGATTTCTGTTCCTGTGTTAGTTTGCTGAGAATGATGGTTTCCACAGCTTCATCCATGTCCTTGCAAAGGACATGAACCCATCCTTTTTTATGGCTGCATAGTATTCCATGGTGTATATGTGCCATATTTTCTTTATCCAGTCTATCATTGATGGGCATTTGGGTTGGTTCCAAGACTTTGCTATTGTGAACAGTGTTGCAATAAACATACATGTGCATGTGTCTTTATAGTAGAATGATTTATAATCCTTTGTGTATATACCCAGTAATGGGATTGCTGGGTCAAATGGTATTTCTGTTTCTAGATCCTTGAGGAATTGCCACACTGTCTTCCACAATGGTTGAACTAATTTACATTCCCACCAACAGTGTAAAAGCATTCCTATTTCTCCACATCCTCTCCAGCATCTGTTGTTTCCTGACTTCTTAATGATTGCCATTCTAACTGGCATGAGATGGTATCTCATTGTGGTTTTGATTTGCATTTCTCTAATGACCAATGGTGATGAGCTTTTTTTTTTCATATGTTTGTTGGTCACATAAATGTCTTCTTTTGAGAAGTGTCCATTCATATCCTTCATCCACTTTTTGATGGGGTTGTTTTTTTTTCTTGCAAATTTGTTTAAGTTCTTAGTAGATTCTGAATATTAGCCTTTTGTCAGATGGATAGATTGCAAAAATTTTCTCCCGTTCTGTAGGTTGCCTGTTCACTCTGATGATAGTTTCTTTTGCTATGCAGAAGCTCTTTAGTTTAATTAGATCCCATTTGTCAGTTTTGGCTTTTGTTGCCCTTGCTTTTGGTGTTTTAGTCATGAAGTCTTTGCCCATGCCTATGTCCTGAATGGTATTGCCTAGATTTTTTTCTAGGGTTTTTATGGTTTTAGATTGTATATTTAGAAAACCCCATTGTCTCAGCCCAAAATCTCCTTAAGCTGATAAGCAACTTCAGCAAAGTCTCAGGATACAAAATCATTGCGCAAAAATCACAAGCATTGCTATACACCAATAATAGACAGAGAGCCAAATCATGAGTGAACTCCCATTCACAATTGCTACAAAGAGAATAAAATACCTAGGAATACAACTTACAAGGGATGTGAAGAACCTCTTCAAGGAGAACCACACACCACTGCTCAAGGAAATAAGAGAGGACACAAACAAATGGAAAAACATTCTATGCTCATGGATAGGAAGAATTAATATTGTGAAAATGGCCATATTGCCCAAAGTAATTTATAGATTCAATGCTATCCCCATCAAGCAACCATTGACTTTCTTCACAGAATTAGAAAAAAACTACTTTAAATTTCATATGGAACCAAACAAGAGCTGTATAGCCAAGACAATCCTAAACAAAAAGAACAAAGCTGGAGGCATCTTGCTACCTGACTTCAAACTATACTACAAGGCCACAGTAACCAAAACAGCATGGTACTGGTACCAAAACAGATATATAGACCAATGGAACAGTACAGAGGCCTCAGAAATAACACCACATATCTACAACCATCGGATCTTTGACAAACCTGACAAAAACAAGAAATGGGGAAAGGATTCCCTATTTAATAAATGGTGTTGGGAAAACTGGCTAGCCATATGCAGAAAACTGAAACTGGACCCCTTCCTTACACCTTATACAAAAATTAACTCAAGATGGATTAAAGACTTAAATGTTCCAGGTTCTTTGCTAGGGACTTCAAATAAATTATGGCATTGAATTCTCACCACTCCATCATTTTTTACTATTATTATGTCCACTTTACAGATGAGAACATTGAAGCTTAGGAGATTATTCACAGCCCGTCAGATAGCTAATAATCAGCAGAAGAAAGATGTAAACCCAAGTCTGTCTAAGCTGTAACCACTACACTACATCATAGACATCAGTGGAATGTGTGCTTTTGAGGACATTGGAGAAGGGGATAGGTAAGGAGATTTAAGAGAAAGGGAGTTTTAGATTTTCTTACAATCATGTACAATGTACCATGGAGAGCATAGCATCTGTGTGGAGTCTGTGCTAAGTTCTCTATGAGGTGGACAGGACAAGTCATAATCCTCTCCCATTCATTTATTCACTGATGTCTTAATTCAGGCATTCACTAAACATGTCATTTGCTATTCATTGAAAATAAAAAATAAAATCTGGTCTCCACTCTCAGTAAACTCACAGTTTTGCTATTGGATAGACATATTTGTAAATTAAGGATTACACTGCCATGCAATAAATTATTTGGCGAATGGAAACTGCAAGCCCAGGGAAAGGGCATGTGGATCAGAATGGACTTCAAGTGATGGAAGGAGCAAAGGGCTTTGAATCAATTTAACAAAAACAAAATAGGATTGAGTTCTTTTTTGTATGATCTTGAGCCAATGGAAGTTCTTTGAGCTCCACTGTCAGTTTTGCAGGATAACGATAATATCAATCTAGTGATATCATCAGCCCTAAAATAATTGTGCAGGGGATTAAATGAGCTAATGTAAATGAAAGCACTATTATTTATAAAGTGCTATTATTCATAAAGTATAAAGGCAAAGATGGAAATTATGGGAATGGCAAGTATGAAAAGGCATAAAAACAATGTAACAATTTCTATAGTATAGGATAAGTTAACTGTGTCATAATATAGATGTAGATGTTCCAAGGGAATGGGTTGGCCTGGAACTTTAATATCACCAGCTGCTCTTTCTGGGACCAAATTACTCCATATGGAATTAAAGAGGAAAAAATATTTTTTTTTTCAGAAATTTCAAGGTGTAATTCTTCCTGGGGTAAGAGAATAAAAAACACAACTAAAAATTTTCATTAGATCTTGGAGAAATCAACTAATCAACTCCTAAGTTTCTGCTGACCAAAGTCATGTGCCCAGCACTGTAGTAGTTTCCATGTAGCACTTCAAAGAGATCATGAGTTAATTGGAAAGAAAAGAATAACATATATTAAATAATTCACTAGCAGACTGTTTGAGACTGACTCTAGTCACAGTGAGATGAGGAAAACTTCAGCATGAACCTGAACACTGAGAGGCACTTTCATGGAGAAGGTAGGAACTGAATAAAGTCTTAAAGGCTAAAGAAATGCAGGAAAAAAAAGAGGAAAAGAGGACAAGAAGAATGAAGGGGAAAGAAGGAACAGAGAAGGGAGAGGGAAGAAAAACTTGGGGAAAAATAATGAAGGAAAAAGGGAAAGTGTGGGAATAAAGCAAGGAGAGGAGTGAAGAGGAAGAAAAAAGCCAGAATAGAAGAATTAGAGCATTTCTAGAGAAAGAGGCTGGAATTAAACTAGGATGGCTTACCTGGAAGGCTGTAGATGTAGAGTCAGTGAGTAGTTGGATGAAGCCAAATTATATTCAAAGCTAGGGAGTCTAGCTATGATGCTTCCGTCAGCTGGTTCCTAATAGGGGATTGTCATGGAAGAAGTTTTGATTTATAGCAGGTGGAAGGGCAGCTTGGAGGGAATCAAGAACAGGAAGTACAAAGCCCAAGTCAGAGCTCTCTGTGATCTAAGCTATGTTCATAACAGCCTGCATTGCAAGATGAACAAGGAAAGGGTTCATTTGAGGGAAAATCATAGAGCCTTGGAATATTAGAAATGAAAATGGGGAATGAAGAAGAATAAAATATCAGAAGATCCGATAAGATTCTATCAGTCTAGGAAACTGGAAGAAACATGGTGTATTGAGGGAGAAACATGAAGTGTTTGGAAAAAGGAAGTGTGATGATTTTAAGTTTGAATGAGTTCATTGGAGGTGATGGCCAGTCACTCAAACAGGAAAATCATATAAGCAGTGGTGATGGTGAGGTTAAAATAGCAAGGACAAGGCCAGGGCTGGAGAGATGTACTGTAGGTGACAGTCAGCTCTCAGAAGAATTGGGCAGAGAGGCCCAAGGAGAAGCACTAAAGAAAAGTCCTTGGAGAATCCTCACAAGTAAGAAGGCAGGAGAGAAACAAAGCATTAAGGAAGACAGATAAAGTGTAATCTCAGAGGATAGGAGGAGAACCCCCCAAATCAGGTATACACAGATGAAAGTAGGAATGAATATCAAGAGTGAGGGAATGATCAATAGTGCCATACTGCAGAGATCAAGGATAATGGAGTGGAGAGCTAAAATGGTTGTAGGTATACCTCAGAGATATTGTGGATTTTGTTCCAGACCATCCCAATAAAACAAAAAAATCACAATAAAGCAACTTACACTTTTTTTTGGTTTCCCAGTATATACAAAAGTTATGTTTATACCATACTGTAGTCTATTAAATGTGCAACAGCATTATATCTAAGAAATGTATGTATCTTAGTTGAAAAATACTTCATTGCTGAAAAATATCAACACAGAAACTTGGAGTGAGCACGTGCTGTTGGAAAAATGGCACCTGTAGACTTGCTACACACAGTATTGACACAAATTTTTATTTTGTAAAAAACACAATATCTGCAAAGTGCAATGAAGTGAAGTGCCATAAAAAAAGTATGTCTGTATTTGTTGGAAACAAATGTCAGCTTGTATGAAAAATGAGATTGGGATGTCAGAGGTGGAGACATTAGCAAAGGCCATCAGCTTAAAGAGTTCACCAGGAAACAGGAAGAGAGGAAATTAGGAGTTATAATAGGATCAAAGATAGGACTTTCTGAGATACAGAGATTGGAACACATGGAGAGAAGGAGGCTGAAGTTGTAAAAGATGGAGGAATGAGGTACACCTTGTGGAAGAAAAATCCCAGAAGGAGCAGGGGTCCAGAGTTCACGTGAAGCAGTTATCTTTAAATGAGAGAAAAGAAACCTCTTTCTTTGAAAATAATGGAAAAAAGTCCACTCAGACACAAAGCTTTTATGAGGTGAGAACGAGGTACATTAGATGTTCACAAAGATGGCTTTAAACTCCCACTGATCTGAAATGGCCACGTAGCATGAGTGAGATAGAAACTTTTGATGGTTTAAGTTACTGATATTTTCAGATTGTTATTGCATCATAACTTAGCCCATCCTGACTGAATACAAGGAGAAAGTTGCCTCCTGAGGTTAGTATAGAAGGGAGGGATTGGGGTTTTAAGGAAAGAAGAGGTATGAAATAAAAACTGAGTAACATCCAAGTGATTCAAAACATACTTTTCTCAACATGTGTTCTGAAAACTTTCAAACCTACAGAAAAGTGTAGAAACTAGTGTAATGACCACCTATAGACTCCTCACCCAGACTCATCAGTTGGTAACATTTTGCCACATTTGCTTTATCTTTCTTTATGTAATGTATGTAGAGGCGCACACACAGAAGCCTCTCTTTCCTTTTTTTTTTTTTTAAAGAAAACTATTTGAAAGTAAGTAACAGACATCATGTCAATTCACTCTGAGAATTTCAGCATGTATCTTTAAGAACAAAGACTCTTTCCTTTAGAACTGTAATACTACTATCATGCCCAAATAATTTAATATTAACACAATAACTTTATCTTGCATACAGTTCTATATTAAAATATTCCCAACTGTCCTTAAATTTACATCTAGCTATCCCCAAACCCCCATTTATGATCTCAGCAAGGATCACATGATGCATTTGATACATATATGTAAAGAAGGAAAGCAGTAAGGTAGGGTGGGAAGAGTTCGAGTAGCCTGATTCTAATGAGCTATATTTGCACCATGAGGAAACAGGAGTTACTAGGTATAAAGTGACCTACTTGCTTGGAGAGCAGGGACCTTTCCCTGAGATTACTGGTAAATATGACATGGTGGTGATGATGACGTTGATGATGAAAAGCAAGATGAATGGTGCATAGCATCAAACGAAAAAATGACACTTTTCAGATGTTAATGGACTGATAAAGAAAAATTAGAAATATGATTTGGCAATGTAAAAAGTAATGCTAATTAGACTCTTCATACCCTACCAAAAATGTTTAATTACCATGCATTAAATAATCAATCATTAAATCAATGTGAAATTAATTTGTTCTAAGTTCTCTACACATACATGCTCAATTTGCAAGTAGCATGGTCAACTCCTCCCAACTTTAATTAATTAGAGCTGGCACTGGTGATGGAATATTTATTTATGGACCAGGTGCAATTAAAGAGGAATGGGCTAGGTTCACTCTAGAAATGCTAAGGGGAATTTAAGATATGAATGCTTGAGACACCTAGAATCTCAGAGCCAGATGTGACTTTTGTGATCATTTATTTCAGTTGATCCCTTTATATCATGGGGATCTGAAAGTTATAATGTGAGGTCATGTGCTATTCTCAGTATTTCAAAATAGCTAATGGAAGTGTAGATTTATTGATGATAAGGCTGCACAGGCTAGATAAAACATCAGGGTGTTTTGTTTTGCTTTTGGCTAGAATTATATTAACTCCTTATGATAACAGCAGTTATCCTCTAACCAAATACTCCAATTAGCAGTTAAATGTATCTTCTATGAAAAAAAGAACAAAAAATTAATTTTACTTTAATCAGTGAGTTTGTTAGAAGAGGGATTTTTTCAAAACAAGGGGAAAGGACAGGGTGCTGAGGGAACAAATAGTAGAAGTCTTTCTAGTAAAAAGATAGAAAAGCACTATTCTTGCCCCATAATTTTATTTTATAGAAGATTGCCCATATGACACAGACAAGTTTATGAAGCTACTTAATAGAAGCAATTAACAGCAATCCCAGCATATCAAAGGCTAGTTGAGGAATAAATGTAGTGAACTAAAAGTAGAATGTCCCCAGTGACAACAAATTTGAAGCAGGAAAACCAGTCAGGAGGCTGGTGTGGCATCCCAGAGCCATGACGTTGTCCTAATTTCAAGCAGTAGATGTTGAAGTCACGATGAATAGGCCTCAGTGACTGATGGACACTGGCTTGGGGGTGTGAGAATGGAGGGGAAGGGAAGGAAGCACCTCAAATGACAGTGGGGTTTCTGACTGGCAGCTTCTGAATGTGCCATTTGTTGAGGCAGAGGAGAAATATCATAGAAAACAAATATTGGGAAATGACCTCAGAAGGCCTGAGAAGGCTGAGATTTAAAGACTGGCTTCTGTTTCAAAGGTGTCCAGGGAATCTTCCCAGCCTGCTCTCTAGTCATGTGCCAGCAGGGAGAAGCCTCTGCGGAAGGCAGACGCCAGGGGTCAGTGCAAGCCCAACTTCCCCATCTGGAGTGCTGAAGTCCCTTTCCTTCAGCGTCTGTTCATTACCAAGAGAATTTAGGAGAACTCTAAACAGCAGATTCGTTTATGATAGCAGCATTTACAAGCAGTTGTAATTATGGTGTATGGAAAACAATTATTCCCTACTAAAATTGCTCTTTTAATTTTCTCTTATTTGTCCCACAGTGAATGTTAAATAAGCCTCATTGCCTCACAGACTGTCTCGGATATGTGCACGGATGTTCCTAAATATCAGGCTGTGAAAGACACAACATGTTCTAACCTGCGCATGCACACTCCCACACACACATACACACTCACATCACACATTACACTGACAAGCCCCGGGACAAGCATGCATAGGTACCCCATGCCACTTCCCAACCCAGGCCCATCTCATGCAACCTCCTCCCCATCCACCTGGAAAGCACCTGCTCATCTTCCTCAAGAGTCACCTCTTCTATAAGCCCTTTCCCTCCAGAGCCCCCAAACAGACCTGGCTACTCCATCCTTTATGCTACCATGCCCTCTGAGCAGGTATTTCCCCCTCTGGAATGTCCATTTACTTCTGAGTTTACACGTTAGTCTTCACACATGAGATCTTAAGTACCTTGAAGGCACGGGCCTTATCTTATGCATTACCATTCCCCAAAGCTCAGCACATGTAAAAACTTAATAAATCAGTTTTCAGTTAAATAAGTGAATAGTTTAGCATAAAGAGGCTTGGCGGCCGGGCGCGGTGGCTCACGCCTGTAATCCCAGCACTTTGGGAGGCCGAGGCGGGTGGATCATGAGGTCAGGAGATCGAGACCATCCTGGCTAACAAGGTGAAACCCCGTCTCTACTAAAAATACAAAAAAATTAGCCGGGCGCGGTGGCGGGCGCCTGTAGTCCCAGCTACTCGGGAGGCTGAGGCAGGAGAATGGCGTGAACCCGGGAGGCGGAGCTTGTAGTGAGCCGAGATTGCGCCACTGCCGTCCGCAGTCCGGCCTGGGCGACAGAGCGAGACTCCGTCTCAAAAAAAAAAAAAAAAAAAAAAAGAGGCTTGGCTAGGGACAAGGAAAAGGGCAAGGATGAAGACATTTAGCATGCTGGAAAATCACAACCAGGGCCTGCCTCTAACTTACACAGGCTTCCCTAGTGAAGTCATGGGTGTGATGCTGGGAAGTCTGCATCAGACTGAATCGTGGGGTGCCCTGGATGTCAGGCTCAGTGGACAAATAATAAAACACCATCGTAGGTTCTTGTTCTGGTAGTTATGAAAATAACGGATTGCTTTCTCTTTCAGTTCATAGCTGAACGTACTGCTCTCCTAATAAAGGCCACAAAATTGCCTGCTTTCCCAAAATGTTGGTTTGCAAATAGCTTAGTTTTCATATTTTCAACCTCTACCTAGAAAGGCAGGAAAGGCAGTAGGTGTCAGGAGCTGAGTTTGCCTCCTTTCTGAGGACTTCTGTGATAATAAAGCACATTTGCAGAAATGCATTCCATTTCAAAGTATCTGGGATCTTAGTGTGGATGCAAAGACAATGCACCGTAGGAGTCCCTAACTGCACTTGACAAGAAAATAGGTGTCCTTCAAATCAGACCCCTCAGACAGATGGGTGGGGATGAGAAACAAAACACATCTTCATAATCAGAAGCAATGACATTTAATAAAGTGATTAGGCAGTGACAATAAATAAGTTCTCAGGCCATCTTGGAGTGATTAATGTGGGTGGATGGAGGCCAGGATCTATTAGAGGAGGGATGTGGAAAGCTGTTCTTTTGATTAAAATGTGTGTTTGGGGGGTTGAAATTTCAGGGAAGAGTTGTTATTAATTGATTGTCCCTGGCCTTAAAATGGTCTTGATTATTAAACAGCTCTCTTTTTACATTTGGAGAAGGAGTGGGAAAAGTCTCTTTTCACATATGAGGGACAGGAGGAAGGTGCTGGTGCCAAGAATCCTTTGTTGGAACTGAACACCTTGCTGTTCACAGGCACTTTGGATTCTTCCCTGTCCACAGACTCTCCCTTTGTCTTGGATAAATACTTAAGGAGCTTCTGAATTCCTTTATTTGCCCTCTTAACACCAGTGGGCAGAGCAGTGCGGAAAATCCCTGCAGCTTCATATATAAGTTTTTGCTGTTGTTGTTGTTTTACCTGTAACCCTAAGTTTTAATCCATTCAGGTGGCTATAACAAAATATCATAGGCTAGATGGCTTACAAACAACAGAAATTTATTTCTCCCGGTTCTGGAAGCTGGGAAGTCTAGGATTGGGGCACCGACATATTCTTACCTGGTGAAGGCCTGTTCCTCATAGACAATGGTTCCCTTTTGCTGTGTCCTCTGGTGGTGAAAGAGGCCAGCAAGGTCTCTAAGGTCTCTTTGATAAGGGCACTAATCCCATTTATGAGGGCTCTGCCCTCATGACCAAATCACCTCCCAACAGTGCCACCTCCTAACACCATCACATTGACGATTAGGTTTCAATATGTGAATGTGCAGGGAGACACAAACCTTCAGACCATAGCACCCAATGCTAATGAGTGCAGAGAAAAAAGGCCTGAGTTGTCTTTCTCCATCTGCATTTAGAAGCGCCATGAAAAAAAAAATCAAGGGTGTTAAAAGAAGATGCATGCAAGGTTGTGTTAAGCATAGACCCCAGACCCCAAGTACCTTGTTGAAGCAGTGACCCTTAGAAAAATACTTTTGTCCACAGAACTTGAGAATTGAAAGGAGAATTAAAATCTTCTGGACCAGTGATTCCTAGGATTTTGGATTTCATGAACTAATAAAAACAATTTTCTTAAGGCAAGATCTTTTTTGTACATTGACAAATAAAGCAATTAAAGATAAATTACTATCTACCACTGACAAAATTACATAAAATATAAAAATTAGAACATAATCTCTAAAGGACTAAAGGATTTTAAAATGTAATACAGTTTACTCTATGAAAAACTTATTCGGTATTCTAATTTTCCTCATTTTATAGCGTATAGTTTAATTAAACAAATACTACATAACTGGGAGAAAGTTTAAGATACATACAATCTCTGACACTCCAGCAGAAACTGACGCAATAAGGAGAATAATAATAGCTAACACTCAATGAGCATTTACAAGGTGTTAGTTAAAAGGATGTAATAAATCTTACCATGGTTTATTTTATGTGTCTTTTATGTGTCAATTCATTTCATCTTCACAACACCCCAGAGGTGAATATTATTATTATCCCCATTTTACAGATAAGAGACTGAGGTACAGAGACATGAAACAGCTTCCCCACGGGCTCACAGTAGAAGGTGGTAGAGACAGATTTCAAACCTAGATGGCCTGGGTCTGAAGTCTGTGCTCCTGAGCCCTAAAGGAGGCTCCGAGGACCTCCGTGGGTTAACTGGCTGGAGTGGCAACAGCCCAAGACTTCTGTGTGGGTGAAATTGAGCAATCAGCTGGAATCCTAGCTGACAATTAAAAAGGAGAGAGAGAGAGAAAGAGACAGAGAGAGAGTGTGTGTGTGTGCGCATGTGTACGCATGTGCGTGTGTGTTTGCGCACGTGTGTGTGTGCTGTGGAGTGTGGGTGTGAGTGTAGGATGTGAGCACATGCACATGTGTTTCTTTGGATGATTAAAACAGAAATTGGGGTAAAATTGGGGGTAGAAAGAGCCTTCAGTCTTACTAATTGCCGTTTTTATATGTACACATATAGTAAAAATATATAAATTTATATACGTTTATATTTTAAAAATATTAAATGTGTTATATATTTATGTATATAGAAAATATATATAGAAAATATAAATTATATATAAAATATAAATATGTAAATAAATACAAATATGAAAATATATTACATAAATATATATTTTACTAAACTATATGATTATGTACACACACTGCTAGGGTCCCTCTCAGAGCCTTAGAAGGAATCT
Organism: Homo sapiens; assembly: GCF_000001405.40. Taxonomy (NCBI): domain Eukaryota; kingdom Metazoa; phylum Chordata; class Mammalia; order Primates; family Hominidae; genus Homo; species Homo sapiens. The sequence goes on along the minus strand of NC_000011.10, from coordinate 114,758,683 downwards.
ATGCAAGTGAAGGGTGCTGAATTAAGTTTTCTCCTCTGATTCTCCTCTGATTCTAGCCCAGATCTCCAAAGCCCAAGCTCTTGACCATTCATCAGTGACAGAATTAGGACTAGAACTTAGGTGTGACAAATGCTCTCTGCTCTTTGTGAAAAATCGCCATATATCCCAGTCTCCTCCTGTGATCAAACTAGTCTATCAACATATCTCAATGAGTTCACTCATATTTGTCAAAGAATGTATCCTGCTTTTTGCTCGAGAAAAATGTAAATATTCCAATTTCCCAGTCCCAATGTTAAAGGAGAAGCGAATGAACATTTGAAGAGAAGCTGAGTTGCAAATCCTTCTTTAGGTAGGAAGCTAGGCCAGATAATACAATATTGCTTTCCAAAAGGGTCATTCCACTCCATTGTCCCTCCTTTCCATGCTATCTAGAGGCAATACTCTTCTAGCGTGAGGAAACAATACTCCTGGGTCAGTGAAATTCACCTAGGAAATGGGACAGGTTAGTGGACGGAGAAGAAGTCATAGTGTCTGTGAACAACTCCAGCACCAACCCAGAATCTGCTCACAAATATTTCCATTTCTCCATAGAATTCACTCTTTCTACACCTGTGGAGGCTGGGAGGAAAAGGCTATTAAAATAGTCAATTCCAGTTAATGCCAAAGGCAATCAAACAAAACTTCCCATGAAATTTTTATCACCATTACTTGCTATTTTTAATAAATAAAAACAGCCCTATATTTCCTCCCCAATAAATCCTGGCCTCCAACCACCCACATTAATCACTTAAAAATGGCCTGAGAACTCATTTAATGTCACTGCTTAATCACTTTATTAAATGCCACTGCTCCTGAATGTGAATATTTGTTTTATCTCATCTCTGACACCTTCCATAGAGTTCTAGTCTAAGAACCCCAACTATTTTTCAAGATAAAATGAGTATCCCATTTGCCACTCTTCCCCATGAAGACCAAACAATACAACTGGAGATGCAACAGAAAAGCAGCTCTTTTCTGCATATTTCTCCTTTGGTTTCACTCACTGAAATCTTATCATAGGAAGTTATTGCTATAGAACAAGGCTGGCCTTTCCAAATCTCTCACTAATGGGGGTAACAATATTTTATCCTGTACATTTTTATTTTTAATTATTCCTTATTCTGAGGAGAGAAAGCGGTATAAAAGTTCTGAAAACTTCAGAAAGAGAGGACACTGAGAGAAAAAGAGGTAAGAAACAGGAAGAAAGAGCTTCTGTTACCAGTAGAAATGTCACCAAAACAGAATTTTTGCTCCTCTCACCAAAACCCAAATGTCACATGACTAGGGTAACGAATGTCTTGCCCTCTCTCGGTGGAGAAAGTGGTAAGTATGAAAGGATGGACAAATACATAATTAGTAAGGGAAGAATCTGCTCTGGAGGGAGATGTTTTTCACTTTAGTTGATATAGTCTTGGAATAAAAAAGAAAACTAAATTCTACTGAGTGCTTCCTGTATGTTATGAGGATACATTTTTTGTAACAAATATTTTTATTCCAAGAATAGAAAATTGATTTATATTTGCATGCCAACACCAATTGATTGGTAATGGCTTGCTGCAATACAGTGTTGAGAAGAACGCTGAGACTTTATCAAGTGCAGCTGGAAAGAGATCTGTGCTAAATTAACAAGGACTATTGTGGACAGAAGAGAGAAACATCATGTCTGCCAAGTCTACTAATCCTGCAGTGACATATTGGTTAATCCATCCAATGCTGCCATGAAAACAAGAGGAACGTAGGCGGTGAACACCCACCAAGACCTCAGCCTCATGTCATCAACCATTACATCTCCTTCCTTATGGAAATTTGAAACTGACATTGTTGGCTGCATATGTTTAAAAAGAATCTTAGAGATCCTCTGCACCTAACCCTTCACTTTATGAATATGGAAACTAGAAACAAAACAAGTAATCTACCTATTATTACTTTAAGGTATAGGTTTTTTTAATGTACATTTTTGCAGATAGTGTTATCTCCCTGTATAAAACTGAATTCTGAGAGGGACACTACAAAATAAACATTTCAGAATGTTATACCTTTATAGTGACATCAATTATATTAATAAAGAAAGCTTTCTTTATGGAGAAAAATTATTGGCCATTGAGGGAATTATACCTATGCTTAAGGATTTAGAAATATAGGAAGAAATCACACTTTAGGATGTCAAAATTAAGTATGATATTCATAATAAAGTAGAAATATTTTATTGTAGAATGAAAACAAGGAGTTTTTAAAAAGCTAATAATTTTACCTTTTTTCATTTGATCCTCACAACAACCTTAATAAAATGTGTTCAATTTTTTCCCTATTTTTCAGGGAACATGTATCATAGAGCTAATCAATGGCAAGGCTGGGACCTGTGCCCAGGCCTGGCTTATACAATAGTTTTGGCTCTTAACCTCTCTGTTCTATCGTCTCCTTCTGTGGCCTTTGGAAAAGAAGCAGTATCTCATTCTCCATGGAATAATAAAGTGAATTCAAAGGCATAACAGAGTAGGAGAAAACCACTTAATGGGCCCAGGAAGAAAGAGGTAACTATCATTGGAAAAAAAATGAAAGAAATGTTATACAGTGGATGTAAGGTATCAAGAGGGACCTGTCTCTGATGTACTGGAATCCAGAATGTGATGGACACTAAGACTTATCACTCTTTTCATCCCCACCATTTTGACTTATTCCTGAAGGAGTAGGGGAGTGGGGAGTGGAGAATGGAGAAGTACTCTAGAGAAGGATACCTTGTCATAAAAGTATGAAACTTGAGGTTCAGGGAGGTAGTATTCTTCATTTCAACTAAGGTTGGGATTTGAGGAGAGAAATCTAATCCATAGTCAGCCAGAGTGGTTTAATTTCTTTCTAGAACAAGATAGATAAGATAGGAGAAAGAGAGAGAGAGAGAGAGAGAGAGAGATGGGTGAAGAGATAGACAGAGATAGATGGATAGATAGATGGATAGATAGACAGACAGATAGATAGATAAATGGATGGATAGACAGATTAATAGATGGGTTGATAGGTAGAAAGATGGATAAATAGATACATGGATAGATAAAGTAAGCAAGCTGTCTGCAAAACTGGTACTACAGAATGGTGTGTGGTTTTCCCAGCTATGGTTTAAGATACTAATGTGTTGGTCTCCTGGCAGAGAGAAGAGCACACATCCAGGATATGCAGGCTACATGGATGCTTATTGATTTATCAAGCAGACTTTATGCTAAAAATAGAGGCAGAAAAAGAAAAACATCCAGAAATGAATCAGGATAGCATCTACAGCAAGAGAAGAAAAAATATCAGTGGAAGGGATGTCTGGTAGTTCACAGAGGAAGTAGTTCATAGTGGAAATGGAAGAAAACTTGCAAATAATAAGAGTGGCCTTAGTACATCCCCCACACAGCCTATGGGTAATAAATGAAGGCATCATCTCTCCACAGGAGCTTACTAACATGCTGTTAATTCTATTTTAGGAAAATCTTTTGATCCTCCAATCTCCAACCCCATTTTTCTGCTCCTCTTCATAGCAAAACACTATGATAGAGTTACCAATTGTCCTTGCATTTTCCCCTGAACCCTTCAGTCAGGCTCATACCTTAATCACCTCACTGAAACATCAATGACCTCCACATTGCAAAAATCTCATAGATCGCAACTTACTTAAACTAACAGTGGAGCAAATATCAAGCCATATGCACTGTTGTAGCCATGCTGGTTGTTTAATATTAAAATATTTCCACATCATTGACAAATAGACACATTTCCAAACTTCTAAGTGCCTCCACCAACCACTGCTATTCCCTGGGACCCATTTCTTACTACCCCAGGATCCAGAAATCAAAGAGTTAATCCAGGCATTGCAGAAGGCCTCCAGGTCCTTGCTCCGACACTAAGGCCAGTTTCTATTCCCATTGGTCAACAGCATATGTACCAGTTATACCCCCTGGAGCTCTCACTCCCTGGCATTGCCATACCCACCACCAGCCCAAGGGCCTGCCTACCCTCCACACACAGCCCTGAGGACCTCTGAGTGGGACCTTCTCTAACACAGCCTTCTGGAAAGCTTCTCTGGTGTCCACTGTGCTCCTGGAATGCCAGCCAGTCCACCATGGCTCTCATGACCCAACCTTAGATCCTGGCTCTAATAGGCTCAGACATTTGTAGAAAGTGCCCCTGATGACACTGGTATTCAAGCGAGCAGATGTCTAGGGCTCATTTAGCCTCTAAAATTGTGACCTGGTGCTTCTGGTACCCATATAGTGTCACTTTCACATGGCTGCACAGTACCATAGCCTCCATGACACTTTACCTCTGAGAGGGTCTGGGAGAGGCAGGGAACACAGGTGGTCAGGAAAAAAAGGATGGGGACCTTGGGGGCAGTTTGAGGTCAGGGATGCCCAGAGTGTGGGTCACTGTTGAATTTTACCTCCATCTAACTGCACAGGCTCACCCAAACCCACCAAACACTTGCCCATCACAAGAATTAGCAACAATAATTTCATTAATAAAAATGAGAATAATCATTATAGTATTTTCTCTATTCGGCAAATATTAACTTGTTTGAGTACCATAATCATCATTATCATTTTCATTTCTACAGATACGACAACTGAGGCACAAAGAAGTGATTTAAAACTTAAATGGCAGAATTAACATTCAAACCCAGTCAATGTGGCACATGGACAAATGCCCTTCACTGCTACAGTACTTTGCATCTTGTTTGACTCCAAAGATCATATTCCATCCAATTAAGTATGATATTCCAAAATGATTTTCTTGATTTAGTTGACAATAAGGGTACTTTAATATGCAAAATCTCAGTAACATCTGGCCTAAAAGATTTGGTGAGGATAGAATGTTCTTAATGTGAATGCTTTTCAATAGAAGCTGAAAGAATTTGGCACCATGATCAATACGATTTAATTTGGCACACTATGTCACCAATGACTATTCATAGGGAACTTTTTCTGTGTTTGAGTTTGTTCTCTTTACGCATGGCTCAGACAGCAGCATCATTTATCTAGTGAGAGCCTCCTCAAATAGACAATTTCTAAAAATTAATAAATGATTTGGAATTTGTTACAATGATTTGATGAATAATTTACACTACAACTATGTCACATGACAGAATTATAACATATTCAGCATAACTTTTTTAAAGGATAAAAGAGAATTTCTTTCAGGCTGTTATATATACACTTTCACATTAATATTTTACTATGCTGATTGTTAAATATTTTGAATATCACTTCATTTTTTTTTCTAAGACAGGGTCTTGCTCTGTCGCCGAGGCTGACGTGCAGTAGAGCAATCACGACTCACTGCAGCCTATACTTCCTGGGCTCAAGGGATCCTCCCTGGTCAGCCTTCCGAGTAGCTGGGTCTACAGGTGCATGCCAGCACACCCAGCTAACTTTTTGCATTTTTTGTAGAGATGGAGTTTCACCATGTTGCCTAGGCTGGTCTCAAACTCATAGACCCAAGGGCCTCTGAAAGTGCAGGGACTACAGGTGCTAGCCACTTCACCCAGCCCACTTCACCTTTCACTAGCATTTGACACTCCTTCCTCCTTAAAACACGTATCCATTTGGCTTTTATGCAACATACTCTTGTTTTCTTTCTTGGTCACCATTGCAAATTCTCAGTTTCCTTTGCTAATTATTCCACATCTCCCCGATCTCCAAATCTTAGTGTGTTCAAGGCTCAGTCTTATGACCTCTTCTCTTACCTCTTTTGTCTTCCTTGGTCTTCTTATCCAGTATCATGGCTTTAAATATCCTGGATACTCGTAAATGTGTACCTCCAAGCTTGCCTCTTTCTTGTACACCATACTAGTATATCCAATTGGTTACTAGACATCTCTACTTGGGTATCTAAAAGGCATCTTAAATTTAATATATCTAAAACTCTGAAACTGCCAGACTCCCACAGTCGTTCCTGTCTTGGTCAATGGCAGCTCTGTCCCTCTAGTTGTTCTAGCCCCAAACCTCAGTCATTCTTGATTCACATCTCATGCCCAATCAGTGAGTCTCCTAGGATCTATTTTCAGAATAGATCCTGAACCTGACTGCCCTTTAGCACCTCCTCTTTTATCACCCTGGACCATGCTATCATCATTTCTCACATGGACTATTTATATTTGCTCAATGATCTCCCTGATTCCACCCTTGCTCTCCTACTCTCTGTTGTTGATAGTGATAAAGGAATCACTAAGTAGTGATTACTTTTAAATATAAGGCAATTTAGGTGGCTTTTCAATTTAAAATCCTCCAATGGCTTCCATCTAACTCAAAATGAAAACCAAATCATTGTAGTGACCTGCAGACCGCTGCATGAACTGACAGTGCACTGCCTCTAACTCATCTCCCGGAAGCCTCTTCCTCCTTCATTTGGCTTCAGCCATACTGGCTTCCTTTCTGTTCCTTGTATGTGACAAACACACTCCTGTCTCAGGGGCTTCATATTTGTTCTATCTGCCCAGGAAGTTCTTCCCTGAAATATCCACATGGTTCTTTTCCTTACTTCCCTCAGTGCTTCCTTCAAATGTTATTGTTCTTGTAACAAATTAACACAAACGTAGCATCTTAAAACAGCACAAATTTATTATCTCACAGTTCTGTAGGCCAGAAGTCTAGAGGTCAAAATGTCAGCAGGGCTATTGCCTTGTCTTTTCCATATTCTAGAGGCTGCCCATATTTCTTGGCTCCAGGCCCCATTCTCCATCTTCAAAGCCATCATCATGGCATCTTCAAATCTCTTTCTTTCTCCGCTTTCATCATCACGTTGCCTTCTCTGACTCTAACCCCCCTGCCATTTTGTAAAGACCCTCATGATTACATAGGGCCTGCCTGGATAATTTAGGATGATCTCCCCACCTCATGATCAAGTGACCAAGATTTGGTCACTGATTCAAAGTCCCTTTTGCCAAGTAAGGTCACATATTTGCAGGTTCCAGGGATTAGGATATGGACATTTTGGGGGGTCATTATTCAGCTTGCCACAATGACTGTTGTAGCAGGCTTTCCCGACTGAAATATTTAAGCTTTTAAATCTCATCCCTCCACCAGAAAGCCCTAACCTCCTTTTCTGCTTTAATTTTCCCTAATGGCACTTAGCAGCTAAAAATTTGTCTGTCCAGCCCATTAAAAATGAGGGTAGGTAGGTTTTGTCACTTTTGTTTACTGATATATCACTGAACTAATATATCTGTGTATAGATATATTCAGTGTCTAAAGGAATACTAGGACACATTAGGAACTCACTAAATGTCTGTTGAATTAGTGTAAAATACATCTCATAAATAATAACATGGTGGAATGAGACTCACCACTGGAATCAACCAACGAATGGTGTATTGTAGAAGTAGTACAACCGTTTGCCAATATTTTGTTCTCTCCTTTTTGGCACATAGAAGCTGCACGTTCTGCTCCTTTGCAGTTGGCTGGGACCACATAGCTAATTCTGGCCATTGAAATGTGACCATAAGTAATGTATATCAAGTTTGATATGAGGCAATAAAAAGCCCATGCATGCTTCTTCGGTCTCTATCCCCTGCTGAAGCAACTAGGGAGTGGTCATTTCAGATAGTATAGATACAGAATGGCAGGACCTTTGACAGCCTGAGTCCCTGAGTGACTATGCAAAACAGGACCTTCACTCCACACCCCCCACCCCCACAACAAGAGTAGGACATAAAATGCCATCAAGAAATCAAATTTTGTTGTATTAAGGCACTGAAACGTTGAATCATTTGCTATCAAAACATAATTAGTCTACTCTGATTAATACAGGCTTCCATACCGAAAGTTGGGAGTCTGTGTAAAAAGCAACCAAATATGTGGCACTGACTTCACAGTTAGATGGCCATTGGCAAGACAACTAATATCAGAGGCTACAAAGGTTGTGATTCATGTTATATTGTAACCAAATATTTAGTAAAACTGTCACCTATGTAACTTGGGAAGTAGATCATATTTAAGTGAAGCTGGCACTCAAGGGGAAAACATAATGTTGGAGTGTTTGTTTAGTGATGTTTGTCATGTTTGGCTAGATACTATAAGAAATAAGCCAAGGGAAGAATTTCCCAGTTTGAAAGCAGAAATGAAAGGAAATGGGGAAATTTAAGAATTAGAACTTTGCAGGATTGAAAAGCCAATTGCTTCTGGACACCATATAGTAAAACTTAAGAGTCAAAAAGCAATTTCAGGATAGATGCCAATAAAATCTTTCAACAAATTATATTACCTAAAGGCAAGGATCAAATCAAGGATATATTGCTCAGTAAATCTTTTTCAATTGTATAAAACTACTCATGGCAGATATTAAGGGTAAAACTTGTCCGCAGACATGTGACAGCCTGGAGCAAGAGAACTGGGGGAGCAAAAATGGAAAGAAACATACCAGATATGATAAATTTGTCTCAAAGAAACTGTGAGATCTTTCACTTCTCTTTCCTTCCCTTATTGAAGAGTTTGATTCTAACACCTTTAGGTAGGCAGAGCAAGACGGACCTCTGTACCTGATGCGGAGGTGGAGGGAGCCTCAGTAGTGCAGTGGAGGGCATTGAACTGAGCTGAGTTAAGAGAGCACCTGTCTAGGAGGGCCACTTGGGTCTGAGCCTGGGTGGGTGAGAAGAATGTCCTCTTGGAGGAGGGCAGGGAGCATCTTGGCGAATGTTCAAAGCCTGAGGAAGGAGAGAAGAGAGTCTACATGGAGGGTGGCCAGGCATGGGTATCAGAGGACATTCATGTGGAAGACACAGATGGGGTGGGTGGGGAATCAGGCACAGGGTGGCAAAGCTTGAGCAGGGTGAAGAAGACATCCACGTGGAAGGAGGTTTACGGTGAGTTTCAAAGCCTGAGAAGAGTGGAAAGGGCATTCCCACAGAGGTGACGGCCAGTGTGAGTGTTAGACACAAAGAGGGTGTTCACATGAAGAAGGGATGGTAGCAATGAATGGTTGGTCATGTACTGGGGATTGATGAAATAAGGATAATGAGAGATAGTTTTGTCATTGTCAGAGAAAGGCATTACAAAAATGAAAAGGGAGAATACCAGAATGAGCCCTGTGGTGCATCCTTGTGAACTTTTGGAGATTATATAGGTACAGTTGGCCCTCCTTTTCTGTGGGCTTCACATCAGCAGGTGGATATGGGAGGCCAACTGTACAAATTTTCCATCCAAAATTGCTTGAATCTGCAGGTGTGGAACCTGCAGATAGAGTGCTGACCCCATTTTATATAAGGGATTTGAACATCTGTGGATTTTGGTATGTGTGATGGGTCCTGGAATCAGTTCCCTGCTGATACAGAGGGCTGACTGTATACATTATATACATATACATAAATGTATGTGTGTGTATGTATATATGCATAATGGATTAGATATACATGAATGAATTTAGATGTAAATATATATGCATACATACATATATTCCCTAACTCTCCCCTGATAGAGCCTAGGAACAATAACACAAATAGCAATGCACATACCAGGTGCCTAGATCATGGCTTCTAAATACGTATGCTTTACTAAAAGGAACCAGGACTCTTTGGAGAAATGGTAGATTCCAGTGCTGAGGCAACAAAATTACAAGATGAATTTGGAATGTCTTGTCCTAGAAAACAAGGAATAGCTCAAAGAATGATAAAGGTATGTCAAACGGACATAGAAGCCTATCTGAAGAGGCACTCACTGGTCAGATCTAGCACAATTTCATTATCAAAATAAACAATGATGGCAACTAATTATAATCCATTGAATAAAATGGAAACCATATGTATTCCTGACACAAATTAATCAATAAATAAATTGAAAGTTTGATAATGGATATATATGTAGTTCCAAAGTAACTTCCCACAGCACTTTAATTAAATACAAATGGAAAAAGAATGACTTTGTTGTGGAGAAGCATGGCAGATACCATCTCATTCAAGTAACCAAAGTGAAAAAATTGGAATCTGTGTCATCTAATGGCATGTGACAAGAAGAACACAGGATCGCTTATGTGATATTCCTGCCAAAATGTACAACTTGAATCTAATAAAGGGGAAACATGAAACAAATGCAAATTGAAAAACACAGTAAAAAGTAACTGGTCTGTAGTCTTCAAAAGTGTCAAGCTAATGAAAATCAAGAAAAGACTGAGAATTGGGCCAGAGTGAGGGACTCTGGGAAGACAAGACAGTGAAAAGCAACTCATGATTCCAAATTGAATTCTTTTGCTGTAAACAACACTTTTGAGACATCTGGCAAAATTTGAGTGTGTCTGAAGATTAAATGATAGTGATGCATCAATGTTAATTTCTTGATGTTGCAGGTTGTGTCTTGGTTTATAGGAGAAAGTCCTTATTAGTAGGAACTGCATGTACTAGGGGACAAAGGAGCAACACATAGGCAATTTACTCCCAAACATCTCAGGAAAAATAAACTGCTTTGTACCATACCTGCAAATTTTCTGTAAGGTTAAAATTGTT